>NC_000003.12:155826786-156129816 GCF_000001405.40 Homo sapiens | reverse complement strand
AATTTTCCCAAGCTTGAGGGGCTCATAGAGAGACTCCTAGCTAAAGGAAGATCAGGGAGGCAAAATAACAGATGGCCTGATGGCACTTCAAAGGGGAATAGTAATTATGGCTTTTGCTGAAGGCCCCTTCCTATGCACTCAGCATTGTGCTAAAACTTTTATGGATATTATCTCATTTAATTTTCTCAACTCTATGAATATGTAACCCTGTTATTCTGATTTTACTGGTGAGAAGACTGAGGTTCCAGGTCACACAGATTGTAAGGGGTTGAATTTAGACCTAAGTCAGCCTGATATCAGAGCTTATATTAATGTGTCCCCAGTTTATATATCTGTGGTGACTTATAGAGGAGGCAAGAGGCACAACATCTCTAACTGGCTAATACCACAACTGCACAACAACCTGAAAAGTAAACGTGAAACTTTAATAAGCTAAGCTGTATAGCTAAGGCTAAATTTTAAACTCATGGTATGATATCACCACACCCCAGAGAAGCAGAGTATTCGGTACATAGAGACAGAACTAGAAAGGTTGACCTTCGATATGGAGTAGAATAACGAAGGCTCAAAAAGATAACCTGGAACATACTTAAGCATATTCAGCAGGGAGGTAGCTCAGGGAATATTTCATCCCCTTAATGGGAAAAGAAGAAAAAAAAAATCAACGACTGACAAAAAATGAATAGGCAGAACCACACTCTCCTTCACTGAAGGATATGGGTTGTAACAAGACTATGAGGTTGTTGTATGAATTAAACAGAACGACTATAAAAGCCCCGGGAAGAAGGCATGATGCTTTATAAATGCTTGATAATTATGAAGGAGATGAAAGAAATAGTCCTTTGTGTATCACCTTGAGGATTTTTGTCAGATCTCAATTCCACCACTACTTACAGTTAGTGAATGTTTTCCTCTCAATTGACTCATTTATTTTAAAACTTACCCTTGCGCCCTGCTCTCATAGCCATGAATTTATAGATTTTAGGTGTATGTTATATATTTCTTCCTAATATTCATGAAAATAAATTATCAACCCATTGAAAGATTTAATTTCCACATGCCCCCCAAAATTATCTTTGGCACAATTAGAGTGCCATAGTTTGGGAAACATTGAAAGCATGTAAAGAAGCCTGGACAAGGAACCAGGAGACCTGGGATCTGGGCCTAGATGATCAGGCACATCGCCTTTATGAGGCACGTTCCCTCACAGGAAAGTAGGAGAACACCTGCTCTATGTCATGTGAAGGCAAATGAGATAATGCACGACAAGACATTTTATAAACAAGGATACTACAAATTGTAGGTATTTGTGTTACTCTGTCTCCTTCTACTAAAGAACACTTTTTAAAAAATTAAACATATCTGTCAGTAATCAACCAATCACTAAAATAACACACTTTGAAAATCAAAGAGAATTTTTCTCCTTCTCCTACAACTTCAAAACAAAGTATCACCTCATCCCCTTTTTCTTTCAGAGATACTTCAGTTGCACTGTCTCTATAAACAACACAGTGTGCCCCTTTGGTCAGGTTTATGTCATTATACTCCACAGGCTCAAAGCTGGACAAAGCTCAAGGGATCATCTCGTCTAGTCTCATTATTTTACAGAGGAGCACTGATTTCTGGAGAACTTTAAAAACCTTACTTATGACCATACTGCAAAATGGGATTTGAATCATGTCTCCTGGCCCCTCAACCAATTTTCCTACTGTTACATGAGCCCATTCCCTGTAGCGGCAGAGAGATCTCAGAAAGAGGAGCCAGAGCTGATGCTCTATCTAATTTACCAACGTCCAGTTAGGAAAGAACCCTCTGGGCAAGTCAGAAGACTGAGATAGAGGCACTGCCTTCCAGGTGTCCACAGTTATTCAGAAGAAACCAGGTGCGCACGCACGTGCACACACACACACACACACACACACACACACACACCCCAAATGAAGAGGAATCTAAAACTGAGAAACTGGCTCAGTTTTGTCAAGATAACCAAAAAAGCAGTCACAGGGGTGCAGACTGAACCAAGTCCCTGTGCATTTGGCTACTCCCATGGAGTGGATGTGCCCGTCCAGGGATGTCTACTTCCAACTCACCACCCCAGTGGTGCAGCTACACAGGACAATGGCAGCTTCATGGCCAAGTCAAAGGACATCATCACCATCTTTAGTGGCCATGGCAACCCTAACCCTCCCCAGAGGCTGCTACTAGAATGCTGTAACTTTCTCTGGCTACCTAAATCCTGTCCTGTTGAGGTTCACTCTCCCACTCCTAGCCCAATCATTCAGTGGTCCAACATTTTCTCTAATATGCAAAACAACAGAACAATGAGCTAGGAGGCAATCTTTCTAGCATATAACTAAAATCACAGTAAACTACATAAAAATGTCCTCATATTCCAATATCTCTGAAAATAATACTTCTATGTGACTGCTCATGCAAACATGACAAGAATTACAGCCTTAGGGAGAATGTGCCTGCTCTAAGAAATAGATATCATATTTTAGAAAAGGAAGAGCTTTCTCTTCAACAACAAAAAATGAATTAATAGCTTTTTCTAGGAAAAAAAATATTGGTTGAATAATTTAGAGTTATTCCATTGTAGCTCACTTCCACCATTCCATACTCCATCCCTGATACCATCTTACTGATGCTGTCCACTATGTTCCAGGAATGTGGAAAAAGAGGAAAGTGGCAGAGGTGAGCACCAAAATTGATTGAGTGTCTAATCTACACCAGATGATTTACATCATTTCATGGAATCCTTATAGCAGTCTTATGAGCTAGATATTTTTATGCCCATTTACAGTATCAGTGTGAGTACACTCCAGAAAAGAGAGGCATCCCTACTTTTGGCATCTCCAATAACAATCTCATGATAATAGCAAGGGCATAGATCATGCGTCAGGAATGATGCTAAGACCTTTGTATAATATCATATTTACTACTATATGTGCCCACTGCTGTTCTGTGAGCTATACTTACTTAAGTCACTTGAGCTCCCGTAACAACCCTAAGGTATTACTGCCATCATTACCCACTTTTTATAGCTGAGAAGACTAAATCACATAGCTGATAATTGGTAGAGCCAGGGCTTGAACCCAGCAGCCTAGCTCCAGGATCTGTGGCCTCAACCAAAACCAACTGCTTCTCGCAGGCAAGGGGCTTACCCAGAGCCTCCAGGCTAGTAAGTGGTACTGCTGAGATGCAGCCTGCAGGCCACCAGACTCCAGAGCTTTTTCATCACCAGGCCCAGCTACACTTCACTTTGCCAAAGCTAATACCTGCATTTGATACCCAAGAGGCTCCCCCTCCTTGGGGATATGGGGACGATTTTGCTCTATTATTTGTATTACACACATTCTCTCTCCCCTGGACTCCTCCCCTTTGCCTAAAAACATCCACAGATCAGCTTTCTCCTACAAATTTCCCCCCAGACTCTACTACAGACTTCAACTATCATACTCTCTCCTCTGCACTGCCTCTTCTTGAGAGTGGCCTGCACACACTGCCTCTCCTCCACGCCTGCTCTCTGCCCAACTCCCCAGTCTCCAAAGTAGTCAAATGGCCTCCTCTCCTCTTGTTCTCCTGGCCACACTCCCAGATCCAGCCTGCAAGAAACTTTGAAGGATGCTGTTAGTAGCCTCATGAACAGAAGCAGCTCTCCATCTTCATTTCCTGCCCCTTTCATCTGCACCTCTGCTCACTCTTCCCTACACATGGATTGCCTTCCCCTCCCCATCTCCTCCTGCTCAAATCCTGCACATCTTCCAAGTCCATACCCAATTACTCCTAGGCTGCAAGCAACTAGAATCTTTTCTAGTTTCATCTTTGTGTCACAGGGCCTTGTACAAACAAGAATCTCAATCAATGGCTGTTGAATGTTTACTCACTGACCTCCAGCTTGATTCTTAACAAGAATATCTTCTTGCATAAACTTCTTGCATCAATTAAGATGCTTTCATAAGCTCAACCAAAGGCTTCTAAGCTCTTGGATCTCCTGCTGCCTGTTGGCAGGAATCAAGTCTACCAAACTCACCTGGAAAACTAACTGCCTTTTCTCACATAGAACCACATTCAGCCTTCTAGAAGCAAGTGTGAGTAAACACTTTCTTGGAAGTCAAGCAGTTTTGAGAGCAGAGAGAGAAAATATTAGGAGCGAGTCTCAGTATAACTACTGTCCTAGATAATAAGAAACATTCATTAAGGTGGTCAAAATCAGTATCAAAATGCTATAGCTAAATTTTCACTCACATCTCAGTTTGCCCTACTAAATGTTCCTAGTAACTTCAATTTAATAGGTTCAGTCAACTATCGTTTGAAATGTGAATACTGATAGTATGTAAAAGCTCATTGTATTCTATCTCCAAGTCACTTTTCCTCAGGAGGGTGGTATCCTATAAATCCTTAAAAAGCTTTTGGTGAGGACACACAAAGGTCTCTTATAAAATATTAATTGAGCACAGCGGGATGCTCAGCTCTTGATGCTAGGTGAAGTATATACTTTTGTTGGGGATTTTTGGAGTCATCCATCCTTAATTTTCTTCATAGGCCTTAAATACACCGTGTACAGTATGGGTTATATCTCAAGCCCTATTTTACAGAGTGTGAAAACAAAGCACGTTCCTCTTTCAAATCACTGCACATTATCTCATTTAAGTTTTGCAATGGTTCTTTTTTTTTTTTGAGTGGAGTGTTGCTCTGTCACCCAGGCTGGAGTGCAGTGGAGTAATCTCGGCTCACTGCAACCTCTGCCTCCTCGGTTCAAGCAATTCTTCTGCCTCAGCCTCCTGAGTAGCTAGGACCTCAGGCATGCACCACCACACCCAGCTAATTTTTGTATTTTTAGTAGAGACAAGGTTTCACCATGTTGGCCAGGCTGGTCTTGAACTCCTGACCTTGTGATCTACCTGCCTCGGCCTCCCAAAGTGCTGGTATTACAGGCATGAGCCACCATGCCCGGCCTACGACCATTCTTTATAATGGTGTTAGCACCCTTTTGCAGTCAAAGAAATTGAGACCCGGAAAAGTTCATTAAATAACCCAACATTTTGTTGAACTATAAAACTCAATGTTAAAGATTCCATATAAACATTGTGTAGTACAGAGAAAGCAATAAGATAGGCATTCTTGAATATTGCCAGTGAGAAGGTATAATGAGAAAAATGTTTCCAGAAAGCAACTGGATAATATTCATTAAGAATAAATAAATATATATTTGCATATCTCTGTATATGTGTATATGTGTAAATATACACATATATAATACATTCATCCATTAATTGCACTTCTAGAAATAGAGCCTCGGCCAGGCACGGTGGCTCACACCTGTAATTCCAGCTCTTTGGGAGGCTAAGGCGGGCGGATCACTTGAGGTCAGGAGTTCAAGACCAGCCTGGCCAACATGGTGAAACCCCAACTCTACTAAAAATACAAAAATTAGCTGGGCGTAATGGCACCCACCTGTAATCCTAGCTACTTGGGAGTCTGAGGCAGGCGAATCGCTCGAACCCAGGAGGCGGAGGTTGCAGTGAGCTGAGTTTGCGCCACTGCACTCCAGCCTAGGCAACAGAGTGAGACTCCATCTCAAAAAGAAAAAAAAAAAAAGAAAAGAAATAGATCCTAAGAAAATAAGCAGAAATATGGTTTTTTAAAATCTGATACAAAGATGTTTATTGTAATATTATATCTAATAATGATAAATAGTATATAAAAGAAGAATGGCTAAGCAATATTATGGTCATAAGATATAGTCCTTACAAAATTTTAAATAGTTTTTAAGATAATAAAATAGATTGGTGTAATATTAAGTGAAAAAAGGAATGATATGATCATATTCTGACTTTTACCCATGACCCAAATTCAAAATGCTGGGGAAAGCATGTCAAAATATTAACAACAGTAGCCTTTTCTGCTTTATATTTTCCTGTTTTCAAACTTTTCTACAAAGTTCAGATGTTACTTTTGTAAACAGAAAAAAAATTTTATTCAAAAACAATACTTTTTTTAAAAAACATGCCCACAGTTACAGGCAGTAAGAAGAAAAGCCAATCTTTTGCCTTCAACTCCAGAACTCTGGCCCCTGCCCCATCCTCCCTCAAGGTGCAGGGCCCTGAGCTGTCATTCTAAAAAAATCAGTATCACAGAGTTATCAGTCAACTCTAGATGAACAATAAATCTGTATTAAGCAAAGTATATTAGATTGTTTCATTATATAGTCATATGTAAATACAGCAGGAGTCAGAACTACTTACCACAAACCTAATGTGCATTCCCTATCCTGCTGCCTGCAATTTTACTTCTTAAATATACCAGGACTGCTGAATCTCCCCCAACTCTAATGCTTTCTTCCAATCATTTAATAATACCCTTTGTTTCAAATATAAATTACCATAGAATATGGACATAAAGCAATCCTCAAATTCCTCAGGAACTAGAATTAACCTGATGTAAAATATTTTAATTCCATCTTCCAAGAAAGGAAACAAGTTTGAGTTCGCTAGCAATTCCTTACTGATGAACATTAACCAAAGACCCACAGAATTATTTCCAATAGCAAATGTGTAATGTCTTCAAGGACTCTTCAATACATTTCATATTCTGTCTTGTAAGTAATGCTTCACAGGTGGATAAATTTGTTAATATTTTATAAGTTAATCATATTTATCTTCTACATACAAGTTTCTAATGGAGATATCACTCATGGGCCATGTTATTGGAAGAAAGAACAATTGGAAGTCCAAGAAAATTTTCTGGGACTTCTCAACGGCTGACATTTACAAATGAAAGAAAAATTTGGGTGACTTGGGGGATCGTACATTCTATCGCTAACATTAAATTTGGAAGAGATTGCACCATCAGACATTGTCACTGTCCAGGAATCTCAAGGACTCGACAGAGGAATGTAGTTCCAACATTTGAGAGGTAAAAAAGTTGCTGGCGATGAGAAAAACTGCCTTAGTTTCCTGAGCTATTGCAAACATTGAACTCTGTAATAAATGTATTTAATTTATAAATAGAGTTAGTTCCAACTACACATACTCGTTTCTTCCTGGAAATAATCATGCTGCAATAATAAAGGAGGATGGGAAATTTTTAATTTTTGATCATGTAAGGTGGACATATCTTCACTCTTTTTCAACCCTTTTACTAAACAAGGGAAACACCATGCTATTGTCAATCAGTGATTAATAACACTACCCCACAGATTATCACAGGAGACATTAATTCTGGATCATGTCTAATCTAGTCTTTTCTGATTACAGAACAAAATATTATTGTTTAAGTGAAGCAGAAAAGAGCAGATATTTGCTTTTCCCCAAAAGTTTCTTGCTAAACCTGGTTACCTTAACTAATATGCCACTCTGACTTGTTCAATGTTGTTCCAATGTCAGATAATGAAGAATTCTGTGGTCTTGTATTAGACTCTTTAAAGGAAATTTCTGGTATATCGCAAGTCAAGGAAAATGTTACGGAAGAAAACCATTTTCAATGCTTTCCTTTGCCACTTAACTCTTTTTCCTAGAGGATCTTTAATAATAGCTTTAAGATTTGTAGATGTGAGATATGTAATAGTTTGAAATATGAGATATGTAACACTAACAAGCTCATTCAAACTTTCTTTAAACGAGACTACTTTTCCTTTGGTCTTCCTCCCATGTACCCCAAATGTGGGCCCAACAGCATATACAAGAGCTTCAGACAAACCACTCTGGCCATGAATACCAAATGTATTTCATAGAACATTTCCAGAAGCTTTATTTTGTGCTAATTTTTAAATGTTGATTTTTGAATAATAGTTTAGGTTTTAAAATATCTATTTATTGCTGCCTTGAAAAAGAGAAAATGAAAGTTAGTTGAGGAGTTTTAAAGTGTACGGTACAAGTTTTTAGTCTATATGCACAAGTTAATTCAATTACTAAATAAGTTTTTCTGTAGTGTCTTTTGGAAATAGAAATATAGACAGAAAGGCAGCTCAGAGTGCACTGGATGCTTTGATACAGGCTGCATTGCAGAATTTCAGTGCTACCATACAGTCTCTACAAAAGGAGTTTTCCATACTTTGACTACGTAATTGGAACCATTTTTCATCTCAAAGGAATTTTTATTACCATTTAATAACATAGCTATTCTAGGTATTATTTTCACAGTATTTTTTCTTCCAAAATTATCTTTAATTCCTAAGAGATTTTTTGCACAAATTATAGAAAATAAGCATCCTTAAATTTCAGGACTCCAGACACTTTTTACTCAGTACGTTTTGCCTTGGAACACTGGGATTTGTGAAATTATCCTTCCTCTGCTTTATTTGAAGCTGAGGCTGAGTAAAGAACAGAAAGAAAACCCATAGAGATTTGCCTTACATTTATCTCTTTTTTAAAAGTTACCTTTTTCTCCTGATGTTATCTGTCTTAGACACGGGGCTCAGATCCCTATATTGGTGGTCAATATGTCCCATTCTGCATCCCTATGGCCAGCCTGACCCCTCATTCAACAAGTTCACACTACTCAACTCCACTTTTCAACCAGGCAAAACAAATGTTCTTCCCTCATCCCCAAGTTCTCAGAGCAAAGGAAATGCTGAAAGATTGCAAACTCTTTTTTGTAGTTATTTTGGAAGGGAGCACTTTCCTACCATCTCTTAACTCCTCTGATTTTTACTTAAGAAAAATCATAATGCTCTTTTGTCCTGTCAGCTCCTAAGCATCTACTGCCTCCTTGTAAGAGGTCTTTTCTGAATAACAATGCAGGGAACATTATTTGCCATTTGCACCAAGATCCTGCTCTTTGTGGTTACACATTCTGAAGTGCCAATCATCTCTAAGGCAATTAGAGCCGTTAAGACTTCCAGCTGCAGAGGAAAAGAAATCAAAGCATTCTCCAGAGCACCTTCGAACGGCGTCTCCCAAAGCCCGCGCAGAGCAGGGGCAGCTTACCTGTGCGGCATGCCTGTGGTGCAGACGGTGGTGTGCTCGCTGGACAGGTCGCAGAGCTTTAGGTACCAGTTCATCTCCACTTCGCGCAGCAGAGCCAGTTGACGCGCCCTGAGCTGGCTTTCCCCTGAGGGACTAAGGCTGCTGTCTTTAGCGTTTTCTGAGGCTTTCTTGGGAGATTTGTCTTTCCCTGCTACAGAAAACCCAGACTGTCTCCTTAACTTGGTGTTCTCCTCTGAGATCTGACTCCCCGCTGCCCCTGTCCGGGCTGCCAGCATCGTGGAGATCTTTCAGAGAAGACTGGAAGTCACTGTCATCAAAGTAATCTGAATTGATTTTTCTGCTTCTGCCTCCCTCCCTCGTCCCTGCCCACTCCACCTCTCTTAACCTTATCCTGCCACAAAGCTGTAATTGAGCCCAGTCTGTGGCTTGGGATGAAAATGTATCTCTAACCTTTCCTAGTGAAGAGGTAAGCTGGCCAATACCTGTGGTATCTTCGAACACGGAAATTTTAAAAACAACTCCCAACAACTTTGTAATACTGAAGTTTGGCAGTGGCTGTTTCTTCCGCAAAGTTAGGACTTTTGCTTTATTTAATAGTGACAACTCTGAACTTTTGGTCATATAGGTTTGGTAAATTACATTCGATAATCATGTTAGAGTTATAAAAGATTTCTGGAGGCTCATTAGCCATTCCTGATTAGAGTCCCTTTGGAGTTTTAAAAGTTTTAATGTGAATTTCCTCAAATAAGTTCAACAGTATCAATGCAAGGGAAAGATTATTTCTCTTGTGCAAACCTGAACATTTTAAATTTATTTTATATTTCTTTGAATGTCAGTGAACCACATAACGTATGTCAGGCACTCTTTCATTCCTAATGTGAGAATGGTAATCCCTCATAACCGATTCAGTAACTGCCCCTCCCAGCACTTCTGACAAATAGAAGCCATGAGAATCATCTGATAATTGGGAAGGTGAAGGCCAAAACTGGTGTGAAAAAACAGAAGAGTGGGAGGGAATGGTGGGAGCCTGTATGTGCATGGATGTGTATGTGTGTGCCCAGTGTACATGAAAACTAGTTTGGGAGAAACAAAGAAAGCCAAGCTGATGGCCCTATGGTTAAGATGCATGGGGTTGACCCACACACACCCATGGATCTCACTCTGTTTTAGTTTAGGAGATAATGATGTCAGTGTCCACCTAGGGGTCTATCACAGAGTTGTTTAGTGACCCGTTAAGCACCAGGCACCCTCCCCCTCAATCAACTTAAGTCTCTTCTGGATCAACTATCTCAGTGCCTGCTGCATGTAAAGAACTTGGGAAGGTGCATGTATTTTTCTTTCCATGACAAAACCGTAAGTTAAAAATTGTAGAGTTATAGCAAGTCCTTAGAGTCCCTGAGAAGAGCAGGAGAGGAAGGAGGAAAGAAGCATGCCTTCTTAAAGAGATAGGAAAGTGCAGTTAGCTCTTTTGGAAAGTCTGTCAATAGGCTGTCATAAGGCCTCCTCTGCCACCACGGTATGGAGGAAGAATTTCCTTCACTGCTATTCTCATCCCTTTACTATCTGAACTAATGTGGTCACCTCGGTCACATGGCTTGGTAACAAGTCATCTACTGCTGTCTTGGATTATCTTGCTTCCTTTAATGTACGCCTTGCCCCCTTTCACTTGCCCTTAGTCCACTGTCACTCTCAAAGACCTGCCAAAGGTCTTTGAGGATCCCTATGGCTGTTAATTAACCAATATCAATATTAACCAATTAACAGCCATGTGGGCTCTTGCACATTTGGGTGAAACCTGTTTGATATTACTGTCCAGGATAGTCTAGGGTTAGAACTGTAACCACCAAGTAATGTGCAGCCTGAAGCATGTATCAAAGGAGGCAACTGATACCAACTAGCAGGGTCAGTCCCATCTGATGCTGTGGGGTCTTAGGAACTTTTAGCACCAGCAGGCGACAGCCTCTTCAACTACTCTCTTTGCTCCCATCCCTTGAGTCATTGAGGAGTTCTGGCAACATTATATGCATAGCAACTAGACTCCCCGAAGTGTAGACTGGAGATAATCACCCCAGTTTAATATTCTTGGAGATGTTTCAATGGGGGGCTCTGCAATGGAACTGTGGAAAGGGCACTATGCTCATTCAGCCAAAGAGACAGAGGGCTTCCCAATGTCCTTGGCTTGCAGTGCTGTTGTGTTTAAGAGCTCTGCTCTGGAGTCAGACTGCTTGGGTTCAAATCCTAACTCCATCACGTACCAGTGCTGTGATCCTAGACAAATTTCTTAACTCCCATATGCTTTATTTTCTTCATCTATAAAAATAGAGATAATTATCTACTTGTGCCAGTTTTAAAACTAATTCTTTGACACTCCTGTCATTGAGAGGTGGGGCCTGTTTCTCAGCCCCTTGAATCTGGATGAGCTTCACACTACTTCAATGTAAAACGTGGTGGAAGTGGTGCTATGTAACATTCACAGTTAAGTCAGAAAGACCATGCAGCTTTCACCCACCACTCTTGAGATGTTCATTCTGTAAGGAACCTGATTACCTTAACATTGCCTTGCTGGACAGCCACATGCAGGTGCTCTGATCAGTAGCCCCAGCTGAGTTTCCAGACAACAGCCAGCTTGAGCAGTATCCTTAGATGACTGTGGTCCCAGCCAACATCTGACTGCAACTGTAAAAGACATCCCAAATTACAATGACCAACTCATACCCTTCCCAAATTCCTAACCCACAAAATTGTGAGCTAAATATAATGTTTGCTTTATTACCACCATTAAGTTTTGGAATTTTTTATAGTGCACAATAGTAATAAGAACATTACTTTTATCTTTATTATAAACATTTAACAATATATGTGTGAGACTTAGAACAATGTCTAGCATTATTAACATTCAATAAGTATTAATATTTATTCTCCAGGTTAGAAACCATTGCATCAGTAGAATGCAAACTTTCTGCTTCTGCTTCCCTTTTAAAAATTTGGAAAGCTAAGTATTAACTTCAACACTTTTAGGTATACAAACAACATTTTTCATCATAAATTAAGTAGTCATGAGCCACATAATGACATTTCAGTCGATGACATACTGCATACATCATGGTGGTCCCATAAGATTATAATGGTGCTGAAAAATTTTTATAAACTAGTGACATCATAGTTATCATAATGTTGTAGTACAACCATTACCTTTTCTGTATTTAGATACACAAATACTTACCATTGTGTTATAATTGCCTACAATATTTAGTACAGCAATATGCTATAAAGGTTTGTAGCTTAGTAGCAATAAGCTCTACCATATAGCCTAGGTATGGAATAGGCTATACCATCTAGGTTTGTGTAAGTGCATTCTATGATATTCCCACAAGTATGAAATTGCCTAAGGAGGCATTTCTCAGAAAGTAACCCTGTTGTTAAGGAATGCACCACTGTAGTTGCAAAGGATGCAATGTCTAGCATATTGTACATACTAGTATTTTTAAATAAAGTGGTTACATCACTATCTTAAATGTATCCAATGAAATTTAAATCCCATAGCTATTTGATATCTATCATTATCCATTTTAAAAATTCATGAACAAGCTCTTCTTTAGCAGCTGGAAATTTAACATTCTTCCTTTTTCTCCCTGAACTATTTTTTTCCAGTCAATTTCTCACCCAGAATTTTAATATATAATATTTGTATACTTGAAAATGTCTCACAGATGACCCTGTCAAATAATTTTGATGCAATGAAAGTAATATAAATAAAAATTTAAATTATTTTTTATGACCATAAGATTGTTATCAGATATCTTAGGGATCGTGTTATCTTGACAACTATAATCAGACATAATTGATCAAATGCAGATTTTATAAATTTTGATAAACTTTGCTTAACATAAAAAATAAAATTTTTTTGGAAATCTGTCTTTTAATGGCTTGTATAGGGCTGCGATATATTTTCTGAATTAGGTCATGTGTTCATGGAGGTATGTTATTTGTTGGGAGACTGAGACAGGTAGGATTAAGCATTAATTCTATTCCCTTTATTTTTTCATTTTTAAAGGTACATGTTGTGAGAATCTTGTTTACATAAATAATAAAAATGGAACTTTCTTATTATAGTAAAATCATTCAGTTCTTTTAATGTCTTCTCAAATATATATAAAAATCACAGTGATGTGTCATTTTAAAATGATATATGTATATTTTATTGATGCATAATAGATGTACATCAATTCAGGGTACATGTGATAATTTAATACATTCATTTAATTTGTAAAGATCAAATCAGTGTACGTGGGACATCCATCACCTTAAATATTTGTCTTTCCTTTATGCTAGAACCATTGAAATTCTTCTCTTCCAGCTATTTTGAAATACACAATACATTATTGTAAACTATAGTAACCCTACTGATCTAATACTAGGTTAATGATACATTTTTAAATATAAATATAAAAATGATGATGTATCCACCCCCAGCTATGAGATGGAGAGCTTCTTAGAAGGCTATGACAGAGGAGTGAAATGATCAGAGTTACGTATTCAAAGAATCATTCTGGCTACGGCGCTGAGACCAGGCCATTGGGAGTCAAGGGAAGAAGGAGGGTGATTTGAAGGCTACTGCGATGATCTTGGTGGAGATGAGAGTGGCTTAGAACAGGTTGGTGAACACTGGAGTTCAATGTGTATATATAGTTTGCAAGTAGAAAGGATAGGACTTCCTGGTTGATTGGTACAAGAAAAGTAATACAAAAGAATAAGGGGAGTTGAGAATGACCCAAAGGATCGTGGCCTGAGCCACTTGCCAGGACTGGGAAGATGCAGGAGGATGAATTTTTCTGGGTAGGTGTGGAGTAATCAAAGGGTTATTTCGTATTTGTTCACGGATTCACCATGTTTTCACGCTCTTTATTTCTTCCTGAGGATACAAGTTTCCATCTATTATCATTTTCCACAATCTGAAGAACTTCCCTTAGCATTACATATCTAAGAGCAACAAATTCTTCTTTATCTAAAAATATCTTTTTTCAACTCTGTACCTGGAGTTCTGTTCATCTTTTTCATTCTTGTTTCTTTATTCTTCAGATTAGATAATACCTGATCTGTCTTCGAGCTCACTCTGTCATCTCCATTCTGGTAAGTGTATTCAGTGACTTTTAAAAATTTTTCAGATAATATATTAATCAGTTCTAGAATTGTCATCTGGTTATTTTCTACAGTTTCCATTATTCCGATGGGATTGCTTATCTTTCATTCACTGCAAGTATATTTTTCTTTACCTCATTGAGCATAGTTATAAAAGCTCACTTTAAAATCCTTATCTGTTCTTTCCGTTTCTAATTATACCAAAATCGTATTCAATCTACCTACCTGACACATATATTTCCCTTTAAAAAATGGGGTGAGGGAAATCTAAATCTAAATATGTCTCTTTCCCTTGCTCAAAGTCCTTCAGTGGCTCCCTTGTACCCAAGAATAATATTGAAATCCACCAAACTGATTTTGAAGGCCTCCAACCTACTTTGTCAACTTTATATCTAACTGGTTTCCTTCCTTCCTTCCTTTCCTTTCCCTTCCTTCCTTCCTCCCTCCCTTCCTTCTTTTCTTTATTTCTTTTTTTATTTCAGGGTCTCACTGTGTTGTCCAGGCTGGAGTGCAGTGGCACAATCTCGGCTCTTGGCTCACTGCAACCTCCGCCTCCTGGGTTCAAGCGATTCTCCTGCCTCACTCTCCTGAGTAGCTGGAATTACAGAAGCATGCCACCACGCCCAGCTAATTTTTGTATTTTTAGTAGAGACGAGGTTTCACCATATTGTCCAGGCTGGTCTCGAACTCTTGACCTTAGGTGATCTGCCTGCCTCAGCCTACCAAAGTGCTGTGATTACAAGCATGAGCCACCATGCCCGGCCATATCCAACTGTTTTTCTGCACAAAGAATGAGTTTCAACTATTTTGGTTTACTTCTGCTTTGTTTCCTGTTCGTTTAAAGTACCTATTGTTTTATGCCTCCTTGTTTTTATATTTCTTTTCCTTTCCCCCTATGAAAAACTCTACCTACCCAATTTACAGTTTTCTCATTGAAATTCCAGGCTATCATAAGGCCTCCTCTGCCACCACAGTATGGAGGAAGAATTTCCTTCACTGCTATTCTCATCCCTTTACTGTCTGAACTAATGTGGTCACCTCAGTCACACGGCTTGGTAACAAGTCATCTACTGCTGTCTTGGATTATTTTGCTTCCTTTAATGTATGCCTTGCCCCCTTTCACTTGCCCTTAGTCCACCTCTCACACACACCTTCAGCATCCTGAAGCAACATTCGACATGATGTTGGATTTCTCCCCTTAACATCAACAAGATATCTTAAAGGCCGGTGGTGGAACCAGAAACCTGAAATAGAAAGGTTTTGTTTTGATTTCTAGAAACTTCTGTTAAGATAGTAAGGAGAGAATTCAGGTTTATGGCCCTGCGGGTTCTCAGAGGCAAGTTCCGACCATGCTGTTTTCTTCTCACAGATCCCACCCTTTCTTCCTGGAAAGAAGACAGCCTTGGGTCCTGATGGGTGGGGCTTTGAAGAGGCCAGGAGTGGGAATTTCTAGAATTTGGAATCGAGTGAATTTTCTGACATTTGAGTACAGGACCCAGGGGTTCTTGGAGAAGAACTTGGTCCCAGAGGAGCTTGACTGACCATAAAAATGAGTCCTGCAGAAGCACTTGATGATTAAAACTTGTTTAAAATCTTAGTTGCAACAGATATTGATCTTGGATTTATGGAGAAAGATGTAGTCAGAGGAAATGATACATGTGTAACGCTTGATGAAATTTTAAAACTTGCCCAGGAAAATGAAGTGGATTTTATTTTGTTAGGTGGTGATCTTTTTCATGAAAAAAGCCCTCAAGGAAAACATTACATACCTGCCTCAAGTTATTAAGAAAATGTTGTATGGGTGATAGGCCTGTCCAGTTTGAAATTCTCAGTGATCAATCAGTCAACTTTGGTTTTAGTAAGTTTCCATGGGTGAACTATCAAGATGGCAATCTCAACATTTCAATTCCAGTGTTTAGTATTCATGGTAATCATGACGACCCCATGGGGGCAGATGCACGCTGTGCCCTGGACATTTTAAGTTGTGTTGGATTTGTAAATCACTTTGGACTTTCAATGTCCGTGGAGAAGATAGACATTAGTCTGGTTTTGCTTCAAAAAGGAAGCACAAACATTGCACTCTATGATTTAGGATCCATTCCAGATGAAAGGCTCTCTCGAATGTTTGTCAATAAGAAATAACAATGTTGAGATCAAAAGAAGATGAGAACTCTTGGTTTAACTTATTTGTGATTATTTGTGATTACAGAAGTAAACATGGCTAAGTACTAACTTCAGTCCAGAACAATTTTTGGATGACTTCATTGATCTTGTTATCTGGGGCCATGCACATGAGTGTAAAATAGCTCCAACCAAAAATGAACAACAGGTCAGGCGCAATGGCTCATGCCTGTAGTCCCAGAACTTTGTGAGGCCAAGGTGGGTGGATCACATGAGGTCAGGAGTTCGAGACCAGCCTGACCAACATGGTAAAACCCCGTCTCTACTAAAAATACAAAATTAGCTGGGCATGGTGCCACATGCCTGTAATCCCAGCTACGTGGGAGGCTGAAGCAGGAGAATCACTTGAACCTGGGAGGTGAAGGTTGCAGTGAGCCAAGATCGCACCATTGTGCTATAGCCTGGACAACAGGAGTGAAACTCCATCTAAAAAAAACAAAAAACAAAAATGAACAACAACTATTTTATACCTCACAACCTGGAAGCTCAGTGGTTACTTCTCTTTCCCCAGGAGAAGCTGTAAAGAAACATGTTGGTTTCCTGTGTATTAAAGGAAGAAAAATGAATATGCAGAAAATTCCTCTTCACACAGTGCGGTAGTTTTTCATAGAGGATGTTGTTCTGGCTAATCATCCATTTTTTAACCCAGATAATCCTAAAGTAAACCAAGCCATACAAAGCTTCTGTTTGGCGAAGATTGAAGAAATGCTTGAAAATGCTAAATGGGAACATCTAGGTAATTCTTGCCAGCCAGAGAAGTCTCTTATACCACTGCGAGTGGACTATAGTGGAGGTTTTGAACCTTTCAACGTTCTTCGCTTTAGCCAGAAATTTGTACATCGGGTAGCTAATCCAAAAGACATTATCCATTTTTTCAGGCATAGAGAACAAAAGGAAAAAACAGGGGAAGAGATCAACTTTGGGAAACTTACCGCAAAACCTTCTTCAGAAGGAACAACTTTAAGGGTAGAAGATCTTGTAAAACAGTATTTTCAAACTGAAGAGAAGAATGTGCCACTCTCACTGCTAACAGAAAGAGGGATGGGTGAAGCAGTACAAGAATTTGTGGACAAGGAGGAGAAAGATGCCATTGAGGAATTAATGAAATGCCAGTTGTAAAAAACACAGCAATTTCGTCTGGGCGCGGAGGCTCACATCTCTAATCCCAGCACTTTGGGAGGCCGAGGCGGGTGGATCACAAGGTCAGGAGATCGAGACCATCCTGGCTAACACAGTGAAACGCCATCTCTACTAAAAAATAGAAAAAAAATTAGCTGGACATGGTGGCAGGCGCCTGTACTTCCAGCTACACGGGAGGCTGAGGCAGGAGAATGGCGTGAACCTGAGAGGCGGAGCTTGCAGTGAGCCGAGATCGCACCACTGCACTCCAGCCTGGGTGACAGAGAGAGACTCTGTCTCAAAAAAACACAAAAAAAAACAAAAAAACAAAAAAAAAAAACACAGCATTTTCTTTAAGAACGTCATATTGATGCCCTAGAAGATAAAATCAATGAGGAAGTATGTCGATTCAGAGAAAACAGACAAAAAAATACTAGTGAAGATGATGACGTCCATGAGGCTATTAACAGGGCCAGAGGTCTCAGATCTCAATCAGAGGAACCTGCTTCTGCCTTTAGTGCTGATGACCTTATGAGTATAGATTTAGCAGAACAGATGGCTAATGACTCTGATGTTAACATCTCAGCAGCAACCAACAAAGAGGCTGAGGAAGAGGTGGAAGAGGAGGAAGAGGACAGAATTCAGCATCAGAGGAGGGTCTCAAAGAGGAAGAGCAGGCCCTGGTCTGGAGACTTCTACTCATAGCAGGAACTCAAAGACCATGGTGCCAGCATCTAGAAATATGTCTATTACAGAAGCCTTTAAATCTACAAGACAGCAGCCTTCCCAAAATGTCACTAAAAATTATTCAGAGGTGATTGAGGTAGATGAATCAGATATGGAAGAAGACATTTTTCCTACCACTTCACAGACACATCAAAAGTGGTCCAGCACATCATCCAGCAAAAACATGTCCCAGAGCCAAGTATTGAAAGGGGTTGATTTTGAATCAGATGAGGATGACGATGATGATCCTTTTTATGAACATTAGTTCTTTAAGAAGAAATAGTAGATAATATATTTAGTGGCACTGAGAAATTTGCAAAATACAGGAAAAATCAAAACGTTGCAAGCTAAAAGTTTACAGTTTAAGATTTTAAGTATTGCTTCCTGAGAATGACTCCGTAAGTAAGAAACTTCTCAGCACTGATTCATCTTGTTTTTTAACCACGTTGTTATTTTAAGAGCTTTGTTTAAATATAATTATTCTTTTTGTTTTGTTTTGTTTTGAGACAGAGTTTTGCTCTTGTTGCCCAGGCTGGAGTGCAATGGCGCCATCGTGGCTCAGTGCAACCTCCGCCTCCCAGGTTCAAGCAATTCTCCTGCCTCAGCCTCCCAAGTAGCTGGGATTGCAGGCATGTGCTCCACCATGCCCAGCTAATTTTTTGTATTTTTATTAGAGACGACGGGGTTTCACCATGTTGGCCAGGTTGGTCTCGAACTCTTGACCTCAGGTGATCCACCTGCCTTGGCCTCCCAAAGTGCTGGGATTACAGGCGTGAGCCACCCCACCCCTAAACATCATTCTTGAGTAAAGATTAAAATAAATCTACCATTTTACATTTCTGCTTCATGATCATTTAGTTTTCTGCATTTAGTTTTCTAAATGTAGCTATATAAATGGTTGCATTTAGCCAAAGTTGAGGGAAAGAGCTTATAAAATTTAACTTCTTCATAATATAATAATTTCCTAGAGGTTCTGGATTTCCTGAAAGTAAAACAAACTATGTGAACCTGGGCCTGAACTCAGTGTTCGTTACTATGTATGTTTTTTTCTAATGCTCCCTGAAAGACTGAATGATTAGAAGTAACTTATAGTTTGAACAGATATGTTTCTATTAAAACAGTAGAATAACCACAAAAAAAATAGTAAGGAGAAAGCTTAGAGCGTAAAGGCATGGAGTGGAGAATAATATTTGATTATGTAAGTATTACTTTCCTTCTCTCCTTTCCCTTAGGCAAAAAAGAAACTTGAGGCAGGATGAAAGGATCAGAGTGGACTGGATAAGGTTTGAGTTGCCACTGGGCCTGACCTACCCTGTGTCCAAGGAAGCATCTACGTGAAAGGGAAGTGGAAGATTATGGCAATGTAGGCCTGAGGGCAGCCTCCCTGAGTCTTGTACCCTGAGCAATTGTAGAATGTACTGCGAAACTGGGACACTTTTGAGCAGGAAGAGGGCTATTAATAGTCACATAGAGACAACAGGCAAAAACTGGCAAAGTCTTCTGCAAACCAGGAGGTATAATCATCCTACGCATCCCCCCAGCATGATGTGGGACAGCATCCAAACGTTTCTCTAGCAGCGGTCCCTGCCATCAAAAGTCATGCAGGAATGCCTGAGGAAGCCAGCAGCTGCGAAAGCTGGGGTCGAGATCAAGGGGATACGAAGTGCACAAATGGGGCCCTGGAGGCCCACAGATGTGAGGGGAGAAAGTTTCATCCCGGGGGCATGGATTAGCAGCCCTGTCATGTGGGCCCCTGAGGACTGAGGATGGCACACAGACCAGGTGCTCTGCCCCGGCTTAGATCACAGATCACCCCTATGGAGAAGGGAGGTGAGGAGAGAATCCAAAACTGACTGAGTTTACCTTCAAAGGTGACTGTTTATCTTGAATTGCCAGAATTTTTATTCTGTAATCAATGCGAATTAAGGTTTCATGAGCTAGACACTGAGGAATGAGTGATGTTTTTGTATTCCTGGCCACTATGATGTGTAAAATGTAAAATTATTTCAATTTTCGTTCTAAGATGATCCACATTTGTTTCCAATGTCCCCTGCATCCTCTGAACTTAGTAGAACATCAGACTATTCCCAAGTAAGTAAAACACACACATCTTCAGACAAGCAGGTTGTAGATATAGACCATAATGGGCAGAGCCTAGCGGGAGGAGCATGAGGATACAGACCTCCAAATCTCAGCACAAAGAAGTTCAAACCAGGGCTGCTACATACAGTCAGAATAACAGCAATAATGATCACAATAACTAATACCCATCTAGTTTGGGATCTGAACCATTTTTACATGTATTCTCATTTCGTTCTCCATTTTTAGATGAGGAAATGGAAGCCCAAATAGGTTGTATGACTTGCTCTACTTTAAGCAGCTTTCAGGGACTCAAACCCTGATGCTGTGTTTCACTGTCCATATATTCCTTCCAGGTCCCCCAGCTGCTGACTCAAGGACCACCACCCAAAAGCATAGAGAAGGGTATTTTCCCACACGAAGAGTATGGAATCCTTCCAGCCATGAAAGAACTCTGTGCATTAACTATGTTTCGAGAGATCAATTCCTTTCACTCTCACTTAATGGTATTGGTAGATAGCACACTGGCTATTTGCTCCGCTAATGCCTTGGATTTTTTCCTTACCCGTCTGGTGCAGGCAAAGAAAAAAAGATTTCTTCTTTCCTGTTAATTTGCTAAACATGAATTACTGTTGGTCATCTTTATCGCCTTTTACAAACCTATCGCTGTGTAAGGAGTTGCTTTGTATTTTTACAGCATTTTTGCTGCATAAATATGCCACACATTTCTTTTAGAACATCATCATTGAAAGAAAACACAGTTCATCTTGGTAAGTTTTAGAACATCGCTATTTATAAAGCATGGAGCAACTCTCTCTAAAAATATTTAAGTGTTTGGCAAATAAAGAAAACACACTGAAGCCATCAGCAAAATATGTGCTAAAGGCTATGCTGTCCTTGCTATCACTGCTTTAAAGAAACATCAAGAAAAAAATAATATTCTCTGTGAGCCTTTAGCAGCCTCTTATAGAAATCATCTGCTTCTTCACCACCTCCTCTCCTTTGGAAGAGAAAAAGAACTGAGCATGATCCCAAAAAGGAAAAGTAGAGAGTGTGTAAAATGGGAAGAAATTATTTTCTTGTTTTTAAAGGTAGACAAGTTGTGATAATGATCAGGCAACCAGAATCGATGACATTTTGTGATCTTACAGGAAACATTTGGGATGTCAGACTATCAGTAAGCCTGGCCCAACTAGTGCCCTTTATTGCTATAATGTTCTCAAAGTTCTTTTTTCAAAACTTGAAATGCTCTTTATTAATAGACTCAAAGGGCATTTCTAATTCACAAAAACTATTATGGGGGTCCAATATCTAAATCCGTTTCTCCCTTGTCAGAGTTTTGATGCTGTGATTACTTTGGTCCATTTCTTGTTTATGTAATGTTGCCTTAGTTTCAATCCTAGGGACTGATCAATCATTCATAATTCAATCACTCAAATAAATTCAGTCTCAAAAATTCAATCACTCCCAATAAAAATAACACACTGAGGCTATGTGTGACTCAGTACAAACTTAAATATTTCTTCAGCCCTACAGTGAAAAAACAAATAACGACCCACATTTTGGATGCATTATTCCCACCGTTTATACACTGATACTGCCTTGCTACCTGGTAGAAAAAAGAAATTACTTCATTTGTCACCCATTCCTGACATAGAAGAATATCATTTTGTGTAGGGTTTAAACTTGACTAAATATTTCAAAGAAACCTCCCACTAATATTTTCCAACATGATGATCACATTGCCTTAAGGGGAACCTTATTAATAAAAACCACAAATATTGGGAATGAGAAAGTAAACAGCAAAACTAAAACAATGCATGCGTTCAGGGAAGCGGTTGTCTAATGAAAAGGGTGCCTGAGAGAACTGTTAATCTGGAGAGGCAGAAGGTGTTTAACAGGCATCAGACAGAGGCGGGTGGACCCAGGCTATGCTGCATATGAGCTGTGTAAACCAGGCAAGTAATTGATCCTTTCCGCATTCCTGTGTCCCCACTGGCACAAAAGTACAGATTCAATGTTTCTGTGAGGATTACAGATATTGAATATAAAGCATCTAGTCATAGTAAGCGATAAATGAAACATCTTGTCATTCATTGTTATATTATTTCCATTTTAACACCTAGAGTGTTTTTAAAATGTGTCAAAGCATCCACACGTTTTATTTAAATGTAATGCACATTGAAGCATTTGACCCAATTTTTTTTCCAGCTTCTAAAAGCTGATTTGTACAGTGATGACCCAGTACCTGTGAAGTTTAGGCCATATCACCAGGGAACTCTTTATTCCAAAATGTCAGTGGCCTGATTTAGGATACACTTTGCACAGGCTGGTTAACGGTAAGGAGACTGGAAGCATAGAGGTTCCCCTATAACTATTTAAGGCACAATAAGAGGGCTAAGGTGCTGTGATTAGTTACAACATAAATTAGGAGAAGGCATGAGACAGGGCCAGTAGGGGCAGCAGACCTGACCACACTAAGAATAAAGCAACCAGAGGGACCCAAGCATCTGCGGGGCTGCAGACTCCTCAGAGCTGCTCACAGCACTTCCACCATTCCTGTAACAAGTCCTGGAAAAGGCTAGGGCACATTGTGGAACTTTCAGTTGCTATAAAAAAAACACTGGCTCATTTTCTTTTCACACTCAGATTATCCATACAAGGAGTTTTTGCTTCTCAAAAGTGTGCTCCAAGAACCAGCTGCCTGGGCAGCACCTGGGAGCTTATTAGAAATGCAGAATTGGCCGGGAGTGGTGGCTCACACCTGTAATCCCAGCATTTTGGAAGGCCGAGGCGGTCGGATTGCTTGAGGTCAGGAGTGCAAGACCAGCCCGGACAACATGGTGAAACCCTGTCTCTACTAAAAATACAAAAATCAGCAGGCATGGTGGTGCATGCCTGTAATCCCAGCTCTTTGGGAAGCTGAGGCAGGAGAATCACTTGAACCTGGAAGGTGGAGGTTGCCAGGAGCCAAGATCGTGCCACTGCACTCCAGCCTGGGTAACAGAGTGAGACTCCACCAAAAACAAAAAACAAAAAAAACAAAACACAGAATCACCCCAGACCTACTGATTCAGGATCTGCATTTTAATAAGGTGTCTCAGTTGATTCGTATGCACATCGAAGTTTGAGGCTTTAGTTTGCACATATTGGGGTATTGTGTGTATGGAGTGGCTGAACAGGGTGAAGAAGCCATAATTTTTGAGTGGTACAGAAGAAACTGAGACCTACAGAGTTTTAGTAACTTTTCTAAGTGCATCTATCCCTGAGTGATTCCAAAATCCATGCTCTTTCACTATTATTCCACAATTTTCATTACTTGAAAAATAGGAACTCTTCAAACTTGAGCTGCATGCCTGTTAAAGAATACATATGTCTTTGTCTACGGCCATACCACCCTAAACGTGCCTGATTTTGTCAAATGCATATGTTTTCTATATAAAATTTCCTCCAGACAAATAGTGGTTAGCAGGATTAGTACAGATCGTCCCAGGTGGGTTGGGGGAAGGGAGAGTGGGAGTAGGGATGGAAATAAAACTCAAACCAGGGCAAGTAATTTCCCCATAATGCAGCACAGACTCTTCTATTAATAGAATAAGACTATATGTGAATTCTCCTTGTCTCAAACCCTAAGACCTGCTTCTAGCCTTGAGCTTCTTAAGACACTGCTTCCTGCCTCAATGGTACATGGAACATGCCTTCCTTTGTCTTGATGCCATTCTGACCACAGCATACTCTATTAAGTGCTGACGTACCATATTTAAATTTTCCCATTGATTTCTTTTGTGAGTTATAACTAAAAAGTAACTGTGGAATGTTGGCATTAACAATGTTTGACAAACTAATCAGTTTCTTAATTCATTTTCTTCCTGAAATATAACTTTTCAAGTTTTTTTTGTTTTTTTGAGACGGAGTCTCGCTTTGTCCCCCAGGCTGGAGTGCAGTGGGGTGATCTCAACTCACTGCAAGCTCCACCTTCCAGATTCACGCCATTCTCCCGCCTCAGCCTCCCAAGTAGCTGGGACTACAGGTGCCCACCACCACGCCCAGCTAATTTTTTGTATTTTTAGTAGAGACGGGGTTTCACCGTGTTAGCCAGGATGGTCTCGATCTCCTGACCTCATGATCCGCCTGCCTCGGCCTCCCAAAGTGCTGGGATTACAGGCGTGAGCCACTGCGCTCGGCTGATATGATCTTTTAAACAGATATGCTACCCATTCAGAGCTTGATAGAACATGTTTTATTCTTGGCAAACAGGAGGTGAGGCAGGGAGGAAGCCAGAACATAAGCAGCTCAACTTTCCTCTCCTCTTGCCCTCTCATTCTTCTGCTGGTGCTTCCCTTGGCCAAGCCCAACAGGAAGCCAGAGGCCAAGGGAGCCAGATGATAGTCTGTAGAGGTTGGACAATCAGGGCACAGAAAAGACATAGGTAGAGAATGGATCTGCAGGAGAAACAGAATAATCAGCAAGTGGAGGATGTTCTAAAATGGCCACTGTCTCCACAGTGGATGAAAGAGCTGCCTGGGAATGGAGCCTGCCTGAAGTTGGAGGCCATGAATTTATAGTGGCACTTGCCAGTGCAGACCTGTGACTACCTCCTGGAGTGCCCAGAAGTCCAATTGTAAGCCTGGAGAAATGGGACGGTTTGGCTGACTTGGAGTTTTGCAGGCAGGAGAAATGAAAGCACAGTGGAGGTGAGGAATTTGACACTGGATAAACATCAGTGATGGACAATGACATGTAATGTTTGTGAATAAGATATTGAAAAGAGGAAGCTACTAATAGAAAAAAAAGTCAAATTCCTGGAAGTGAGACCCGGGGGTACACTGCTGTGCTTCTCAGCGGTCTCTGGAGAGTCACAGCGTCTCTGAGTGGACAGGAAACTGGGCCAAAACAGGGATTTATTTCTATTGCTGAGCCTCCTCCTGTCATGAGCATCTCTTCAGGTCGTGTTGGTTTTTGTCTGGCACATCTTTTTGTGTTGGTGAATGGCAGCTTCACCAAGATATCATCAAATATCATCAGACTATAAATCACAATGCCCACCTGGCTCCCGGTCACACTGGAGCATTGGATTTTGAGCACTGTAGCATGCCATTTACATGCTACCATATGCTCATGCAAGGAATGAGCACATAGCTAACAAAATCCAATCAGAGCCCTTCCACAGGACTGACATGTGGACAAGGGGAGAGAGAAGACCTCTATTCCTGTTGTATTGTGTCTTATCGTATTGTATTGTATTCTACTGTATTGCACTGTATTGTATCCCTATGGCACTGTAAGCCAAAGTCTGCAAGCCTAGGTCTGCCAAGATCCAGCTTGGCTCTCAGGCGGAGAAAATCTATCAGAAACAGGAGGAAAAATATAAGACCAACATTCAAAAAGACAGACAAGAAGAACAAAAAGATGTAGAGATAAAATGCCCTGACAACATCATTTGAGGTCCTCAATCCAGTAGTGTATGGATCTAGCCCTTTGATTGCCAAGATTAATGAGACAATAAAGTCCCTTTTATGCTGATTTTTACAGGGTTCCAACTGGTTTTTGTAGGGTTTCTGCTGCTTCTCACCAAAAGGAAGCTGAGTAATACAATAGTCTGGATCTGTCACCAGTGCCTAGCTTGGTCCTGGAACTGGTTGGTTATTCGGAACTCCATGTAGGGCTTGGGCTGAATCTCCCTGGGCTGTTCTCCTGGCCAGAAGGACTCAGGATGTTACCTACCCTGAGTCCCTCTAACTTGAAAGTTCCTCAGGCCCAGTCAAAAGTCACTCTGCCCACGCCACCCAGATACCTGTGGTCATTCCACCTTTCACCTGGAGCTAATTCAATTCAGCGTCATTGAATGACGACAACATAAAGAATCAGAGACTCAGAGACTTTTCAGGCCTGATACAAATTACAGTGTGTGAAGAGCTGGCTAAGCCCCTTAATTTTACAGATGGGTAAACTGAGACCAGTAAGTCTCAGAGACTTGCCCATGGGCACTCAACTATAAAGCACTGGAGGAGGCTGGGGAAGGGACCTAATATTTATCTAAATGTATTGAGCAATCACCATGTGCCACATTGTGAGCTTTACAAATGTCCCCTCATTCTCCAAACCACCCTGCAAAGTTGGGCTTACTACTGCCATTTTCCAGATGGGGATGGCGAGGATCACAGATTTTTAATAACTTGCCAGGGACAATTTAATGGCTAAGGTGGAATGCATGCCTTGGTCTCTCTGCTTCAATGCCCTCCCACATTTGTTTGTTTGTTTGTTTTTGAAAGAGGGTCTTGCTCTGTCACCCAGGCTGGGGTACAGTGGCATGATCACGGCTCACTGTAGCTCGACCTCCAGGGCTCAAAGGACTTTCCTGCCTCAGCCTCTGGAGTAGCTGGGGCTGCAGGCAAGGCATACACCACCACGCCCGGCTAATTTTTTGCATTTTTTTTTTTTTGTAGAGGCAGGGTTTTGCCATGTTGCCCAGGCTGGTGTCAGACTCCTGGGCTCAAGCAATTCACCCATCTCAGCCTCCCAAAGTGCTGAGGTTACAGGCAGGAGCCACCACGCCCTGCACCCTCCTGCCTTTTTTAAACTCTGCAGTGTTAGCTCCCCATTCCAAAGATAGAATAAAAATCTGAAGAAGTTATAATATAGCTTTAATTTTAAGATATCCCAAGTAGATACTGTCTGGGTTATACTGGAAGCTGGTCTTTCCAATAATCTCTCCACCATAAAATATTTCTCACTGTGACCTTTAAGGAATATTTTACCATACATTATAGCCCTAAGCAGTGAAATATGTTACAAAAACTCCAAATTTCTGAATACTTTCTTCCATGAGTATGACGGAACAGGAAGAAAAGGGAAAACAAAAGACTCTCCCTGTCAAAATAAAATGTAGCTGACTTCTGCCAAAGCAGTTATTCCCGGAATGTCTAATTATTAAACCAGGAGCTGGGATAGAGAAGTCAACTATTTCATTCTCTTCACTCCTGCAAAAAGCCCTCTAGAAGCTCTATTCAGCAACAGAAGAAAAAATTCTTCTGAGGACTATGCAAAATTCGGTTTTATTTGAAAGAAAATCCTGCCATCTCCTTGGCAAGAGCTGTATGCCCTGCACAGGAGATAAAACAGGGTGATCCAAACAGCCCAATTTCCCCCTGGGGCCTCCAGACTTCCTCCCGGGCATGGGCCTTCCCCAACTCAGCTTTAAAGGGCTGCCAGTTGCAAGGCACAGAATCAAAGAGTAGGCACATTGTCCCTCTGACTCCAAGAACCCTAGATTCTTGAATGTTCATTTCTGTTATTATTAATGATAGCTAACATTTATTGAGCACTAGGCATGTGCTATGCATTATTCTATGTACTTAATGTGCATCATCTCATTTAAATGCCACAACAGGCCAGGCACCATGGCTCATGCCTGTAATCCCCGTACTTTGGGAGGCCAAGGTGTGTGGATCACTTGAGGTCAGGAGTTCAAGACCAGCTCGGCTAACATGGTGAAACCCTGTCTCTACTAAAAATGCAAAAATTAGCCAGGCGTGGTGGCACACACCTGTAATCTCAGCTACTTGGGAGGCTGAGGCAGGAGAATCGCTTAAACCCAGGAGGCGGAGGATGCAGTGCACAGATCACGCCACTGTACTCCAGCCTGGATGGCAGAATGAGACTCTATCTCAAAAAAATAAAAAATAAAAAATAAAATAAATGATACAACAATTCTATAAAATAGATAGCCCCCATTATCTTTATTTTATAAGTGAGGAAATTAAGTCTTGGAAAAGTAAAGTAATTTGTTTGAGAGAAACATCTGTTTTGTGCCTCCAGCATGGAGCCATCTTGGGGGAGATGAGGCAGGAAGGGAAGGAAGTCAGTCTTTTTAGCATCTACTATGTGACCAACACCAAACTAGTAACTTTGTTTCTTATCTCTTCTTCATCGTAAACCTGGTTTCTATAAGACAGCCCTATTTTGTGTAAGAGTTAACTAAGAACTCAGAGAAATTCAGTAACTAGACTTTAGCTAGTAGATGATTGAGTGATGATTTGACACAGATCACCTGTTCCTAATATACCTTTCTATATACAACATATGTGTGTAGATTATTTGTATCCTGGCTCTGTGATACTAGCTGCATAATTTTGGGCAAGTCTCTGCGCTTTAGTTTCCCCATTTTTAAAGGAGGAATCATATTCTCTCCCAAATAGAAATTGGGAGCCAACTAAGATAATGTTTCGGAGCGCTTACCATGTTCTATAATATTTTTTCCTACACACATCTCCCTTCTCTGATTTCTGTGGTGCCTGGTTGACACCCTTTTTAGATCCCTCCCTGCTCATCAATGCTTCTTAGTGGCTTATGGGAGATGTAGGAAAAGGGATACTATAATGTGAGTCCCTGGGGGCCTATTCGTTCTGCAAAACCCACATCTTGGGGTGGACTTGTCACTCACCGGTTATGCAGTAAATGTTGATTTTTAAGGATCTCCTGCTGTCTTCAATCATGGAAACTACAAATGTCCTTAGAAACTCCCAAATCTATTAATGAGTCATTTGGCCTATTGGTCATCTTTGGGAGACTTCAGACTCTGCCCCTTTAGGAATCCTGGCCATAATCAGTCCCCTCTATAAAATCCAAACTCCCAAAGCAATCCCCCAACCCCAATATCCATTATATTCTCCTCTGAAGAACTACTTCCTTCAATAAACATGGGATTAGATTTTACTCTTTTAAATTTCATTTTCACCAAAGATTTTGGAACAATATATAAAGGAAGGGATATTCGTACCCACTCCTGTGGTATTCAGCCACAGTAAGAATTAGGCAGTACCAGAGCTATAGATTTGCCTTTCTGCTCCTTAAGCCAAATGGCCTTCTTGGTGTTCATGTGAGCCACATGGATGAGAAACCATTGCATTAACTATGTAGTGACCAACAGTACAGATTAGTCCGGTAGGGCATTTACAGAAAGGTATTCTAGAGGATGATGCTGTGTCCGGAATTGGTGGGTTCTTGGTCTTACTGACTTCAAGAATGAAGCCGCGGACCCTCACGGTGAGTGTTACAGTTCTTAAAGGTGGCGTGTCCGGAGTTTGTTCCTTCTGATGTTTGGATGTGTTCGGAGTTTCTTCCTTCTGGTGGGGTTCGTGGTCTCGCTGGCTCAGGAGTGAAGCTGCGGACCTTCGCGGTGAGTGTTATGGCTCTTAAGGTGGCACGTCTGGAGTTGTTCTTTCCTCCCGGTGGGTTCGTGGTCTCGCTGGCTTCAGGAGTGAAGCTGCAGACCTTCGCGGTGAGTGTTACATCTCATAAAGGCAGTGTGGACCCAAAGAGTGAGCAGCAGCAAGATCTATTGCAAAGAGCAAAAGAACAAAGCTTCCACAGTGTGGAAGGGGACCCGAGCAGGTTGCCACTGCTGGCTCATCAGCCTGCGTTTATTCTCTTATCTGGCCCCACCCACATGCTGCTGATTGGTAGAGCCGAGTGGTCTGACAGGGCACTGATTGGTGCATTTACAATCCCTGAGCTAGAAACAAACGTTCTCCACAACCCCACCGGATTAGCTAGATACAGAGTGTCCACACAAAGGTTCTCCAAGTCCCCACCAGAGTAGCTAGATACAGAGTGTCGGTTGGTGCATTCACGAACCCTGAATCAGGGTGTTGATTGGTGTGTTTACAAACCTGGGGCTAGATACAGAGTGCCGATTGGTGTATTTACAATCCCCGAGCTAGACACAAAGGTTCTCCACGTCCCCACCAGACTCAGGAGCCCAGCTGGCTTCACTCAGTGGATCCCTCACCGGGGCCGCAGGTGGAGCTGCCTGCCAGTCCCGTGCCGTGCGCCCGCACTCCTCAGCCCTTGGGTGGTCGATGGGACTGGGCACCGTGGAGCAGGGGGCTGTGCTCGTCCGGGAGGCTCGGGCTGCACAGGAGCCCACGGAGTGGGGGGGAGGCTCAGGCATGGCGGGCTGCAGGTCCCGAGCCCTGCCCCGCGGGAAGGCAGCTAAGGCCCTGCGAGAAATTGAGCACAGCAGCTGCTGGCCCAGGTGCTAAGCCCCTCACTGCCTGGGGCCGGTGGGGCCCACCGCCACTCCGAGTGCGGAGTCCGCCGAGCCCACGCCCACCCGGAACCCACGCTGGACCGCAAGCACCACGCGCAGCCCCGGTTCCTACCCACGCCTCTCCCTCCACACCTCCTCACAAGCTGAGGGAGCCAGCTCCGGCCTTGGCCAGCCCAGAAAGGGACTCCCACAGTGCAGCGGCGGGCTGAAGGGCTCCTCAAGTGCCGCCAAAGTGGGAGCCCAGGCAGAGGAGGCGCCCAGAGCGAGCCAGGGCTGTGAGGACTGCCAGCACGCTGTCACCTCTCAATGCCTGAATCAATATCACTGTGTACATTTGGTGTTTAGATGATAAACTTTAGATCTGCATTGCTCTTGAGCTAGGCATTTTACCAATATTTCAGTAATGTAAGAACAAAATATCTCAAAGGATTACAAAGAATACAACCATTCACAAGACACACAGTTTCACAAAAAAATCATCGGTTCTCAAAGTGTTTTCCTGACCAGAAGCATCAATATCGCCTGGAAACTTGTTAGAAATTAAAATTATCAGACCTCAGAATCAACATGTCAGCATCATTCTGGTGGCCTGATCTCATGGCGTCCTATAAGAGAGATACCATGCCATCCAGTGGAAGCTATCTGCTTGCCAGGATGCCCTTCTAGAACTGAGAAATGGAGGGAAATAACCCCATAGGTGTGAGTCCTGAAGCTCCTGTGAGACAACTGGTCAACCGCACAAATAGGAGAAGTGAGAGTGTGAAGAGTCAGAGAGCACCCTGAAGGTGAGAAAGGAAGGCCAGGGCCTACACTGGGCCTCATTTGGGTTCAGAGCACCCTGCCCAGATGGCACTGCCAGCCCTGGCAAGTTCTAAGCACCAGAAAGGCACTTAGAAAACTTTGACGAAGAGACTTCAGAGCACAGGAGTCCCTGAGGCTGGGGTTTGGGGGAAGGACAGTGGATGGCATGGAGCCTGGGGCAAAAGCCCTGGTGGCCCAGGTCTAAGCATACTATTGACCTCCGTCTACAAAGTGTCTCCACTTATTGCTAAACACCAGCCTCTACTTTCCCTCAGGCCAGTCTTTGTACATCCATAGATCCCAGCATAGCATTTTGCATGTAAGAAGAGCTCAATAAAGTTTGTTAACTGTTCCACACATAAATCTTATGGTTATTTTAATTAAAAGAAAAACTACACTATTTGTGGTCTGAATTAATACCACCTGCTGTGGAAAGCTTATCTGAGTCACAAGGTGATCACAGCAAGTCAACAGCAGACTTGAGATCAGGAGGTTACTAATCAGGTCCTTCTGACTCTGAACACCACTGCTTTCTACTATACCATGTGGCTCTGGGCCCATCAAAAGTCACAGAGACCTGAACTTGGGAAGATTGGATTAGGTGAAAATCAAATAAGAGAATGGAATCAAAAAAAGGTCTCTGGTAGAAATCCCTAAAATAAAGAGTATACAACCAAACTATGGCTACAATGATAGGTCTCCTGGAGGAGAGGGATCATTTGACTTCCTGCAAACTATTCATCCAGACTGCTGTGGTTTTAAAACAAATCATTTGATACTCTTCCCACAGAAGATGGAGTCTAATTCTCCCTCCTTGATGTGGGCTGGCTTTGGCAAATCATTTCTAATAACTTGAATGTAGCAAAAGAGACACTTAGTATCTTCTGAGGTAGGTTAGAAAAGCAACACAGCTCCCTCCTAGCTTTTTCTCTCTCTTGAAGGACATGTCTTGGGAGTCTCCAATCAACATGTGAAAAAAATCTGGCTACTCTGAAGCCACCCTACTGGGGAAATCATATAGAAATAGACAGAGATGGCCATAGGGCACCAATTGTTCCAGACCTCGGTTGTTTGCATCAACCACCAAACACATGAGTAGGGAACATTCAAATAATTTCATTCCCCCACCTTCAGCTGCCAAAGCTGATATCAGGTGGCTCAGAGACAGGGTGCTCCCCCCAAGCCCTGGCTAGTTACAGATTCATAAGTAAAATATGGGTGTCTTTAGCCACTAAGTCTTGAAGTGATTTGTTCCATGGCATTGCATAACTAGAACATAGTCCAAACCAAAGGAGGTAAAAGATTCCTGTCAAACAGAGAACAACTGCTAAATATTATTACTTAGAAGGATGGTTTTCAGCATCTATAAATAACACATTTTTGCCTACTTTCTCCAGTAAAGGATATGGACAAGTATACACATTCCTCCCTGCCAGGAACAAAAAGCCAGTAAAATAGGGGAAGTGTTTAGTGCCTATTAGAGCTGCCCATGAAATTTGAACATGTTATTCTAAATGAGATTTTCACATTCAGTTCATAATTACTTGAAATCAATTCAGCATTTTTTTTCCCCCTCCAGGACTTCTCTTTTGCTGGGATTTTACCAGATTTTCGGGTTGGAGGAAAATTTTACTTTGTGGTCTATTTGTGAATATTCTGTTAATGTTATTTGTTTGCTCTACTTAGAAAATCTGTTGATTTTTTTCATATCTCTGGAATATTCTTTGCTGTTCCTAGGGCCTAGCCTGTTGTATCTCATGTAGCTTTTGCTCCCTACTCATATTTTTCCTGTTGGTGCCTCTTTTAGAATAACTGACTCTCAGTTTTCTCAGTTTTGGTTCCTCCACTAAACTCTCTTGGATCATTCAAGCATTCTGTATTTTTAAGTCCTCTCTCAGCCCTGTGCCATTCAACCCCCAAGGCCCCTGACCTGGTCCAGCACCCTGGGCATCTCTTCTTTTATGCCATTATCACTCTCCTGTCTCCATCTTCTTAATTTCTTTCATGAGTAATTACAATGGTCTCCTAACTGGTCTCCTTGTTTCCAATATCTTCCTCCTGTAATCCAGGCACCCCGTTGCTGTATATCTTTCTAAAACACCCATCTCATCAAGTCAGGGGTTTAACACATCCAGAGTCAAGTCTAAGGGCACAATAGCCCAAGGCTATTCCTGACCTAATCACTATCCTCCCCTCCAGGTTCATCACTCCTTTCCTCTCCCCATAGCAAATTTTCTAGTCATACCACTCTGCATATGGTTTCCTAAATATACCATGTTTTTCTGGGCTCCATCACATTTGAAAATAGTGCGCTCTCTCTTCCCCACCCTTCCTGCTGCACAATCACCTGTGGAATCCCTGTTTATCTTACAAAAATACAACTCAGTTGTTACCTCTTCTAGGACAACTTCCCTGACCCCTCTAGAAAGAGTTACTAGCTCCTCTACCTTGCACATGATTCTGTTGCTGCACATGTCACAGTGAAGGAATCTGGGTATTTACAAGTCCATCTCCCCTGCTAAACCATGAGCTCCTCGGGAGAAACCGTCCTATTCATCACCTAACACAAAGCCATCTACACCGAAGAGGCTTAATAAATGTTTTTTCATTACATAGGACAGAATAAAATTAACAGCCAATCAGTGGAAGATTACCTGAATGATAGACCAAATATCTCTTTGAAAAAACAGCCTCTGGAAGCTACCCAGGCAAACCTAAATGTATAAAGTTTATGTCACCATAACAAAACTTAAACTTGATCCATAGCTCTGTGGAAAGTGACTGAGCTGATTCAGTAAAAAGGGTATATACCCAAAGGATTACAAATCTATAAAGATACAGGCACAGGTATGTTTATTGCGGCACTGTTCACAATAGCGAGGACTTGGAACCAGCCCAAATGTCCATGAATGATAGATTGGATAAAGAAAATGTGGCACATATACACCATGGAATACTATGCAGCCATAAAAAAGGATGAGTTCATGTTCTTTGCCGGGACATGGATGAAGCTGGAGACCATCATTCTCAGCAAACTAACACAAGATCAGAAAACCAAACACCGCATGTTCTCACTCCTAAGTGGGAGTTGAACAATGAGAACACATGGACACAGGGAGGGGAACATCACACACTGGGGCCTGTCATGGGGTGGGGGGCTAGGGGAGAAATAGCATTAGGAGAAATACCTAATGTAGATGACGGGTTGATGGGTGCAGAAAACCACCATGGCACGTGTATACCTATGTAACAAACCTGCACGTTCTGCACATGTACCCCAGAACTTAAAATATAATAAGAAAAAAAAAAAGAAATGAGGAGATGCAGGGCCAACTCAATATAAACCATCTAAAAAGTAAGTTTTGTTGTTAGCTCGTGTAATTCTGGTTAAAATTAATAAGGATTATGAGCTCTAAGAGGTGGAAAGTCATTCCTATCTTGTCCTTAACTCTGGTCCAATCCTTTCTTAGATTACTAGGTCTGAGCTTAATTTTCAAACTTTCATAAAAATGGAATGAAGTCACAAGGGGCCCAAAGAAGAAAAATAGAAATTATTAAGATTTGAAAATAGGAGTGATAAGAAAACATTAAAGATATTAGAGAAACAATCTCACTAGTAGGAATTATCCAAAAATATTAATTAAGAATGTGTGCAAAAGATTAGCTACAAGAAAGTTTATAGAAGCATTATTTTAAATTATAAAAAAAGTAAATTAAAAACAAGTGACCAAAATAGGAGATCATATCTTTACACATCAATACTTTGATAGACAAGATAGGAAAGTATAAGGATGGAATTATGTTCAATGATATAGTCATTGAACATCAGATTATAGTATATGTAGTAAAATTCTATTTTTATAAATCTACATATGTATAAAGTATGCATAGATAAAAGTCTGAAAGAGAGTACAGCAAAATGTTGGCAATGATTATCTCTGGAATTTGATTTATTTTTTTCATTTTGCTCATCTACATTTTCCATGTTTTCTAAAATCATCATGTGTTGCTGTATAGTTTTTTAAATTTAAAGTAATTTAAATTAAACGGTAGAAATTGGCACGAGTTAGCAGTGGATATAATCAGGAAACCTCTATAATCTTAGTTTCCTGGGAGCATAAAGTAAATTAGACATAAAGCCAAAGGTAGGCTAGGGTGAATAAAGGGAGATCTCACAATGTCAGGCAAACAAGTTGGGTCATTATTGTGTAAGCAATATGGAACTTTGAAACTTTTTGTTCACAGGAATGGTCTCTAATATAGTTGTTATTTAGACAGATATTTGATGGTAACACTGGGCTTGGTGACTAATTGGGTTGGTAGAAAGACAGGAAAGCAGAAGGCAATGTTTACTACTATAAGGTTTGAAGGCTAAGACATTGGGCAGAAGGTGATGGCTTAAATAGGCTAGAGAAAGAGGAGAAAAAAAAAATTGCAAATGCAGAAGGAAAGCATGAGTGAGCTGGACTCCGGACTTTTGCTCTAGCAGCCAGGCAACAGCTACCGTTGACCAGGGGTCCCCAACCCCCTGGAACCAGTACCTGGCCTGTAAGGAACGAGGTCACACAGCAGGAGGTGAGCGGCAGGCAAGCCAGTGAAGCTTCATCTGTATTTACAGTTGCCCCCCATTGCTCACATTACCACCTCAGCTCTGCTTCCTGTCAGATCAGCAGTGGCAGCATTCGCATAGGAGCACAATCCCTTTTGTGAATTGCGCATGCAAGGGATCTAGGTTGAATGCTCCTTATGAGAACCTAACGTCTGATGATCTGTCACTGTCTCCCATCAGCCCCTGATGGCTGTCTAGTTGCAGGAAAACAAGCTCAGAGTTCTCATTTATTCTTTATTATGGTGAGTTATATAATTATTTCATTATATATTACAATGTAATAATAACAGAAATAAAGTGCACAATAAATGTAATATGCTTGAATTATCCCGAAACCATCCCCACCACCCTGGTCTGTGGAAAAATTATCTTCCAAGAAACCAGTCCCTGGTGCCAAAAAGGTTGGGGGCCACTGCTGTTGATTCTTGGGAACTTGATGTGGATCCTTTTTAGAGGACAAAAGTGTGTTAATACATGTGAAGTTTACACAATTCTTGTAAACTTCTGATTCCCTAGACCAGTATTACATTTCAGAGACCAAATTTAACAAAGCAACTCTGAATCCACATAAATGTTTAGTAATTTGAGATAAATAAATTAAATGAATGTTGTTGATATTCTGTTTTGATAGTGTCAAATTTTCCTTTTCACAATGAAGGATTCCTGGAATGAAACCCAGAGAAATATGTCAAGGAATCAGAAGAAATAATACAGACAGTAATTTCTTTAATCTGAAGTATCTAAAGCTGAAAAGGCATTAAACAATCACAAAAACTGGAGAAAAAAAAGCAAAGGAAAATGAGAAGCATAATACTTTAATTCTCTTTGTTGATATTTTAAGATAGTTCTTTACTAATTTATTCTTTGCTCTTTTCCAAAGAGATAGCTTGTTTCATCACCTTAATGTATTTATAGTCATTTATAATTATTTCAGAAAAGCTTTTTTGGTGAATTCCAAACTGGATTTTAGTGAGAAAGCACTGAGTGGAATGCTGATGTGTCTTCTCATTGACTTCATGATCTCCAATCCAAAAATTGGTACAATGAAACTTCATTCTGTATAATCACTAACCTCAAAGGACATGTTATTGATTAAAGTACGTAAGTCTAGTTTGTACTCCAAATATTTAAAAGAATGAGAGGTGTTCAAATAGAAGAGTCTGTCCACTTATAAAAAAATAGACTATCAGTCTATTTTACACTAGACTACTCAAGAAGAAATCTCTCAATGTTCTTTCAAAAAGCCATTTGACATTGATACCCTGTGAGGAAATGACCCACTCACCACTCAGCACTATAATGAGGACAGGCAGATTTAAATTTAGAAATTTGAATTCGTTTCTTCTCTAACCTTTCCAGGAAGAGAGAAGGCTGCAGACCCACAGAGATGTTCAAGCTTTGATTATGAATACCACCCAGTCCCCTTTACGTGATCCAAGCAGATAAATTCATCATCTGGATTGAATAAAGATATTTTTTAAAAGACAGAACTGCGCCCACCCAACATATGTCATCAAAGTATCAGTTTCCAAATGAGATATCAGAGAGAAGAGCTGAGAAGAAGATCTGAGAAGCATTACCCACCAGTGATAGGGAGAAACACCTTAAGAAATATAGCCAGGCGCAATGATTCACGCCTGTAATCCCAGCACTTTGGGAGGCTGAGGTGGGCAGATCACCTGAGGTCAGGAGTTCAAGAGCAGCCTGGCCAACATGATGAAACCCCATCTCTAGTCTCTACAAAAATACATCTCTAGTCTCTACAAAAAGACAAAAATTAGGCATGATGGCGGGTGCCTGTAATCCCAGCTATTTGGGAGGCTGAGGCAGGAGAATCACTTGAACCAGGGAGGTAGAGGCCACAGTGAGGCAAGATCACGCCATTGCACTCCAGCCTGGTCAACAGAGCAAGACTCTGTCTCAAAAAAAATAAATAAATAAAAATAAATAAATAAATAGAAATGTCGTATTACCATTATTCACATTCTATAGATGAGAAACTGAGTCTGTGGGACACAAAATAACTTGAAGTTGCAGAGCCAGTAAGTGGCAGAATCAGAATTCAAATCCATATCTATCTCAGTCTAGACCCTGGAATGTCACTACGAGGCTTATAATATTCTCCTTATATCATGGATTCCTAATAGAGCAGCTGTACTTGAAAACACCTCAAAAGGAACACAGTCCTGTAGCTTTACCCAGTGCTGTAATGCTTGCCACAAACTGTATGTCTTTCCACAAGCTGCATCCCTTGCCCCTGTCTAGTAGCTTCTACTTTAGTTTGCCTCCCACTTCTCAGGACCAGAGGAATCATTGAAGTCAAAACTTCTCAGTCCCATCCTGAGTGTCTGTTGGCTAGACCTTGTTGGAAGTGGCTCTCTCAGGCTCCTCTCTTTCATATGATACACAATCTAGTTCATGGCTCCTGTATGCAGAGCAGAGATGCTGAAATTGATCCTCCTTAAGACACATACACAGGCCAGACCTTCATCTGTGCTCGACACCTCTATGCCTGTGATCACCACTTTGGCTTGGTCTAGGAGTCCTCAGATTCTTACAACTAGGATCCTTTAGGAGTTCAAGGTCCAAGGACCTTTTGCCAAGCCCCCAGAAGAAGGGCCATGGAGAAAAACTCTAGATGGTTATACAAGCAAAGCAACAGGGTAAATACATGCATGTTCATGGAGTTTTCATTTTATTCAAAGGCTTAGAGAAACAAAATGTGGAAAGTATCTGATAATTTAAAACAATTTTATAAAAGTTAACATGGATATATTACAGACTAGAATAAAAATTCACATATATTTTTTAGATAAAACTAGAGGAGCAACAGATATGTCAAGGACCTGCTTCAGGTCAGGTTCTCCATCTCCTTACAGGAGTGCATGCCTTCTTCTCCCCCTGCGGAAGTGCCTCAGGGATGAAAGTAGAGAGAACTCTCAGGGCATGCTCAAGGCCATCACTTCTACTCCAGCCATGTGCTTTTTCTGCCCTAAGGAGTTTGCTACATCAAACCTTACAGGGAAAAAAGGCATTGGGTGAATGATTTAGATAAGCTCTCTGCAGGAAGGACCTCTACTTCTTTTTCTCACAAAGGGAATGGAAAATTTTCAAGAGGAAACTATCGAGTGTGGACTTAAGGGAAAAGAGCCCCTAAGCTGTTCCTATTCCAGACCTGACTGAAAGAACCAAGAAAATCCTCAAGATTTCACACATGGATCAGCCCAACTCATCAGAAAGGGTGTCCATTTAGGGCTCTGCATTAATAAGGACAGTTTGATCCAGTTAATTCTTTGTTGTGAGGGGGCTATCCTATGCCCTTTGGAATGTTTAGTAGCAACCCTGGATTCTACCTACAAGATCCTCAGTTGTGACAACCCAAAGTGTCTCTAGACATTGCCAGTGTGCCCAGGGTTGAAAACCACTGAGTTAGGGGAAGAGAGTTGTAGCTTGGCTAATAATCAAATATTTGTTTTCTTAGAGTATCTTCTGTGCTATATATATCACCTAGGCCTTAGAGAGGGTGCTATGGCTATAGTAGATGGAGTGAAATTCAGGATGTGATGATTCAGATTCCTATGCTGGCCACCATCTTCAGAACTAACACTACCTGAGCTGAGTACCTCAACAAAAGGCAGAGGGCCATGTACAGCTGCACAGGCTAGGCACTGCACAATTCCAGACAGTGCCCTTCACACAGTTTATGATGTGAAAGGAGCTCCTGGAGTCGTGCAATGAAGCAGCCTTGGATGTTACAGTGTTTCAGCCATCTGTCTCCTGTCTGTAGAAAATGTCTTGGAAGAAGGAAAAATAAAACTAGTAAACAGTATATATGGGTCAGGAAATCATGAATCACTGTCTCAGCTTTAAAATGGGATACCACTTCCAGATGGCATCACATTCTCAAAAGTTAAAACGGAGCTTCAAATCTGAAAAATCTTGTAAAAATGTTTCTTTTTAACACTTCTGTTTTGTTGCCAGGACTCTACTGGGTTACTGGAAAGCTGTAGAGAAGCTACATGGTGCAGTGGAGTGAGCTGGGGATTCCCTACGAGGAGGCTAAGATTTGAATCATGTTTCTACACCTAAGAGGTGTTTTGGTCCTTTGACAAGTTACTTGACCCCTGAGCCAGCTTTCTACTGGTACATTGAAGAATGATAACAGTTATTCCTGCCCCAGAGTGTTGTGAGGATTAACAAAGAAATGATACCATGAGCGCACACATGTCTTGTAAAGGGTAAAGCAAAACACAAATGCTGCTCAATTTGACAGATAGATGGGGTCACTCGATAGCTTGCTGAAGATTTGAGACCGTTCTTTCAGATGTCAAAGATTTATATTTTAAAAGGTGTTCATTTTTAACATTTTTTGAAATCTTCTCACCCATGTAATTTTAAGTACCATTGTTCACAGCTTGTATTATTTTATGCTTATAGATTATAGAGGTTATCTTATTGACAGAGAGCTAAATAGTCTAATCACTAGAATATTGAAAGAAAATAGCATTTTATAGAAACTTCTTCAAAGTTTACCCAAAAGGTACAGTTGTCTGTCCTTAGCTTAATAATACTTTTTTTCTAATTACAAAAGCAATATATGACCATTCATTCTTCTTTTCTCTACCGAAAAGTAGTCATTTAAACTCTAGAAATATGTTAACAGTTATATAATATTCTGCAAATGAATGTTCCATATTTATGAACTATTATCTCACCAACTTTTTATTTTTACCTTATATCCATCTTTTTTTTTAACTTCCAAATTCCTAGAAGTAGAATTCCAAAATTAAAGAGTTTGAATTTTTTTTTTTTTTGAGACAGGGTCTCACTCTGTCACCCAAGCTGGAGTTGTGCAGTGGTGAAATCACAGCTCACTACAGCCTTGACTTCCCTGGGGAGGATCAAGCGATCCTCCTGCCTCAGCTTCCTGAGTAACTGCACCTACAGGCAAGCACCACGATGCCCAGCTAATTTTTTCTATTTTTCGTAGAGATGGGGTCTCATTATGTTGCCCAAGCTGGTCTCAAACTCCTTGGCTCAAGCCAAGTATTTTGGCCTCCCAAAATACTAGGATTGCAAACGTGAGCCACTGTACCTGGCCTGAATTTTTTCAAAGATCCTGGCTTCAATTTGCCTTCCAGAAAGAATTATATCAATTTGCACACATTTTAGCAATATGAGAATGTACCTAAATATTTTTAACATATTTATTCTCCTAATTTGCATATTTAAGATTTTATTAGTCATTAGTATCTCTTCTTATGTTTATGTGCTCTGCATATTTATTTTATGGGGCATTTGTGTTTATAACTGATTTTTATGAATCTTTATATATTAAGTATATTAATCATTTGTCTCTCATATTTGGGTAATGGACTTCCCAGCCTATTATTTTTTTAGTTCAATATTATGTGCTTTCTTAACACTAAAAAGTTTAGTTTTGATGTAATCAAAACTATTGCTATTTTTCCTGTGATTTTTTTCTATTGCTTTTAAGTTAGAAAACCGTTTCTTATCCTGGGATCAAACATTTTAAATCACCTCTGTGATCTTTATGCTTTGCACAGTTTTTTTTTTTTTTTGACACCTAAAATTCATGTTGGCTTACTGCACCAAGCAAGAAAGGATTTCAAAACAGATAAATACAAACAAAATGATAAAAAATATCCAAATTCTTGTCTTTGAATACAAAAGTAAGCTCTATAAATTCAGAGTGGAAGCAGCAATCTTGAAGGCAAAGTCCTTTAGATTTTTTAAGAGCTGAATATTTCAAGAGGTAAAAGCTTTGGGTTCAAAGAGCAAAAGCCTGAAAGACTTGGGGCACAGGATTTTAAATCATGAACCAGAAAGCAGAGAAGCACCAGAGAGATCTCATAAGGATGGAAATAGGAAGTTTTTCTGAACTGGGAGGAGCTCGAAGACAATCACAAGAGTATCAAGATATGGCCGGGCATGGTGGCTTGCCTCTGTAATCCTAGCACTTTGGGAGGCCGAGGTGGGCAGATCACCTGAGGTCAGGAGTTTGGGACCAGCCCGGCCAACATGGTGAAACCCCATCTCTACTAAAAATACAAAATTAGCCAGATGTGGTGGCACATGCCTGTAATCCCAGCTACTCGGGAGGCTGAGGCAGGAGAATCACTTGAACCCGGGAGGCGGAAGTTGCAGTGAGCCAAGATCACGCCATTTTACTCCAGCCTGGGCAAGGAGAGTGAAACTCCACCTCAAAAAAAAATGAGTGGCGAGATAGAAGCTTACTTAAGTCTGCAAACAGCAAACTCTCCAAGGATTCAGGTTTGCAGTGCCCAGAGCCACTTGGGGCAGCCACAGTAGAGTAGAAATGGCAGTACTGTCAGTTTAAGCATAGCATCCCCCACAAATGCTCCTGATGGGGTGAAAAAGAGATTTGGTTACCTTCCATTGGCTTCTGAGGGATGTGCTGAAAAGATCTGAGAATCAAAGGCCAGCGTGCCTGCTGAGGGCTCGCTGCTGTTACGGCAAGGGCGGCCTGCAGCAGGGGCTGTGCGATGGACAGCCAGGCCGGGTGCCGGCTGCAGTGAGGCTGGCCCGAGTCAAAAGAGGGACAGCACCCCTCATGGAAGAGTCACTGTTTCTGGGAGGACAGAGCATAGCTTCCTCAGCCAGGGACACATGGAGCAGATGCTGTGGACAGATAAATCAATCACCCAGACTGGCAGTGCAAACTCCATCATAATGAAGCCAACAGGACAGAGGATGAGCTTAGATCCGGGCCTCTATCCCCCGAGGCCATGCCCATGCCTGAGAGAAGTTTATGGTCCCAGTGTGAAGGAAAAGTAGAGGGAATAAAATCCCTAAGAGATTGAGTTTATATGAAAAGTGACTGAATTACCTAGTAGTAACCAGATTACATTTTCTATTCTCAGAGAAAACAGAAACTTACAAGCCATATTAATTATTATAATTGTCACATAATGGTATGTGAATATGAAAGGTATAAATAAATATACATTTAAGTATATTCAACATATATTATAAATATGTATAATATGGGATTAATATATATGCCTCTTTTCCACCGATTGGGACACCACCTTCATCCTGTGTCAAATATGATGCATACTGACATCTGTTTCTCAGAAGGTTGATTCCATTCATCTGTCTACTAGCTGAGATGGTATTTAGCAGGTCTAGGCCCAGAAACTCAGGTTTGCTCAGTCTTGCAGCTTTCATTTTGATTGCATTCCGATTCTGTATTTTCCTGCAGTCCTTTTCCTAGAAGCTGCCCACTCCCTAAATCCTGTGGGGTTTTCAGGTATCCTCCATTAATAAGCCTACATCATCCTCGCATCCTCAGCAACTGTGTATCTGTTGATTGACAATGATTAGGGGTGTGCTGAAACCAGCTCCTACCAGACCACAAGAGCCACTTCTGTGCATCTCCTCCCCCAATTCCACATTCAGTAATGTCACATTGATACTTTGATATTTGCTATGGTGAAAGTATTTACACCACAGAGATCAGCAGATGCTATAAATGTGGACTTTTGTTTTTAGAGAGCCAGCTTGCCAGCATACCATGGATTAGAAAGTCTCTGAAAGGCCCCAAGGTCCAGGACTCTTCAACAGAACTAACTATACTATAACAATTGTATTAAAAATCTAAAATGGATGGTATAATTATCTGAATACTTAGTTTCACTGCATCAACACCCCCATAAAAATGTAATTTGAAAATGTGTGAGCTAAGGTGTTCTATGTATAGTCCTTTTTTCTCTTTCTCTCCTTGATAGGCAGGATTCTTAAAGACTACTAAATATTAGATATCATCTGCATTAAAATCAGGAGGAAAATAAAGACAAGTTTTGACCTAGAACAATGTGATACTTTGGATTGTAAAAGAGGAATAAATAACATCTTGTATCAGATTCTGTCCCAGGAGGTCTTACGTTATTAAATATAACTGCTTCAAAAATTAGTATCTCTGCCCCTGGGAGATCTGGTTCTTGTTCTGCTACTCCCAGAACAAGATCTGCAAAGCCAATTGGCCAATAGCCTGTGTCAGATTAAAACCCTCTCTTGACTTCCCTGGAAAAGCCTAGACAGGTCTCAGTTAGAATCACCGCAGACAGCCTTATATATCTGGAGCACAAAGCCAACCAAAGGTAGCCCTGCAGCGTGGGCCTGTGTGTGAGTGGGGACCTTGCACAGCCATCAGAAGACTCCACAGTGGTGGGCTCTCCATCTTTTCAGTTTCAAATATTCCTCACTCATCATGGCCCTCTATTGAGGCAGCTCCTTCAAACACCCTCACCTTTATCCAGTCTCTATGGACCACACAAGTCCTCAAAATTTGTCTCTAAAATCATAGACTAGTAGACTCAGCCAGAGTCTCAGGGGTATTTTGCTTTCGTTTTCCTTTTACAGATAAGGCCCAGAGAAAGGTGGTCATTTGCCCAAAGTAACAGCAGATCCCTGGCAAAGGTAGAACAGGAATTCAGGACTGCCAAGTCCCAGCCCAGGGCCCTTTCTACTGAAATTCTGCCCTTCTCTCTTCCACTATCTCCCTTGAAGGTGGAAGGGAGAAGTAGCATCCTTGGGGGAAGAGAAGCAGCATCTTTACTATCTGTGTTCTACAGCAGTCACAGGTTTTGGGGATCCCTAAATCCATGAGAATGTCAAGGGTCCCCCAGAAGCTTAACTAATGCACAAAGATTTCATAGAGTTTAATTTTTAGTGTGACTATTCCTTTTAATTAACTGATTGAGTCATTTTTCTCAAACTTTCTAATATCTCCCCCAAATAATAGCTGAATTACAAAGCCACAAAATGGAGAGTATTTAATCAAGTGCTTCCTTTTAGAAATAATTCAAGGAAAAATAAACAGGATGTCTTACTTCATTCACCTAATTGGGTTAATCTCCCAATAGGCCCTCCTTCCATTATGCAAGTAACAGAAAAGAAAACAGAATCCTCTGTTTTTCAATGTTAATAATAAATCATTCCTAAACAACAGACCTTAAGGAATCATTTCACCCTCAAGCTAGCTAGCTCAAGCTTTAAAAAAAGACTGTTACATTACTTAATTTTTTTTTCAAATTTCTTTTTAGAACACACATCATAAATTATAAAAATAGGCTTTCGTGTGGCAATACTAACATTTTAATGGAAGAATAGTGAGTCTATGCCTTCATTTCTTTATTATTTGACTTATATTTAGACGATTCCCATTGTCTGAATGGGATAAGCTAAGGTGGTTCATTTTTATATCATATACAGAATTGCCAAATTACAATACTACATTCTGCGTGGTGTGTGTGTGTGTGTGTGTGTGTGTGTGTGTGTGTGTTAGAAGTCCCAGAAAACTGTCTCCCTCACCTTACAGACAAGAGAAATGAAATACGGTGAGGTCATGGGCATACCCAAAGTCATGGAGCTAATTAGCCTCGGAGCCAGAAATAGAACCTACGTCTCCTGACTCCCCAGAATGCATGCTGCTGATCATTCTCACAGAGTGAATAAAGCATCCTTCATCACCAATTTCTATTAGTTTTCACTTGCTATATGAAAATTATAGTACCACTATTTCTAAGAAATGTTTAGCCCTCATAATTATACACCCTTAGTTTATACATTGTGTAACATCAGAATAGATATACCTTGTCAATGACTCTTCTTCACCTTTAAAATATCATAGTTGTTATAGGGCAGAGGGAATAGAGCCCAGGTTTAGGAGTCAGAAACAGAATTTAAACCCCAATTCTGTTGTTTATAAGATTGGTAAAGTTGTGTAAGTTACTTGAGATACTTAAGTCTTTTGAGACTCCATTTTCTCATCCAAAAGTAGGATAATTAATAACTACTTTTGTAAGATTAGTGCAAATCCCCAAAGATAGTGTCTGGATTTGTGGTAGGAGGGTCTTTTTTGATATTTGAAATCTACCAATTTTCTGGTCTAAATTTATTAACTCATTAAATATTTATTAGGTGCATTTTATATGCCAGACATTGTTCTAGGTGCTGGAGATAGAATAGTGAACAAGGCAGACAATATTCTGCCTTCTTTCTGGTAAAGGGAAGACAGGCAACATAAAAATAAGAATATATATAAGGAAACAATTATAACATACTTAAGTAAACAACATAATATCAGAGGATAGAAGTTCCTATGAAGGAAATAGCAGGATGCTGGAAACCCTTGGGATGGGGAAGGATTGTAACTTAGTAGTTAAGGAAGGCCACTCTGAGGGAATGACATTTGACTTGAAACCTAAAATATGAGATATTTTTCTCCCTGGGAAAAGATGGAGAAAAAACATCTCAGGAACAGGAAGAGCAAATGCAAAGAATAAAAGCAAGAATAAAGTTGACATATTTAAGAAACAAGAAACGACTAGAGAATGATCTGAGAAGACAAAGTGTTGGGCAAAGTCCAGATCATGAGGACTTTTTAGGCTACAGAAAAAAGTTTGGATCTGATTCTGTGAGTGGTGAGAAGCTGTGGAAGGGTTTTAAGGAAGAGAAGGCATGAGTAGGCTATTAGCTCTCAGACTACTATATGGGAAAGACTATTAGGAGACATTAATGGAGCAGGGATGCCAACAGAAGGTTACTGTGGCTGTCCAGAATAGAGGTCATGGTGCCTTGGACTCAGGTGACGGCAAGTAAGATGGAGAGAGGGGGCTGGATATCAGATGTGTTTCAGAGACATCACAGACAGAACTTTCTGATGAATTGGCTGTGTGATGTGGATGAACAAGAGGAATCAAGAATGACACATGAGTTTTTAGCTTGAGCAACAGGGTAATTATACTTGGAAGGAAAAGATGGTGGGCAAAGGGTTTGAGAGGATGGAAGTCAAGAGAAATATTCTGGACATGCAAAAGTTTAGCTGCACATGCAAGTGGAAATGCTAAGTAGGTAGATGGATATCTATTACCGGAATTCTAGAGAGTTTAAAGATACAGATTTGGGTGATACTGGTATGCATATGGTACGTAAAGCCACAGAACAGGATAAAAACACCTAAGGAAACAGAATACATAGAAAAGAGAAAGTGGTTTAGTGCTAAGTACTCCACCACTATAGGTTGTGGAGAGTGGAGAGGAGTCTGCAACACAGACTGAAAGAGAGGGACCCCTGCCATGGTGGGAAAACTAGAAAATTGTGGTATCTCTAAAATGGAGTGAGACATTACAAAAACAGCAGCACTATCTTCTTTAAGGAATTTGTTCCTTTCTATGTCAACTATACACAGTTTATGGAGAGGACGTTTCACATAGGATTCTTCACACTATTTGCAGAACACAGTGAGAACCTACATTTCATCCTTTCTACTTTCAGATCCTGGACACACCACTACTGCTGTACCAGTGAGGGACTAGTTTCACTAGTTATTTCAGCAGAGAGAATTTAATGTAAATAATTGTTAACTCGGCCGGGCGCGTTGGCTCACGCCTGTAATCCCAGCATTTTGGGAGGCCGAGGCGGGTGGATCATGAGGTCAGGAAATCAAGGCCATCATGGTGAACCTCGTCTCTACTAAAAATACAAAAAATTAGCTGGGCGTGGTGCCTGGTGCCTGTAGTCCCAGCTACTCAGGAGGCTGAGGCAGGAGAATGGCATGAACCCAGGAAGGTGGAGCTTGCAGTGAGCCGAGATCAGGCCACTGCACTCCATCCTGGGCGACAGAGCGAGACTCCGTCTCAAAAAAAAAAAAAAAAAAATTGTTAACTCGATACTGAAAAATTGTTTTAGAGAAAGCAAGCACTCTTAAAGGAAGCAAACGCAGTAAGAAGCTGCCACCTGGAGGCCTTAAGGGTATGAAGGGAAGAGGTTGGAATTATTAATATGTAGACGATTAGAGGAGGGGCTTCTTGGAGCTGAGCCTTATGCCTCTGAGGAGTAAGTACTGCTGGCTGCTGCTAGTGCCCCTGAGTTCAGAGATGAGACTCACAGCACCCAGATCTCAAGTTAGGGATATCAGCCAGCTGGTACTGGTGTCTCTGAGAGCATAAAATAAAACTGGGTTTGCTTGTATTAGAAAAACTGCAAACTGAACTCAACTGCTACTAAGGGAATAAACTCTCCTTGCCAGGGTAAAGATGTGTTGCTAGGATGATGTTCTCAGAATCAGAAAGCAAGAAAGCAAGTCTTTCTCCCTTCTCCAACTACCAGGCATCCCCTAATGACAGAGTCTAGCAGAAAGCCAGCTAGCAAAGCAGAAATGGGGTTAGCAGTCCCAGCCCCAGTGTCATAGAGCAAACAAGCATGGTTTGGGATCATATATATATATATATACACACACACACATATATACACATACATATATACATACATATATACACATACATATATATACACATACATATATACATACATATATACACATACATATATATACACATACATATATACATACACATACACATACATATATATACACATATATATACACATACATATATACACTCTATATGTGTGTATATATATGTATTTATACATATATATATACACTTTAAGTTCTGGGTTACAAGTGCAGAACATGCAGTTTTGTTACATAAGTATACACATGCCCTGGTGGTTTGCTGCACCCATCAACCCATCACCTACATTAGGTATTTCTCCTAATGTTATCCCTCCCCTAGCCCCCCACCCGCTAACAGGCCCCTGTGTCTGATGTTCCCCTCCCTGTGCCCATGTGTTCTCATTGTTCAACTCCCACTTATGAGTGAGAACATGCCGTGTTTGGTTTTCTGATCTTGTGATAGTTTGCTGAGAATGATGGTTTCCAGCTTCATCCTTGCAAAGTACATGAACTCATCCTTTCTTATGGCTGCATAGTATTCCATGGTGTATATGTGCCACATTTTCTTTATCCAGTCTGTCATTCATGGACATTTGTGTTGTTTCCAAGTCTTTGCTATTGTGAATAGTGCCACAGTAAACATACATGTACATGTGTCTTTATCATAGAATGATTTATAATCCTTTGGGTATAAGCCCAGTAATGGAATTGCTGGGTCAAATGGTATTTCCAGTTCTAGATCCTTGAGGAATAGCCACACTGTCTTCTACAATGGTTAAACTAATTTACACTCCCACCAACAGTGTAAAAGCGTTCCTATTTTTCCACAACCTCTCCAGCATCTGTTGTTTCCTGACTTTTTCATGATCATCATTCTAACTGGCATGAGATGGTATCTCATTGTGGTTTTGATTTGCATTTCTCTAATGACCAGTGATGATGAGCATTTTTTCATGTTTGTTGGCTGCATAAATGTCTTCTTTTGAGAAATGTCTGTTCATATCCCTTGCCCATTTTTTGATGGGGTTGTTTTTTTCTTGTAAATTTGTTTAAGTTCCTTGTAGATTCTGGATATTAGCCCTTTGTCAGATGGATAGATTGCAAAAATTTTCTCCCATTCTGAAATATGGGACTATGTGAAAAGACCAAATCTACGTTTGATTGGTGTACCTGAAAGTGATAGTTTTGGATCTTAAAGACAATATTTTAATAACTGGCATAGAAATGTCCTGAGAAAGCTAATCACTCGGCTCCCTTTAATCATAAGGCAAGGTGACTCAGCCCTCTGTCTTCCCATGCAAATTTGAGATGTGCAACGCTTTCCAACTACTGCTTTGAGTTTTAAGTCCTTTGCTGAGAAACACCAGTTACTCAAAACAGAGCACACCTGTATGGTTTATTTTTTCCAAAAAAACTCTCTCTATGGGTTTATCTGGAAGTATTTTAATATTGAAATATTTTAATCAAATACCATGTGAGAAGAGGAGAGGAGATTAAGAGATTCAGAAGGCAAGACAGGCCAGTGGGGAAAGGTCTGTGAAAGAACGCTTTGGGAACTGACAGTGAAAAAGAACTTTGGGAGGAGAACCAAAGTCTCTTTGGAGGATTCTTCTTAAATCTTACCAAGAAATATGCAAAGACTAGTCTAGTAAATCTCTTTACAAAATCTGCATTAAAATTTTCAACACTCACAGATGTTTTACGGACTTAGATTTTATTAACAGTAGTAAAATAGATAATGTATGCATTGGTAGAAAAGATGAAACAAAAGTATACATTATAATAATTACGTCTTTCTCCCACTCTATCCTCCAGCCAATAAATTCCCCTCCCGAAAGATACAAACAGATGCCATTTTTATTTGTCCTTTAACAAACATTCCACTTGTTATTTTTATTATTATCATGGATCTGTTTTACTCTTTTTATAGCTACATAATATTCCACAATATGGCTGACATAATAAATTATTAATATTTAAATATGATGGGTATTTGGCTGGTTTACAATTCTTTAACTATCATAAATAATGCTACAGTGACTTTTCTTATATATATATATATATATATAATTTTGTATATATATATCAACACATTGCTGATAGTAGCATAAAATGCACAATATTTATTTAGAAGAATTTGGCCATATTTTCAAAATTAAAGTGTACGATATAAACCCAGAAGGTTTACTTCTAGAATTTTAACATACATATAATTGTATATGTATGTTGTATTGTACATGGATAAAATACATACATATTGTATGTATGAGAGGGAGTCATTCCCCTTGATAAAAGGAGAGAGAAGAGTCAGGAGGACTTTCTCTCACAGCTTAGGCACAAGCTCAGCCACAGAGGGGTACAGCACCAAGAGGGCTCCTAGGGTCCATGATTCCAGGACCTCTTCTGGTCCAAGGCCAGAAGAGAGTTTAATGGCCAGAAAACAGAGCCCCAGGCCTGGCAGCATTCACCACAAGCTGACTGAAGAGCCTTGGGGAATCAAATGGACATAACCAATAGTCAGGTAGAACTAGCTGTGCACCTTGTTTGGCGGTAGCCATAGAGAGACTCCTCTGCTTCTGGAAAGGGGAGGGAAGGGTACGAAGGACTTTGTCTTGTGACTTGAGTGTCAGTATATGGCACTCCACCCAACACCGGAGCAGCAAGATACACAAAGCAAGTATTATTAAAGAGAGAGAGACCCTAATACAATACAATACAATAAGACTGCAGCATCCCACTTTCAGCATTGGACAGATCTCCCAGACAGAAAATCAGCAAAGAAACATCAGACTTAATCTGCACTATAGACCAAATAGACCTGATCGATATTTACAGAACATTTCATTTAATGGCTGCAGAACACACATTTTTCTCCTCAGCACATGGATCATTCTCGAGGATAGACGCTATATGTTAGCCCACAAAACAAGCCTTTAAAAAATCCAAAAATCATTAAAATTATATCAGGTATCTTCTCTGACCACAACGGAATGAAACTAGAAGTCAGTAACAACAGGAATTTTGGAAATTAACAAATGAAAATTAAACAATATGCTCTTGAATGATTAGTAGGTTAATGAAGAAATCAAGAAGGAAATTTTAAAATTTCTTGAAACAAATAATAATGGAAACAAAAGACACCAAAATGTATGGGATACACCAAAAGCACAACTAAGAGGAAAGGTTATAGATACTAAGTGCCAATATTTAAAAAGTAGAAGAACTTCAAATAAACAACCTCACAATGCATCTTAAAGTACTAGAAAAGGAAGAGCAATCCAAACCCAAAATTAATAGAAGAAAAGAAATAATAAAGATCAGTGCAGAAATAAATGAAATTAAAATAAAGAAAACAATACAAAAGACCAACCCCAAACAATTAGTTTTTTTAAAAGATAAAATCAACACACCCTTGGCCAGACTAATTAAGAAAAAAAAGAGAGAAGACCAAAATACATAAAATCAGAGACATAAAAGGAGATGTTGTAACTGATACCACAGAAATGCAAAGGATCATTAGAGGCTACTTTGAGCAACTGTACATCAATAAATTGGAAAACCTAGAAGAAATGGATAAATTCCTAGACACATACAACCTACCAAGATTAAACAATGAAGAAATCCAAAACCTGAACAGATCAATAACAAATAATGAGATCGAACCATAATAAAAAGTCTCCCAGCAAAGAAGAGCCCAGGACCTAATGGCCTCACTGCTGAATTTTACCAAACATTTAAAGAACTAATATCAATCCTACTCAAACTATTCTGAAAAACAGAGGAGAACATACTTTCAAACTTATTCTATGAGGCCAGTATGACCCTGATACCAAAACCAGACAAAGAAACATTAAAAAATAAAAATAAAAATAAAGACTACAGGCCAATATCCCTGATGAACATTTATGCAAAAGTCCTCAACCAAATACTAGCAAACTGAATTCAGCAACACATTAAAAAGTCAAATTATCCTTGTTCATAAATGATATGACTTAATATTTGGAAGAATATAAAGACTCTACAAAAAAACTATTAGAAGTGATAAATTTAGTAAAGTTGCAGGATACAAAATCAGCATATAAAAATCAGTAGCATTTTTTATATGCCGACAGCAAACAATCTGAAAAAGAAATCAAGAAAGTCATCCCATTTACAATAGCTGCAAATAAAATTAAACACCTAGGAATTAACCAAAGAAGTGAAAGAACTCTACAACACAAACTATAAAACATAGATGCAAGAAATTGAAGAGGACACAAAAAAAATGGAAAGATATTCCATGTTCATAAATTGGAAGAACCAATATTGTTAAAATGTCCATACTCCCCAAAGCAATCTACAATCAAAATACCAATGCAATCTCTATCAAAATACCAAAGACATTCTTCACAGAAACAGAAAAAACAATCCTAAAATTTATGTGGAACCACAAAAGACCCAGAATAGCTAAAACAATCCTAAGCAAAAAGAACAAAACTGAAGGAATCATATTACCTGACTTCAAGTCATACTACAGAGCTACAGTGACCAAAACGGCATAGTACTGGCATAAAAACAGACACATAGGTCAGTGAAACAGAATAGAGAGCCCAGAAATGAATTCATACATCTACAGTGAACTCATTTTTGACAAAGGCTCCAAGAACATGTATTAGGGAAAGTACAATCTTTTCAAGAAATGGTGCTGGGAAAACTGGATATGCATATGCAGAACAATGAAACTAGACCCCTATCTCTTGCCATATAATCAAAATGGATTAGAGACTTAAATCTAAGATCTCAAACTATGAAACTACTAAAAGAAAACACTGGGGGGAACTCTCCAGGACACTGGAGTGAGCAAAGACTTCTTGAGCAATACCTCACAGGTACAGGCAACCAATGCAAAAATAGACAAATGGGATCATATCAAGTTAAAAAGCTTCTCTGCACAGCAAAGGAAACAATCAACAAAGTGAAGAGACAACCTACAGAATAGGAGAAAATATTTGCAAACTACCCATCTGAGAAGGGATTAATAACCAGACTATATGAGGAGCTCAAACAACTCTATAGGAAAAAATCTAATAATCCCATTTAAAAAATGGGCAAAAGATCTGAATAGACATTTCTCAAAAGAAGACATAAAAATGACAAGCAAGTATATGAAAGGGTGCTCAACATCATTGATCATCAGAAAATGCAAATCAAAACTGCAATGAGATATCATCTCATAGAATGGCTTTTATCGAAAAGACAGGCAATAACAAATGCTGGTGAGAATGTGGAGAAAAGGAAACTCTCATACATTGTTGGTGGGAATATAAGTAAGTACAACCACTATGGAGAACAGTTTGAAGGTTCCTCAAATAACTAAAAATAGAGCTACCATGTGATCCAGCAATCCCACTGCTAGGTATATACTCAAAAGGAAAAAATATTTTTAAAAAGCAATATATCAAGGAGATATCTGCACTCCCATGTTTATCGCAGCACTATTCACAATAGCCAATATTTGGAAGCAACTTAAGTGTCTATCAATAGATGAATAGATAAAGAAAATGTAGTACACATACACAATGGAGTACTATTCAGCCATAAAAAAGAATGAGATCCTGTCATTTGCAATAACATGGATGGAACTAGAGGTCATTATGTTAAGCGAAATAAGCCAGGCACAGAAAGACAAGCTTCACATGTTCTCACTTATTTGTGGAAGCTAAAAATTACAGTTGAACTCATGGAGATAGAGCATAGAATGACGGTTACCAGAGGCTGGTAAGGGTAGTGAGCCTGGGGGTGGGGGCAGACTGGGGATGGTTAATGGGTACAGAAATATAGTTAGATAGAATAAGTAAGACCTAGTATTTGATAGCACAACAGGGTGACTACAGTCAACAACAATTTATTGTACATTTTTAAATAACTAGAAGAGTATAAATAGGTTGTTTGTAACACAAAGAAAGGATTAATACTTGAGGTGATGGATATTTTGTTTACCCTAATGTGATGTGATTATTACACATTATATGCTTGTATCTTATGTACCCTATAAATATATACATGTACTATGTATGCACAAAAATAAAAAACAAAATAATATTTTGTGACCTGTGAAAAGTATATGAAATCAACATATTAGTGTCCAGAAATAAAGTGTAATCAGAACACAGCCATGTTTATTTATATTACATATTGTCTATGGCAGCTTTCACTCTACAGTTGCAAATTTGAGTAGTTGTGACAGAAACGATATGGCCTACAAAGCCTAAAATACTATCTGGCCCTTTACAGGAAAGGTGTGCTGCCCCCATTGACTGTCGCAAATGCTGCTATTGCACTATCCTCATCCTCTTGGCCCTCTCGGGAGGACCTCTGTTGACTGCTCTGGACAATGCCAATGGCTTCCTGTGCCTGTCTGCCTTAGGATGCTCTCTGCCACGGACCAGTCAGGCCACAGAAGTTGATGCCCCAGGAGCCACATTTAACCAGTAAGGAATGGGAGTTCATGGATAAATACCTGAGCTTTTCTTCTCCTTTGTATATCAATTCTGAGAGGTGTTCTACACAGTTTATCAGAGTGTTCCCAAGGGAGGTGAGCCCCAGCTGTCTAAGCAGTATCCCACTCACAGATGTACTCATATTGGTTTCCTACCCTCTGTTTCTTTCCTATTGCTTCGCATTGCCTCCTGGAATCTCCTCCCAAATAAGTTCCTCTTCCCCACCCAAGTCTTAGTCTTAGGGATTATTTCTAGGAGGGTTGCCACTCAAATTATTTCTCGCCATTCATTTCTCCCATGAATAGAATTTTAACTGCTGAGAGCAACCCAGCTACAGACTACAATTCCCAAAGTCTCTTATGGCTAGCTATGGCCATGTGCCTAATTTCTCACTATTGGATTCCAAGAGGAAATTATACAGGCTACTTCTATATCATTTAATCAAAAAGACATGTCTGGCCCTGGACTTTTTAACTGGGCTTGGACATTTTAGGGTGCATTTCAATCCCTAAACTGGAGTTAAAATGCACAAAGCAGCAACTCAGATTTAGCCATGTGAATGAGAATAACACCCTAGAAAATGATAGAGCAAAAAGACGGGAGGAACCTGGGTCCACAAATAGCTTCATGGAACCTGGTCCTAGGCCAGCTAGAATGTTTTGTGAAAAAGCAATAAACTTCTACCTTACTTGATCCTTCATTCTACTTGGGGTCTCTTTATTATACCAATTTAACTTCAATTAAGATATTAATAAAAATCACTTAGAAAAATATAAGGAAAAATTGCTGTTCACAATAATAACCAAAGCTTTAAAATACCTAATAATAAACTCAACATAAAATGTGCAAGACACAAATGAAGAAAGTTATAATACTTTGAAGTTGAAGAAGTTGTAGAGACATTAATAAGTAGGCATACTGTGTCCGGAATTGGTGGTTCTTGGTCTCACTGACTTCAAGAATGAAGCCGCAGACCCTCACAGTGAGTGTTACAGTTCTTAAAGGTGGCGTGTCCGGAGTTTGTTCCTTCTGATGTTTGGATGTGTTCGGAGTTTCTTCCTTCTGGTGGGGTTTGTGGTCTCACTGGCTCAGGAGTGAACCTGTGGACCTTCGCGGTGAGTGTTAACAGCTCTTAAGGCGGTGTGTCTGGAGTTGTTCTTTCCTCCCGGTGGGTTCGTGGTCTCGCTGGCTTCAGGAGTGAAGCTGCAGACCTTTGTGGTGAGTGTTACAGCTCATAAAGGCAGTGTGGACCCAAAGAGTGAGCAGCAGCAAGATTTATTGCAAAGAGCGAAAGAACAAAGCTTCCACAGTGTGGAGGGGGACCCAAGCGGGTTGTCACTGCTGGCTCCAGCAGCCTGCTTTTATTATCTTATCTGGCCCCACCCACATCCTGCCGATTGGTCCATTTTACAGAGAGCCCAGTGGTCTGTTTTGACAGGGTGCTGATTGGTGTGCTTACAATCCCTGAGCTAGACACAAAAGTTCTCCACGTCCCCAATAGATTAGCTAGATACAGAGTGTGGACACAAAGGTTCTCCAAGTCCCCACCAGAGTAGCTAGATACAGAGTGTCGATTGATGCATTCACAAACCCTGAGCTAGGCACAGGGTGCTGATTGGTGTGTTTACAAACCCTGAGCTAGATACAGAGTGCCGATTGGTGTATTTACAATCCCTTAGCTAGACATAAAGGTTCTCCAAGTCCCCACCAGAGTAGCTGGATACAGAGTGTCGATTGGTGCATTCATAAACCCTGAGCTAGACACAGGGTGCTGATTGGTGTATTTACAATCCCTTAGCTAAACATAAAGGTTCTCCTCCAAGTCCCCACCCGAGTCAGGAGCCCAGCTGGCTTTACCCAGTGATCCCGCAACGGGGCCACAGGTGGAGCTGCCTGCCAGTCCCGCGCCGTGTGCCCACACTCCTCAGCCCTTGGGTGGTCGATGGGACTGGGCACCGTGGAGCAGGGGGCGGCACTCGTCAGAGAGGCTCAGGCTGTGCAGGAGCCCACGCAGGGAGGGGAGGCTCAGGCATGGCGGGCTGCAGGTCCCCAGCCCTGCCCCATGGGGAGGCAGCTAAGGCCCGGCAAGAAATTAAGCACAGCAGCTGCTGGCCCAGGTGCTAAGCCCCTCACTAACTGGGGCCGGCGGGGCCAGTCAGCCACTCTGAGTGCAGGCCCGCTGAACCCACACTCACCTGGAACTTGCGCTGGCCCGCAAGCACCGCCCGCAGCCCCGGTTCCCGCCCGCGCCTCTCCCTCCACACCTCCCTGCAAGCTGAGGGAGCCGACTCTGGCCTTGACCAGCCCAGAAAGGGGCTCCCACAGTGCAGTGGCGGGCTGAAGGGCTCCTCAAGTGCTGCCAAAGCAGGAGCCCAGGCAGAGGAGGCGCCGAGAGTGAGCAAGGGCTGCCAGCGTGCTGTCACCTCTCAGTACTATATTTTGGGTAAAAAGTTTTTCTACTTGAAGGATATGAGTTCCACAAATTTAATCTTAAATGTAATGCAATGGCACTTAAATACCAAACAATATTTCTTAAAATAGAACCTAACTAAATAATTTAAAAATTTATCAGTTTAGAAAAACTTTAGAATAACAAGAATTTTTTTAAGAGATGAGGTCTTGCTCTGTTGCCCAGGTTGGAGTGCAGTGGCACAATCATAGCTCACTGCAGCCTCAAACTCCTGGGCTCAAGCAATCCTCCTGCCTCAGCCTCCCAAGTAGCTGGGACTACAGTTGCCCATCAACTTTCCCAGTTAATTCACTTTATTTATACAGACAAGGTCTCATTATATTGGCCAGGCTGCTCTCAGACTTCTGGCTTCAAGCAATTCTCTCGCCTTGGCCTCCCAAAGTGCTGAGATTACAGGCATGAGCCACTGTGCCCAGCCTAATCAGAACTTTCTGGCAAAAAATAAACATGATGACAGATGTATTGTGTCAGTGCTCATTTTCAGAAAACAGAATCTATCTAATTAGCATAAGAAGAATAATTCTAGATATGAAGTACAGTTCCAGAACCATTGGGAAAGCGAACAAAACAGAACTTAGGCTGAGTTTCCAGGAACATCTCCCAAAGCCTCAATCAGGCCACCAAGAGAGCAGCTGCGCCTCGAAGAATCAGGAAGTTACTGGCTGCATAATGCCTCCCGTTTGTCACAATCCGTATCAAGGTGGAGCCAGACAAGGGCACCTCCGCCACAGCTGTGATAGAAAACTCAAATGCATCCTCCTCTGTGCTTGCCAGCAGATGGCAAAGAGCAGCCTCCAAAACACTGTGTTCCATTTTCTCCTTCCAAATATTAAATCTCAAACAGAACTGCAACTGCAAGAGAAGTTGTGCAGTGTAGCTTTTAGCCTTCTCACATTTGAAAGGAACTGGATTAAATGTTGAACGAGCCCCTCTGCAGAAACTGCCATAGTAGAATTCCACCACAGGAGGAATCCTGTCCCTCAAAAGGACAAAAGTCAATATCCAAAAACATGATCATTAATATATGAACATTTGGTAAAAGATAAATATGGCATCTCAAAGAAGTGAAAAAAGTATGAGATTTAATTAAATGAGTGTTGGAACAACTGGTAAGCCATTTATATAATTATAAAGCTACATCTTTCACACACCATGCAGAAAGAGCAATTCCAGATGGATTAAAAAACTAAATGTTGAAAAGCAAAAATATAAAAGAAAAAATATAATATTTGTATTGCCTTGGAGTGAAAAAGGCCCTCTTAAGTGAGCTACAGACCCAGAAATCATAAAAGAAAAAAAACCTGACACACGTGACTCTACAATATTTAAAATTTCTATACCCTGAAGCCCACCATATTAAATTAAGATGAGTAACATACTGGGAGAAAATAGTTGCAACATACACAAGATTAATAACTTCATTACCTAGAGATTACTTACAAATCAAATAAGAGCAACTAAATAACCAATGTAAAAATTTACAAAGGATATATGGAGGTAATTATCAAAAAATACAAATATAGTCATTTATCGCTTAATGAAAACAACCTCAATAGTACCATAGACCAGCAGTCCCCAACCTTTTTAGCACCAGGGACTGATTTTGTGGAAGACAATCTTTCCACAGACAGGAAGGGGGGTTGAAGGGGTTGGGGTGGAGGTGGAGGGATGGTTTTAGGATGACTCAAGCACATTAAATGTATTTTTAGATTCTCATAAGGATTAAGCAACCTAGACCCCTAGCATGTGCAGTTCACAATAGGGTTTGCTAGATTCTCTCCTATGAGAATCTAATGCCACTGTTGACAGGACAGGAGGTGGAGCTCAGGCAGTAATACTGGCTTGCCTTCTGCTCACCTCCTACTGTGCAGCCTGGTTCCTAACAGGCCAATGGCTGGTACTGGTCCACAGTGTGGGAGTTGGAGACCCCTCACACAGACAGTTATTTTGGATAAACATAGAAACTGACCCTCTGGTCTTAAAGCTTACGTTTGTTTTATCTGAGTTCCTTCCTCAAGAAAGGACCCCCCAGGCTTCTCAAAAAGTATCAAAGAACTGAAACTCACCAGATCACTGCATCCAATGAGATGCCAGACCCCTCATTTTGTTTCCTTACACTTCTCTAGTTCCTGTTTTCCAATACATTGTTATATTTCTTCCCTGCTATATAAAGCCCTAATTTTAGTCGGTCAGGGAGATGGATTTGAGACTGATCTCCCATCTCCTCGACTGCAGCACCCAATAAAGCCTTCTTCCTTGGCAATACTTGTCTCAGTCATTGGCTTGCTGTGCAGCCAGCAGCAGGACCTAGACCAAACCACTGATATTCAGTAACATTAACAACAGGGGTACATTGTAAGAAATGTGTCATTAGGCAATTTTGTTATTGTGTGAATCTCACAGAGTATACTTACACAAACCTAGATGGTATTGCCTACTGTACACTTAGGCTGTAGGGCATAGCCTATTGCTCCTAGGCTACAAATCTGGAAAGCATATTACTATACTGAATATTGTAGGCAATTATAACATAATGGTAAGTATTTGTGTATCTAAACATAGAAAAGATAATGTGTTGCACTAAGACATTATGTCACTAGGTAAAAGGAACTTTTCAGATCCATTATAATCTTACAGGGCTACTGTCTAATATACAGTTCATCCTTGACCAAAACATCATTATGCAGTGCATTACCATGGTTAATACATATATTCAACTTCACTAGTAACCAGGAATATTCAAATGCTAACAATAATTCACCATTTTCATCCACTAAAGTGACAATAGCTGGGCGTCGTCATGGTTCATGCCTGTAATCCCAGCATTTGGGAAGGCTAAAGCAGAAGGATCACTTGAAACCAGGAGTTTAAGACCAGCCTGGGCAACATAAGGAGACCCTATCTCTACAAACAATAAAAAATTAGCCAGCCATGGTGGTGCTTGCCTGTGGTCCCAGCTACGCAGGAGGTTGAAGTGGGAGGATCTCTTGAGCCCAGGAAGTCAAGGCTGCAGTGAGCCATGATCATGCCACTGCACTACAGCCTGGCTGACAGAGCAAGACCCTGTCTCAATAAATAAATAAATAAATAAATAAATAAATAAATAAAGTGACAATAATTTAAAAGAGTAATAATAGTCATATTGAGGATGTCTGCTCTTACTACTCTTATTGTATATTTATTATATATTGTATTAAAGGGCTTCATCAGTAAGAAACAGCAAAAAGATAAAATAAAAGATTAGAAATAAAGAATGACTGTCTACAAAGAAAGTCCCAAACAACCTACAAAATTTCTGATAAGAGATTTTCCGGGCAAGATGACCGAAAAGGAACAGCTCCGGTCTGCAGCTCCCAGCAAAACCAAGGAAGGAGGCATGTTATTTCTGCATTGCCAACTGAGGGACCCAGTTCATCTCACGGGGACTAGTTACACAGTGGGTGCAGCCCACGGAGGGCGAGTTGAAGCAGGATAGGGCATCACCTCACCCAGGAAGGAAGCACAAGGGGTTGGGAAACTCACCCACCTAGCCAAGGGAAGCCGTGAGGGACCACGCCATGAGGGATGGTGCACTCCGGCCCAGATGCTATGCTTTTCCCACAGTATTCACAGCCTACAGACCAGATTCCCTCAGATGACTACACCACAAGGGCCCTGGGTTTCAAGCACAAAACTGGATGGCAGTTTAGGAAGACACTGAGCTAGCTGTGGGAGTTTTTGTTTGTTTGTTTGTTTGCTTGTTTGTTTTTTCACCTCAATGGCCCCTGGAACCCCAGCGAGGCAGAACCATTCACTCCCCCTGGAAACGGGGCTGAAGCCAGGGAGCCAAGTGGCCTTGCTCAGCAGATCCCACCCCCATATAAGATCCATTGGCTTGAAATACTCGCTGCCAGCACAGTAGTCTGAAGTGGACCTGGGATGCTCGAGCTTGGTGTGGGGAGAAGTGTCCAGCATTAATGAGGCTTGAGTAGGTGGTTTTCCCTTCACAGTGTAAACAAAGCTGCCAGGAAGTTTGGACTGGGCAGAACAAATGGCAGTGCCACAAAGCCACTGTAGCCAGACTGCCTCTCTATATTCCTCCTCTCTGGGCAGGGCATCTCTGAAAGAAAGGCAGCAGCCCCAGTCAGGGGCTTATAGATAAAACTCCATCTCCCTGGGACAGAGCACCTGGGGGAAAGGGGCGGCTGTGGGTGCAGTTTCAGTAGACTCAAACAATTCTGCCTGCCACTGGAGAGAGCAGTGGATCTCCCAGCACAGCGCTCGAGCTCTGCTAAGGGACAGATTGCCTCCTCAAATGGGTCCCTGACCCCCATGCCTCCTGAGAAAGAGATACCTCCCAGCAGGGGTCGACAGACACCTCATACAGGAGAGCTTCAGCTGGCATCTGGCGGGTGCCCCTCTGGGACGAAGCTTCCAGAGGAAGGAGCAGGCAGCAATCTTTGCTGTTCTGCAGCCTCCGCTGGTGATACCCAGGCAAACAGGGTCTGGAGTGGAACCCCAGCAAACTTTAGCAGACCTGCAGAAGAAGGGCCTGACTGTTAGAAGGAAAACTGACAAGAAGAAAACAATAACATCAACATCAACAAAAAGGATGACAATGCAAAAACTCCATCTGAAGTTCACCAACAGCAAAGACTAAAGGTAGATAAATCACAAAGATGAGGAAAACCAGTGCAAAAAGGCTGAAAATTTCAAAAACCAGAATGCTTCTTCTCCTCCAAAGGATCACGACTCCTTGCCAGCAAGGGAACAAAGCTGGACAGACAATGAGTTTGATGAATTGACAGAAGTAGGCTTCAGAAGGTGGGTAATAACAAACTCCTCCGAGCTAAAGGAGCATGTTCTAACCCAATGCAAGGAAGCTAAGAACCTTGGTAAAGGGTTAGAAGAATTGCTAACTAGAATAACCAGTTTAGAGAAGAACATAAATGACCTGATGGAGCTGAAAAACATAGCACAAGAACTTCGTGAAGAATACACAAGTATCAATAGCTGAATCGATAAGCAGAAGAAAGGATATCAGAGACTGAAGATCAACTTAATGAAATAAAGCATGAAGACAAGATTAGAGAAAAAAAGAATGAAAAGGAACAAACAAAGCCTCCAACAAATATGGGACAATGTGAAAAGACCAAATCTATGTTTGACTGGTGTACCTGAAAGTGATGGGGAGAATGGAACCAAGTTGGAAAACACACTTCAGGTTATTATCCAGGAGAACTTCCCCAACCTAGCAAGACAGGCCAGTATTCAAATTCAGGAAATACAGAGAACACCACAAAAATACTCCTCAAGAAGAGCAACTCCAAGACACATAAAATCGTCAGATTCACCGAGGTTGAAATGAAGGAAACAACGTTAAGGGCAGCCAGAGAGAAAGGTCAGGTTACCCACAAAGGGAAGCCCATCAAACTAACAGTGGATCTCTTGGCAGAAAGCCTACAAGCCAGAGGAGAGTGGAGGCCAATATTCAACATTCTTAAAGAAAAGAATTTTCAACCCAGAATTTCATATCCAGCCAAACTAAGCTTCATAAGCGAAGGAGAAATAAAATCCTTTCCAGACAAGCAAATGGTGAGGGATTTTGTCATCACCAGGCCTGACTTACAAGAGCTCCTGAAGGAACCACTAAATATGGAAAGGAAAAACCAGTACCAGACACTGCAAGAACAAACCAAAATGTAAAGACCATCGATACTATGAAGAAACTGCGTCAACTAAAGGGCAAAATAACTAGCTAACATCATAATGACAGGATCAAATTCACAAATAACAATATTAACCTTAAATGTAAATGGGCTGAATGTTCCAATTAAAAGGCACCAACTGGCAAATTGGATAGTCAAGACCCATTGGTGTGCTGTAGTCAGGAGACCCATCTCATATGCAAAGACACACACAGGCTCAAAATAAAGGAATGGAGGAATATTTACCAAGCAAATGGAAAGCAAAAAAAAAAAAAAAAAAAGCAGTGGTTGCAAACCTAGTCTCTGATAAAACAGACTTTAAGCCAACAAAGATCAAAAAAGACCAAGAAGGGCATTACATAATGGTAAAGGGATCAATGCAACAAGAAGAGCTAACTATCCTAAATATATATGCACCAAATACAGGAGCACCCAGATTCATAAAGCAAGTTCTTAGAGACCAACAGTGTGACTTAGACTCCCACACAATAATAGTGAGAGACTTTAACACCCCACTGTCAATATTAGACAGATAAACAAGACAGAAAATTAACAAAGACATCTACAGAACTCTCCACCTCAAATCAACAGAATATACATCCTTCTCAGCACCACATAGCACTTATACTAAAATTGACCACATAATTGGAAGTAAAATACTCCTCAGCAAATGCAAAAGAACAGAAATCATAACAAACAATCTCTCACACCACAGTACAATCAAATTACAACTCAGGTTTAAGAAACTCACTCAAACCGCACAACTACATGGAAACTGAACAACCTGCTCCTGAATGACTACTGAGTAAATAACAAAATTAAAGCAGAAATAAATAAGTTCTTTGAAGCCAGTAAGAGCAAAGACACAACATACCAGAATGTCTGGGACACAGCTAAACCAGTGTTTAGAAGAAAATATATAGCACCAAATCTCCACAGGAGAAAGTGGGAAAGATCTAAAATCAACACCCTAACATCCACAATTATAAGAAATAGAGAAACAAGAGCAAACAAGTTCTAAAGCTAGCAGAAGACAAGAAGTAACTAAGATTAGAGCAGAACTGGAGGAGATAGAGGCATGAAAAACCCTTCAAAAATCCATAAATCCAGGAGCTGTTTTTTTTAAAGATTAACAAAATAGATACACCACTAGCCAGACTAATAAAGGAAAGAGAGAAGAATCAAATAGACACAATAAAAAATGATAGAGGGGATATCACCACTGATTCCACAGAAATACAAACTACCATCAGAGAACACTATAAACACCTCTATGCAAATAAACTAGAAAATTTAGAAGAAATGGATAAATTCCTGGACACATACACCCTCCCAAGACTAAACCAGGAAGAAGTTGGACCCCTGAATAGACAAATAACAATTTCTGAAATTGAGGCAGTAATTAATAGCCTACCAACCGAAAAAAGCCCAGGCCCAGAAAGATTCACATCTGAATTCTACCAGAGGTACAAAGAGGAGCTGGTACCACTCCTTCTGAAACTATTCCAAACAATAGAAAAAGAGGGAATTCTCCCTAACTCACTTTATGAGGCCAGCATCATCCTGATACCAAAACCTGGCAGAGACACAAAAAGAAAATTTCAGGCCAATATCCCTGATGAACATCAATGTGAAAATCCTCAATAAAATACTGGCAAACAGAATCCAGCAGCACATTAAAAAGCTTATTCACCACGATCAAGTTGGCTTCATCCCTGGGATGCAAGGCTGGTCCAACATATGCAAATCAATAAACATAATCTATTACATAAACAGAACCAATGACAAAAACCACATGATTATCCCAATAGATGCAGAAAAGGCCTTTGATAAAATTCCACACCCTTTATGCTAAAAACTCTCAATAAAATAATTATTGATGGAACATATCTCAAAATAGTAAGAGCTATTTATGACAAACCCACTGCCAATATCATACTGAATGGGCAAAAACTGGGAGCATTCCCTTTGAAAACTGGCACAAGCCAAGCTGCCCTCTCTCACCACTCCTATTCAACATAGTATTGGAAGTTCTGGCCAGGGCAATCAGGCAAGAGAAAGAAATAAAGGGTATTCAAATAGGAAGAGAGGCAGTGAAATTGTCTCTGTCTGCAGATGACATGATTGTAATTTAGAAAACTCCATCGTCTCAGCCCAAAATCTCCTTAAGCTGATAAGCAACTTCAGCAAAGTCTCTGGATACAAAATCAATGTGCGAACATCACAAGCACTCCTATACACCAATAACAGACAAACAGAGAGCCAAATCATGAATGAACTCCCAATTCACAATTGCTACAAAGAGAATAAAATACCTAGGAATCCAACTTACAAGGGACGTGAAGGCCCTCTTCAAGGAGAACTACAAACCACTGCTCAAGGAAATAAGAGAGGACAAAAACAAATGAGAAAACATTCCATGCTCATGGATAGGAAAAGTCAATATCGTCAAAATGGCCATACTGCCCAAAATAATTTATAGATTCGATGCTATTCCCATCAATCTACCATTGACTTTCTTCACAGAATTAGGAAAAACTACTTTAAATTTCACATGAAAACAAAAAGAGCCCATATAGCCAAGACAATCCTAAGCAAAAAGAACAAACCCTGAGGCATCATGCTACCTGACTTCAAACTGTACTACAAGGCTACAGTAACCAAAACAGCATGGTACTGGTACCAAAACGGATATATAGACCAATGGAACAGAACAGAGGCCTCGGAAATAACATTATACATCTACAACCATCTGATCTTTGACAAACCTGACAAAAGCAAGCATTGGGGAAAGGATTCCCTATTTAAGAAACGGTATTGGGAAAACTGGCTAGCCATATGCAGAAAAAATTTAAACTAGACCTTTTCTTTACAACTTACACAAAAATTAACTCAAGATGGATTAAAGATTTAAATGTATGACCTAAGACCATAAAAACCCTAGAAGAAAACCTAGGCAATACCATTCAGGACATAGGCATGGGCAAAGATTTCATGACTAAAACACCAAAAGCAATGGCAACAAAAGCCAAAATTGACAATGAGATCTAATTAAACTAAAGAGCTTCTGCACAGCAAAAGAAACTATAATCAGAGTGAACAGGCAACCTACAGAATGGTAGAAAATTTTTGGAATCTATCCATCTGACAAAGGTCTAACATCCAGAATCTACAAGGAACTTAAACAAATTTACAAGAAAAAAAACAAACAACCCCATCTAAAAGCAGGCGAAGGATATGAACAGATACTTTATTTATTTATTATTATTTTTTTTTTGAGACGGAGTCTTGCTCTGTCGCCCAGGCTGGAGTACAGTGACACGATCTCGGCTTGGCTCACTGCAAGCTCCACCTCCCAGGTTCACGCCATTCTCCTGCCTCAGCCTCCCAAGTAGCTGGGACTACAGGTGCCTGCCACCACGCCTGGCTAATTTGTTTTGTATTTTTAGTAGAGATGGGGTTTCACCCTGTTAGCCAAGATGGTCTCAATCTCCGGACCTCATGATCTGCCTACCTCAGCCTCCCAATGAACAGGTACTTTTCAAAAGAAGACATTTACGTGGCTAACAAATGTGAAAAAAAAGCTCATCATCACTGGTTATTAGAGAAATGCAAATCAAAACCACAATGAGATACCATCTCACGCCAGTTAAAATGATGATCATTAAAAAGTCAGGAAACAACAGATGCTGTAGAGGATATGGAGAGATAGGAATGCTTTTACACTGTTGGTTGGGAGTGTAAATTAGTTCAACCATTATGGAAGACAGTGTGGCGATTCCCCAAGGATCTAGAACTAGAAATACCATTTGACACAGCCATCCCATTACTGGTATATACCCCCAAAGGATTATAAATCATTCTACTATAAAGACACATGAACACATGTGCTTATTGTGGCACTATTCACAATAGCAAAGACTTGGAACCAACCAAAATGCCCATCAATGTTAGACTGGATAAAGAAAACGTGGCACATACATACCATGGAATACTGTGCAGCCATAAAAAGGAATAAGTTCATGTCATTTGCAGGGACGTGGATGAAGCTGGAAACCATCATTCCCAGCAAACTAACACAGGAACAGAAAACCAAACACCGCATATTCTCATTCATAAGTGGGAGTTGAACAATGAAAACATATGTGCACAGGGAGGGGAACATCACACACCAGGGCCTGTCGGGGGTGGAGGGCAAGGGGAGTGATAGCATTAGGAGAAACACCTAATGTAGATGACGGGTTGAGGGGTGCAGCAAACCACCATGGCACATGTATGTAACAAGCCTACATGTTCTGTACATGTATCCCAGGACTTAAAGTATAATTTTTTAAAAAATTCTAATAGAATTATAAGTTTAGCAAAGCTGAAAAATACAAGTCAGAACACAAATCAATTTTGTTTCTATAAATTAGCCATAAAAATTTGGAAACTTAAATTTTAAATAAAATGCCATCTATAATAGCATTAAAAATCATAAAATACTTAGGGATAAACTTAAAATATGTGCACTCTTTGAATGCTAAAAATCACAAAACAATGATGAAAAAAATTGAAGAACACCTAAATAAATGGATGAAGGTATGTGCTCATAGGTAGGATAACCCAATATACTGTTAAAAGATCAATTCTCTTCAATGTGATTTATCAATTTAATGCAATCCCAATAAAAATTTCAGCCCTTTTTTGGTAGAAATTGACTAGATGACTAAAATTTGTAGAGAAAAGCAAAGGACTTAGAATACAATTTTTGGAGAAAGAAAGTTTGAGGACTCTCACCACCTGATTTCAAGACATCTTATAATGCTATAATAATCAAGAGAATGTGGTATTGGCACAAGGGCATGTAGATTAACAGAACAGAATAAAGAGTCTGGAAATTAACCTACATGTCAATCAAATTTTGACAAAGGCCCAAGGTAATACAATAGAGAAAAGACTGTCTCTTCAATAAATAGTGCTTGAACGATTGATCCTCTATATGCAAAAACTTGAACATAAACTTTACCACATAGATACAAAAATTAACTCAATATGGTCATACACCTAAGTGCAAAATCTAAAACTATAAAGCTTCTAGGAGAAACCAGAAGAAGAGAAGAGAAGAAGAGAAAAAATTGCTCACAACCACGGGCAAGGCAAAGCTTTCTTAGATATGATACAAAAAGCATGAGCTATAAACGAAAAAATTTTACTAAATTGGACTTCATTAATATTAAGGACTACTGCTCTTTGGAAAGCATTGCCAAAAAAGTGAAAGACAAGCTACTGAATGGAAGAAAATATTCACAAAACACATAAAGGACTTGTATCTAAAATATATTTTTAAAACTTTTAAAATTCAATTATAAGAAACAAACAAAATTTTTAAAGTGGGCATTGATTTAAACAGACACTTCACCAAGAAAAGATACCAATGACAGATAAATACACAACACGATGCTCAATATCATAAAAAATAAGAGAAGTACAAATTAATACTGCCATGAGATACCACTACACACTTAGTAGAAAAGCTAGGATTTTTTTTTTTTAAAGGAAAAATGAAAGAAAAAACTGACAATACCAAGGGCTAGTTCAAATGTGGAGTAACTGAAACTCTCATATTGCTAGTGGTAATGCAAAATGGTACAACCACTATGGAAAAAAAAATTTAGTATATTTTTAACTGAATCATACACTTATACTAGCCAGCAATCCCACTTCTAGATATTTACTTAAGAGAAATGAAAATATGTGTCTGGAGAAAGAATATATGTAAATGTTGAGCCTGGTATGTTGTCTCTCACCTGTAGTCCCAGCTACTCAGAAGGCTGAGGCAGGATGATCACTTGAGCCCAGGAGTTTGAAGCTGCATTGAGCTATGATCCTGCCACTGCCTTTCCGCCTGGGCAACAAAGTGAGTCCTTGTCTCAAAAACAAAAACAAAAACAAAAACGACTATACATGAATGTTTATAGTAGCTTTATCTATAATTGCCAAAAACTAAAAACAACCCAAATGTCCATCAGCTGGTAAATGGATAAACAAATTGTTGTATGTTCATAAAATATACTACTTGGTGATAGATTGAACTACTGATACACAATGTGGATATATCTCAAAAGCATTGTGCTAAGTGAAAGAAGCCAGATTCAAAAAATTACACACTGTAACTTATGTAACATTCTAGAAGTGAAACTAGATCACATCAATGGTTGCCAGAGACAAGGGTTAGGGGAAGAGACACTACAAAGTGGCACTAAGGAAGGGTTTGGGTGATGAAACGTTCTATATCTTGGTTGTAGTCTTGATTACAGAGCTGTATGTATTTGACCAGGATCATCAACTATACACCTAAAAGGGGTAAATTTTACTAACCATAAATCAGACCTCAATAAATCTGACCTAAAAACTCTGCATGTACAGTGTAACTTTTTTAAATCTATAGTTTGATAAGAAATTTTTAGAAATATGTTACTGTATCCTTCTGTCTTTTGCCCTCCTTATATTTGACCTTCTCCCAATTCAGCTAGAGGCTGAAAGTTGTTTTAGTGAAAATACAAAATGAAAGGAGTCAGTGTTAGGCAGAGGACTTATACATAAAGATGTTTTAGTCTATGGCAGAAAGAGAGGAAGCAGGAAGGCAGAGAGAGGCAGGGAGGGAAGGAAGGAGGGAGAAAGGGAGGGAGGGAGGGAGGGAAAAAAGTCTTGAAAGCCAAGATTTATTGAGAATGAATTCTATTATCCTAAAAATTCCTTAGAAACCAAGGCTCAGCAAGTTAAGCATAACATTTTCAAAATCCAAAGGTAAAGAGAATTCAAAAGGAGGAGTATGGCTGACTGAGAGGAGGAGAGAAACAGAGAAGAAACAGGCACACAATTAGATGTTCTCAGGGTCATTAAAATGGAGGGGAAAGAAGGGTAGAGAGGGTCAGAAGAACTCCCAGGGAGTCCCTATTCCCTGAGTGTAGCCAGAGGACACTGACAGCCTCTCAGAGGAGCCCGGCATTCAGTAGAGTGCTACATGCAAAAGAGCCCAGGATAAATGGCTGAGAGTGTTCAGCAGCTTGAAGCTCCTGAACTCCCTAGAAAGGGTTCTGGAAACATACCTCAAAACTATAGTCATTTCTCTAAAGAGGGCATCAGTGTTTGGGGAACTTAGGGGAAGTGCAACGGAAGACAGACTTTCACTTTTTAGTATGTACTTCTGTTTTGTTTCAATATTTTATTACAGAGAATATGTGTTATTACTTGTGTAATTAAAACCATATTTTAAAAGAGAAATCAGTAAATACAGAAAAACACAAATAATGAAATTTAAATCATACATAATGCCAGCTTCCAAAAGTAATCATTTTTCACATCTGATGTGTATAGTTCCAGTATCATAGAAAATATACTTTTATGTAAAATTACAATTGTCCTGTGATTGTGTAACCCATTTTCGTAACTACATGACATATTATGAACATTTTTCCACATAATTGGAATCTTAATTATGAGTGTCATTTTCCAGTACAGACTGTTAATGAAATCTCAATTACCCCTCGATCTTTTTCATGTAACATATCAAGAAAGCATTTCACCATTGAATAGTTCTTAAAATACACGTATAGTATTTCACTGTATTTGCATACCATAATTTATTTAACGAACATCCTATCTTTGAGATTTAAACATGTTTGGGGGAGGAAACAGCAAATAAGAACAATGCTGAAGACAGGTTTTTTTCACACACACGACTTGTTTTTTGTTTTGTTTTGTTTTGAAGAGATGGAGTCTTTCTCTGTTGCCCAGGCTGGAGTGCAGTGGCACGATCTCGGCTCACCACAACCTCCTCCTCCCAGGTTCAAACAATTCTCCTGCCTCAGCCTCCTGAGTAGCTGGGACTACAGGCACACGCCACCACGTCTAGCTAATTTTCTTTTGTATTTTAGTAGAGATGGGGTTTCACCATGTTGCCCAGGCTGGTCTCGAACTCCTAAGCTCAGGGAAAGGATAAATTTCTATTGGTGAAATTGTTGGATTAGAACCAAGAAAAACCTTAGACTACTTGATACATATCATCAAGTTTTTTTTCCAGAAAGTTTGAACCAATTTTTACCTAAACCAATATAAGAAGGCCCATTTCTCCCTTTTATACTGAGAATTACTATTTCAATCTTTACAATAGGATCCGTGAAAATCATGTCTCATTGATGTTTCAGTTTTTATTCACTAATGTTATCTTTACTTTTTTCCTGTATTCACTAGCTGTTTGTATTTTTTCTTTTGTGAGTTTCCTTTTCATATCCTCTTCCCTTTGACTTCTAGAGTTGGAAGAATTTATCGCTCAGGTGTTTATAGAAGAATGCAAAACCCTGTTTTTGGGGAAAGTAAATGTCTCTCATGCCAACTCTGTACAAAATGCTTGTAACATTAAATGTCAACGCAATAAAACTTTTCTTCAAGGACCAAGGAAAACATGATCCAGGCACACTGTTTGACAGCAATGTAAGGATGCAAGTCTGGTAGTATTATTTTTGAAACCCAGCATTCATAAAGGTATTATTATGGGCCAGCCACTGCAGTAAGAAACTTGTAAGCATCATGTCATATAACCCTTTCTTAATTCCATAAGATAGGTATTGATAGCAAATGAGGATGTAGAGATACAGAAAGAAGTCTCAGAGATGGTAAGTGCTGTGACCAAGGTATTTTATATGTCCTTAAACTGTCTCTTTTACTGACCAAACATTTGGTCTTCTTCAAATGACTGTGTGCATCTGTCTGTTTCCTTAGCTTAGATGTGAACTCCTCAAGATGAGGCCATTTCCTCATTCTTCCACACCCTCTCATCTCTCCATTTTCCTTTCCCCGTTCTCCTTCCTTAGGTAGGCAATAGACTTCACCACTGGGTCACATCAAGCACAGAGCAAGGACTTGGTGGCTTTTTAAACTCAACAGTGGAATCCTCCTAACGCTTGCCATTAACAGCCAAAATGGACCTCAGGAGTCACCTGGCCCAACCTTAGATTTTATATGCCACTCTGCTGTGGAAATGGCCACCAGCCATAAATAGGCAAATAGAGAGGCATGGTGTTTCCCTCTTTTTCACTACCCCTGTACTTTCTTTGGGAGCCGTGGGTAAGTAAACCTGTAAGCTGGCACAGTTTTACATCACAGATCCTAAGACTTTCTGAAAGGTCAGCTATCCTCATCACTTCTCTCTGTATCTTGGTTACACTGACCCAAAACACCAGCCTCCAGTTCAGCAGAACATTTGATACTGTATAGTGATAGGGACCATGACATTATTAAGTGATCAACCTTCTAAATCTGACAGACATCACATGGACCCATATTAGCCAGCTTTTAAAATGCAACATTAATGCCTTAAGGTCAAAGTAATGTATCCATTACTGGACTTTAACTTAGAAGTCTGAAAGGGATTACAGTTTGAAAATAAATTGAGTCAATTTAATGGCTATTTCTTCAATTTGTAATGCGATGGGTAGCATTACAATACAGGCAAGAAATACAGCAGACATTTTATGTGACCATCATTAGAGTTCATTATAAGCCATCCATAAATGATTCACCCAGTCTTCTCTTTACTAGTGAAAAATTATCATCCATATGTGTTCCAGTACAGCAGGCAAGTATAGGAACTCAAAGGAGCAAATCCTATTGTGGGACAGTAGCACCTCCTAATCTATGTTTTATTGATTAAGTCATAAAAGTGATTTCAGCCCTTATTATGTGTGTGGTGCAGGGTGGGAACACTTCTTCCCACTCTTCACTCCTTCCATAGTGAGGGAGCTCAAGTAGGGTAACAACCTTGGCCTGCCTCCACTGCTTTACCAACGCCTAAGGGGAAGTGGAGTGACACAGCTGAGCCAGACACCTTGTCCAGCATTTTCTTCAGACGTGAGCTGCCCACAGGGTATGGGAGCGTTCCCTTGCTTTCTGACGTCCCATCTTCATTATGAGGAGACCTGCCGAGTCCTGCATCACCTCTGACTGGGTGAGGCTACTTCATTCTTGGGATCAGATTCAGGAAACCCACTTGATTCTCACAATAAGCTACAGCTTCAACTCAGTGTTTATCACAATAAAGATGGCGTTTTGGCCTCCCATTTGATAATCTTTGACTTTTGTTCTATTTTGTTATACACCCAGGAGGAAAAGAAGGATATAATTTGTTTGGTGCATTCTCAATGACTGCAACATTTCATGGGTTTGGAATTGAAAATTCCACACCAAAAATTGAGCAAAGGCATGGAATTGGGGGAGAGCAAAATATTTAGGCAGAGAGGCATTCAATAGGGCCAGGAAATGTGTCCATGAACCTTGTGCTGTGGTGGTTAGGCAAGGCATTTGGCTCTTGGTGGTTACATTAAGTCAGCTTTACCTGTCATGACCTGCACCAGTGGATGGAAAGCTCTAAGCCAGCAGCATGCTGTGTTGACCATGGTGGGGAGCTGTGGCTTATGGTGGCTCTGTCCACAGGCTAAAGACTGTTTCTCTAGAAGCAAGTTATCTCAGATTCTGTAATGGTGTTTAAAGTAGCCTTTATATGGCATTTATTAGACAGCATGGCCATATTTGAAAAAGCTTCAATAAAACCACCACCTCGGACTAATATACAACTCCATGCCAGTACTGCCTAGAAACTTTAAAAATGAACAAAAACTAATCGTGTACAGTTCCATCTGTATCTTGATTACACTGACCCAAAACACTGACCTCCCAGTTCAGCAGTCACCTGATATGGTATAGTGACATTCAGAAAGCATTGGTTAAGCACTTATCACATGTCAGTCTTTCCGCGAGGAATAAGAAATGCAGAGACGTACAATATAGAGCACACTGAGCTCAAGGTGCTCCCTTCCAAAGGCCACTACAACACAAAATGGTAAATGCTGTCATCAATGGAGCCAGAGTGCTACGGTAACACCAAGAAAGGTGCCTAATGCCAACTTAGTCAACAGAGGTTGATCAGAAAGCTTCCACAGAGAAGTGATATGTTCCTTGAGTCTTTAATGGCTGGAGGAAGGTAGCTGACCAAAGAGGCACAGGGAAAGGAGGAATATTCCAGGAAGAAGAAGCCACCTTTTCTCAAAGGAGATGAGTTCAGGGAATGGTAAATAATGTAGCTGGAGGGAAGGGAAGCCACAAAAGGTCAGAGAAGAGTGCCAGGAAAGAAAGATAAATAAGGAACAAGGGCAGAGTGGTCAAAGGCTGCTAGGGAATTTAGCCAGGAAGTAGCAAAATTAGATATGCCTCTTAGAAAGACAACTCTGGCTACAGTGCAAAAAATAAAAGGTAGAAAGCAAGCCTGGAGACAGGTAGACCCTTAGGAGATGACTGCAGAAATCCAAATGCATGTGATATTGGCCTAAAAGAGGGGAGTAGCCTTGGCATTTATTCTTTCATTCCTTTCCTCTCTACATTCATTCCTTCATTCAACAGGTAATATTTAAGTGCATTTAACATTCTCCAGGCACCATTCTAGGTACTGGGAATACAGCAGTAAACAGTAGAGAAAAAAAAATGTATATATCTTTTTTTTTTTTTTTTTTTTTTTTGAGACGGAGTCTCACTCTGTCACCCAGGCTGGAGTGCAGTGGCACGATCTCGGCTTACTGCAACCTCCGCCTCCCGGGTTCATGCCATTTTCCTGCTCAGCCTCCCAAGTAGCTGGGACTACAGGCGCCCGCCACCACATCTGGCTAACTTTTTGTATTTTGTTTAGTAGAGATGGGGTTTCAGCATGTTAGCCAGGATGGTCTCGATCTCCTGACTTCGTGACCCACCTTCCTCAGCCTCCCAAAGTGCTGGGATTACAGGCGTGAGCCACCTCACCCGGCCTAAAATGTGTATATCTAATAGAGAGAGATGAGTGTTACAGAGAGTACCAGGGTAAGCCAGGAACAATGGCAATTGCCTGTAGTCCCAGCTACTCAGGAGGCTGAGGTAGGAGGATCACTTGAGCCCTCCCATCTTAGTGGCACAATCATAGCTCACTGCAGCCCAGGAGTTCAAGGCTGCAATGAGCTATGATTGTGCCACTGCACTCCAGCCTGGGTGACAGAGTGAGACTTTGTTTCTAAAAACAAAACAAAGAGAGAGAGAGAGAGAGAGAACCAAGATAAGAGAAACAACAATGCTGGGGCCAAGGTTGCTGATGGGTGGGGTGAATAAAGAGGAAAAAGCTAGTCTGGGAGCCAAATCAAAGCTGGAATTGACAGCAATTAGCAGATAATTCGCTGGCTGTTGTGCATGTGCCACATGTGGAGTTTGGAAGGAGAATGGAGGTGACAGTGGAAGGAAAAAGAATTGTTAACGATGGTTCCCAGGTTTCTGATTTCTGGAACTATATGGTCCAAAAGTGCCACTAACACTCATAGGAAATAAAGAAGGGCTCATTGTCCCACTGGGGTTTAAAATGCCCAGTTCCACGGCGGCTCACGCCTGTAATCCTAGCACTTTGGGAAGCCGAGCTGGGTGGATTCCCCGAGCTCAGGAGTTCGAGACCAGCCTGGGCAACATGGTGAAACCCTGTATCTACTAAAATATAAAAAATCAGCCAGGCCTGGTGGCAGGCACCTGTAATCCCAGCTGCTCAGGAGGCTGAGGCACGAGAATTGCTTGAACCAAGGAGGCAGAGGTTGCAGGGAGCCGAGATCGTGCCACTGCACTCCAGCCTGGGCAACAAAGTGAAACTTTGTCTCAAATAATAAAATAAAATGCTCAATCCATGGGGCTGGGATAAATACACATAGGTGCAACTACTAATAACAATACTAATAGCTAATAGTTAAATTCTCTTTGTTACAACTAGTGTAACTAGCTAACAGTTGTTGAATGTTTACTATGTGCCAGGCTTAGTGCTTAGAGAGGTAAAGTAATTGACCTGAGATTACACAGCAAGAAAGTACACAATCAGCACCAAGCCATTGTTTTTCTAAAATCATTGTTATTAGCCATTTTGCTCTACCTTCTCCAACCAGTTCTGAGACTACGACACTAAATCACCTTGCGTTTGTCTTCCCAATCAAGACCATCACTGAGGATGCTGGCCAGTCTGTCAGTCTACTTTACACTGTGGAAAGATTTACTTTTAAACTGAAGTTAGTAAGGCAAAGACAAAAACAACAACAAAACAACAATCAAGTAGTAAGTAATTTGTGCTTTGCCTTAAGAAACTCATGTGCTTGACCTATAAATCAATATACTCCACCCCAAAAATGGGAGCATCATGAAGAGAAACTTCAAAGATAAAGTTAGATAAAAATTAGAAATCAAGGTTGATTTAGGGAGGAAGAAAAGGCCAGGTGCTGGTTAAGCGATAACTCTAATTTCTTTGCTTTGCATCTCACCATATCAATAAATGACCCAAAGAGATTGTGTCTGTTTCACACACATGTGTACCAAGCAATGGTTTCTGGGTTAGCTAGTTGCTTTTTAAAGAACAGAAACAGCATTTGCATCCCATATCCATTTTTATTCTCTTGACACCTCCTAGAATATGGCTGTCTTCTCCAACAGCACTTGTAAAAGCACTACTAAACAAAATAAAGACAGAAAGGAAAAAGGTTTGTTTACTCACTCTAAACTTAAATGGGAAAGAAGAAGCAAGAAAGTTTTATTTATGTTTTTCAACTACTAGCAAGCTCAGGCAATCACTGACAAAATCATTTTCTACCCAGGTGGCTTTATCAAGTTAAAGGATTTCCTTATTAATCAGAAATACAAAGGGCAGTAGAAGCTAGTACAATGTAATAGTGTGTCCGGAATTGGTGGGTTCTTGGTCTCGCTGACTTCAAGAATGAAGCCGCGGACCCTCGCATGAGTGTTACAGTTCTTAAAGATGGTGTGTCCGGAGTTTGTTCCCTCAGATGTTCAGATGTGTCCGGAGTTTGTTCCTTCAGATGTTCAGATGCGTCCAGAGTTTCTTCCTTTTGATAAGTTTGTGGTCTCACTGACTTCAAGAGTGAAGCCGTGGACCCTCACAGTGAGTGTTACAGTTCTTAAAGATGGCGTGTCCAGAGTTTGTTCCTTCAAATGTTCAGATGTGTCCGGAGTTTCTTCCTTCTAGTAGGTTCATGGTCTTGCTGACTTCAGGAGTGAAGCCACAGACCTTCGCGGTAAGTGTTACAGCTCTTAAAGGCTGCGCGTCTGGAGTTATTCGTTCCTTCCGGTGGGTTCGTGGTCTTGCTGGCTTCAGGAGTGAACGTGCAGACCTTCGCGGTAAGTGTTACAGCTCTTAAAGGTGGGTGCAGACCCAAAGAGTGAACAGCAGCAAGATTTACTGCAAAGGGCGAAAGAACAAAGCTTCCATGGCATGGAAAGGAACCCGAATGGGTTTCTGCTGCAGGCTGGGGCAGCCTGCTTTTATTCCCTTATCTGACCCCACCCACATCCTGCTGATTGGTCCGTTTTACAGAGAGCTGATTGGTCTGTTTTGACAGGGTGCTGATTGGTGTGTTTACAATCCTCTAGCTAGACATAAAAGTTCTCCAAGTCCCCACTAGATTAACTAGACACAGAGCACTGATTGATGCATTTACAAACCTTGAGCTAGACACAGAGTACTGATTGGTGCATTTACAATCCTTTAACTAGACACAAAAGTTGTCCAAGTCCCCACTAGGTTAGCTAAATGCAGAGCACTGATTGGTGCATTTACAAACCTTGAGTTAGACACAGGGTGCTGATTGGTGCATTTACAAACCTTGAGCTAGACACAAAGTGCTGATTGGTGCATCCACAAACCCCGAGCTAGACACAGAGTGCTGATTGGTGCATATACAATCCTCCAGCTAGACATAAAAGTTCTCCAAGACCCCACCCGACTCAGGAGCCCAGCTGGCTTTGCCTAGTGGATCCAGTGCCTGGGCCATGGATGGAGCTGCCCACCAGTCCCACACCACGCACCTGCACACCTCAGCCCTTGGGTGGTAGATGGGACCAGGCGCCGTGGAGCAGAGGGCGGCGCTGGTCAGGTAGGCTCGAGCTGTGTGGGAGCCCATGGAGGGGAGGGTGGGGGTGGGGTGGCAGGGGAGGAGGTGGGGTGGCGGGGGAGGAGGGTGGGGTGGCGGGGGGGAGAGAAAGAAAAAGGGGGAGGGGGAGGGGGAGGTTGTGGGGGGCAGGGGGAGGGGGGAGAGCAGGAGTGGGGGGTGGGGAGAGGGGAAGAGGGAAGTGGGGGAGAGAGGGGGCAGGGGAGGTGGTGCAGAGGAGCTAGGCAGAGGGGACAACATGGTGGGGTACAGGAACCAAGCCCTGCCCCGTGGGGAGGCAGCTGAGGCCCAGTGAGAATTCAAGCACAGTGCCGGCGGGCTGGCAGTGCTGGGGGACCCGGCGCACCCTCTGCAGCTGCTGGCCCAGGTGCTAAGCCCCTCACTGCCCAGGGGCCGGCCGCTCTGACTGTGGGGCCCACTGAGCCTGCGCCCACCCGGAACTCGTGCTGGCCTGCGAGCACTGCCCGCAGCCCCAGTTCCCACCAGCGCCTCTCCCTCCACACCTCCCCGCAAGCCAAGGGAGCTGGCTCCAGCCTCCACCAGCCCAGAGAGGGGCTCCCACAGTGCACTGGCAGGCTGAAGGGCTCCTCAAGTGTGGCCAGAGCAGACGCCAAGGCCAAGGAGGCACTGAGAGTGAGCGAGGGCTGCTAACACATTGTCATCTCTCGATAGGATTATTTTGGGAAGTGATGTTAGGTTTTTAAATTTGTAGCTTTCTAATGTGTACCCTTTTATTTGAACATGTGCTTCAAATGTGCAAGTGTCAGATGTCTAAAGGATGCCAGCAAATCTGATGTGACGGTTAAACTCACCCCAAATTGTTGAGAGCTCTGTTCCCAGCCAAGCCATCATGAGCTATTACCTAGATGACAGTAATCACTACCAATTTCCAAATCACTTCCCGGCTTCCAATCTTACCACCCCATACTCTTTTCTCTACAAAGCAGCCCATTCATTCTTATTGCTGTACACTATTGCATTGAGTGAGTATATGTCAGTTTATCGATCCATTCTACTGTTGATGGACATCTGAGTAGTTTAATGCTGCTGCAAATCTTCTAGTATTCATCTTTTTGGTACACATACAGGCATAGTTTAGTTAGGTATATTTAGTTAGGTATATTCCTTGGAGTGAATTGGCTGAGTCATGGGGTAGATAGACAGATATACCCCATGACTCAGCAAATTCACTCCAAGGAAGTGAATATACACACATGTTCTTCTTCAGTGAATACCACAAGTAACTTTTTAAAGTGACAATTGACATTGCATTTTTATTTAGCCTTACCCTATTTCCTATTCTTTCAGCAGTTTTCTGCTGCTGAGCTCAGAATGGCCTGCTGAGCTTCCAGTGATTGCCTGATGGCAGCTGTGGGGTTTTCCAAGCTCTCACAGTATCAGGAGTACCTCTAACTTCTTTCTACTTCCTCCCACATCATTTCTGATACTACACAGATCTTGTAGCTTTTGCTCCTACCTGGTAGCATGTAGGTGTACATGGGGATATCGTATCACCTAGTCATGATGTAAATACCTTTCATGGGGTTTTGGCCTTGCTATTCTGGTTACTCTATTGGGGAGTGGTGTTCTGGTAGGTTCAACGACTGTATGACTGCTGCCATCTTTCCAAAATCTTCCACATATCTCCCTATGTCTTCAATTGTCACATGTCCTTATTTTTTATGTACATTATTTAAAACTTTCTATGAATACCGCTGTCTATTTTAGGCTATTTGATTTTATTCTCTGGATGGCTAACTGATCACTGAAGATTCATGTTCCCTTTTCATAATATGGAATTGTTGATGAATATGGCTTCTTAACCAGGGGCCACATTTACCAGCTCTCTTGCCTTAAAAAGGGGCCATGTGATGACTTCTGGCCAATAGAATGTGAACAAAAATGATCTGTGTCACTTTATGGGCCTTGGTGGCTGAGTATCTTACATGCTCATGTTCTCTTCCCCAAGACTTCACACTTTCATTTCAGACGACCTCACGGGTCCTCTTCCCCTTTAGCAGGAACTATGTATGGCTTGCATCAAGGACAGCAGTATCATAAAACGAAAATAATTTGGATCACTCTATGAGTTAGGACGCCAGCAGTAAATAGCTGGGGCACCCAAAAAATAAGACAGTTTAAAGAAGGAACTATTGAAATGAGTGGGCAAAGTGACAGGATTTAACAGAGGATGGTGAAAAACCCAGGGCCAGGAACAGTAGGAAGGTGTTATCACACCCAAGTCTGGAAGGAGAAGGGGAGGGATTCACATACATGTCACCTAGTAAGAGCTGTAGCCATGGGAGAGTGGCCACAGATAGAGAAATGAGCCATGAGTGAAACAACAAAGACCTGAGTGGGTCTCTTCTCTCACCTCCAGTCTCCTATTAGTGCCTCCCTTTGGCAAAACCCACTGGAAGCTACAGGCAAAGGAGTTTATGTGATGCAGTCCATAGAGGTGATAGAACAGAGAGGGGAAGGCAGAGAAGGGGCGAATAGACAACATCCAACAGACTCCCTGAGTCACTGCCTAGAGGAGGGCTGTCAAGGAAAGTAGCCTGACCAGTAACACCAGCATTAGTCTTAGTGTGTGTAAAGTGTTACCTGCTAAGCCTCTAAGACTTAGAGATTGTTTGTTCCAAAAGTTAACCTGCCTTAAATATAACTGGTCTATTTAGATTTTCGCATTATCCTTTTTGTATCCAAATTGGTTTTCCAAAAACTATCAGGGGAAATAAATAATAATCCCCTAAAAACGTAAATATGTGAATTTTAGCAAGATTGTTTAGATAAATTGTTAATAATTCTACTTTGAAATTGTAGCTACTTATTCTGCCTGTAGATATTTGAAAGAGCTGCTGTTTACAATGGCAGCTCAAAAGTGAGGGCACTGTGTGTGGGAGATCGGAGTAGGGGGAATGAGAAAAGTCTTTTTTATTCAAAAATGCAAACATAAGGAGTAGAAAATATTATGGGAAAATAATTAAATGAATATGATGGAAAAACTTTTCAAGACTTCACTCTTCCATTTCAACTGGCCTCCTTCTTTTTAGTCCACTCTCCATCCTCTTTCCTCAATGGAAATGCCTGTTACTCTGAAGCTAGCCCCTACTATCTTGAAAACAGGTTCTTTACACCTTCCTCCATCCCTGCTGTGCTCCAGACCCGAAGCCTTTCTTCCTCATCTTATGTTGACACATTGTCCCTATGCCTTGCTACATGAGTGGTTAGCTATTTTTATAACTTTATTCATCATCTATTAAAAAGATTGGGTACCACCTAGGCAACACCATTTTGAACATAGGAACGGACAAAAATTTTATGACAAAGATGCCAAAAGCAATTGCAGCAAAAGGAAAAATTGACAAATGAGATTTAATTAAACTAAAGAGCTTCTGCACAGCAAACGAAACTATCAATAGAATAAACAGAAAACCTGCAGAATGAGAGAAAAGTTTTGCAAACTATGCATCCAACAAAGGTCTAATATCCAGCATCTTACAAGGAACTGAAACAAATTTACAAGAAAAAAAAACAAAAACAACCCCATTAAAAAGTGGGCAGGTGACATGAATAGACACTTTTATTTATTTATTTATTTATTTATTTATTTATTTATTATTTTTTGAGATGGAGTTTCGCTCTTCTTGCCCAGGCTGGAGTGCAATGGCATGGTCTTGGCTCACTGCAACCTCCACCTCCCAGGTTCAAGCGATTCTTCTGTCTCAGCCTCCCAAGTAGCTGGGATTACAGGTGCCCACCACCATTCCCAGCTAATTTTTGTATATTTAGTAGAGACAGGGTTTCACCATGTTGCCAGGCTGGTCTCGAACTCCTGACCTCAGGAAATCCACTCGCCTCGGCCTCCCAAACTGCTGGGATTACAGGCGTGAGCCATCACACCCCGCCTAACAGACACTTTTCAAAAGAAGACATACATGTGGCCAACAAGCATATGAAAACAAGTTCAACATCACTGATCATTACAGAAATGCAAATCGAAACCACAATGAGTTACAATCTCACACCAGTCAGAATGGCTATCATTAAAAAAAGGCCAGGCATGGTGGCTTACGCCTGTAATCCCAGCACTTTGGGAGGCTGAGATGGGTGGATCACCTGAAGCCAGGAGTTCGAGACCCGCCTGACCAACGTGGTGAAACCCCATCTCTACTAAAAATACAAAAATTAGCCGGATGTGGTAGTGGGCGCCTGTAGTCCCAGCTACTCAGGAGGCTGAGGCAGGAGAATGGCTTGAACCCGGGAGGCAGAGATTGCAGTGACCTGAGATCACGTCATTGCACTCCAGCCTGGGCGACAGAGTGAGACTGTCTCAAAAAAAAAAAAAAAAAAAAAAAAAGTCAAAAAATTAACAAATCCTCATCCTGAAACCAAAACCTGGCAGAGATACAAAAAAGAAAAAGAAAACTTTAACCCCAAATCCTTGGTGAACACTGATGCAAAAATCCTCAACAAAATACTGGCAAACTGAAATTAGCAGCACATGAAAAAGCTTATCCACCATGATCAAGTAGGCTTTAACCCTGAGATGCAAGGTTAGTTCAACAAACACAAATCAATAAATATGATTCATCACATAAACAGAACTGAAGACAAAAACCACATGATTATCCCAATAAATGCAAAAAAAAGGCTTTTGGTAAAATTCAACATGGCTTCATGTTTAAAACTCTCTGTAAAATAAGTACTGAAGGAGCATACCTCAAAATAATAAGAGCCATCTATGACAAACCCACAGCCAACATCACACTGAATGGGCAAAAGCTAGAACCATTCCCCTTGAGAACTCGCACAAGGTAAGGATGTCCTCCTATTCAACATAATATTGGAAGTTCTGTCCAGGGCAATCAGGGAAGAAAATAAAATAAAGGCATCCAGGTAGGAAGAGAGGAAGTCAAACTATCCCTGTTTGCAGATGACATGATCCTATGTCTAGAAAACCCTGTAGTCTCACCCAAAGCCTCTTAAGCTGATAGACAACTTCAGCGAAGTCTCAGAATACAAAATCAATGTGTAAAAATTACTAGCATTCCTATACACCAACAACAGTCAAGCCGGGAGCCAAATTAGGGACACAATCCCATTCACAGCTGCCACAAAAAGAATAAAATACCTAGGAATACAGCTAACTAGGGCGGGAAAAGATCTCTACAAGGAGAACTCCAAAACATTCTCAAATAAATTAGAGATTAACACAAACAAATGGAAAAGCATTTCATACTCATGAATAGAAAGAATCAATATAAAAATGGCCATACTGCACAAAGCAATTTATAGATTCACTGCTATTTCTATTAAACTACCACTGGGATTCTTCACAGGACTGGAAAAAACTTTTAAAATTCATATGGGGCTGGGCACGGTGGCTCATGCCTGTGATCACAGCACTTTGGGAGGCCGAGGCAGAAGGATCACTTGAGGTCAGAAGTTAGAGACCAGCTTGGCCAACATGATGAAACCCTGTCTCTACTAAAATACAAAAATTAGCTGAGTGTGGTAGTGGGCGACTGTAATTCCAGCTACTTGGGAGGCTGAGGCAGGAGAATCACTTGAACCCAAGAGGCGGAGGTTGCAGTGAGCTGAGACGGCGGTGAGCTGAGATCACACCACTGCACTCCAGCTAGGGCAACAGAGTGAGACTCCGTCTCAAAAAAAAAAAAAAAAAAAAAAAATCATATGGAACCAAAAAAAGAGCCCAAATAACCAAGGCAATCCTAAACAAAAAGAACAAAGGTGGAGGCATCACACTACCTGACTTGAAACTATGCCACAACAGGGCTACAGTAATCAAAATAGCATGGAATTGGTACAAAAACAGATACATAGACCAATGGAACAGAATAGAGAACCCAGAAATAAGGCTGCACACCTACAACTATCTGATCTTCAACAAACCAGACAAAAACAAGCAATGGGGGAAGGATTCCCTATTCAATAAATGGTGCTGGGATTAACTGGCTAGCCATATGCATAAGATTGAAACGGGATCCCTTCCTTATACCATAAATAAAAATTAACCCGAGATGGATTAAAGACTTAAATGTAAAACCCAAAACTGTAAAAACCCTAGAAGACAATCTAGGCAATACCACTCAGGACATAGGCATAGGCAAAGATTTCATTATGAAGATGCCTAAAGCAATTGTAACAAAAGTAAAAATTGACAAATGGGATCTAATTAAACCACAGAGCTTCTTCACAGCAAAGGAAACTGTCAACAGAGTAAGCAGACAACCTACAGAATGTGAGAACATTTTTGCAAACTATGCATTTCACAAAGGTCTATTATTAAGCATCTATAAGGAACTTAAACAAATTTACAAGAAAAAGACAAACAACCCCATTAAAAAGTGGGGAAAGTACATGAACAGACATTTTTCAAAAGAAGCTACATGCAGCCAACAAACGTGAAAGAAAACTCAACATCACTGATTAGAAAAATGCAAGTCAAAACCACAATGGGATACCATCTCACACCAATCAGAATAGCTACTATTTAAAAGTCAAAAAATAAGAGATGCTGGAGAGGTTTAGAGAAAAAGGAATGTTTATACACTGTTGGTGGGAGTGTAAATTAGTTCAGCCATTGTGGAAGACACTGTGGCAAATCCTCAAAGACCTAAAAATAGAAATGCTATTTGACCCAGCAATCCCATTACTGGGTATATACCCAAAGGAAAATAAGTTGTTCTATTATAAAGACACATGTATTCATGTGTTAATTACACACTATTTACAATAGCAAAGACATGGAATTAACCTAAAAGTCCATCAATGATAGATTGGATTAAAAAAAAGTGGTACAGGCTGACTCTCTTTTCAGACTCAGCCCGCCTGCACCCAGGTGAAATAAACGGCCATGTTGCTCATACAAAGCCTGTTTGGTGGTCTCTTCACACAGACATGCATGAAATTTGGTGCCATGACTTGGATCAGGGGACCTCCCTTGGGAGATCAATCCCATGTCCTCCTGTTCTTTGCTCCATGAAAATGATCCACTTACAACCTCAGGTCCTCAGACCCACCAGCCCAAGGAACATCTCACCAATTTTAAATCTGACTCAGCCGGCCTGCACCCATGTGAAAGAAACAGCTTTATTGCTCACACAAAGCCTGTTTGGTGGTCTCTTCACACGGACGCACATGAAAACTGGAGTCCTCACGCCCACCAGCCCAGAGTGCTCTCTAGAGGAAGCCTACAGACACTTCCTGGCTCACTCCTCCAGACGTTAGCTGTCTTGCTGAAACTCCTTTTTTCACCCTTGAAAACCACTGCAAGAATGGCCAAGAACCCAGCTATCCTGAGGCTGTGACCATCTATGACAAGCCGGCATCTTTCTTTCAAGAGACACCTCTGGACCTGCAGCACCGACTCTTCATGAAGCTGGGCAGCACGCACTCTCCGTTCAGGGCCCGCTCAGAACCTGAGGACCCAGCCAGGAGCGGTCGGCCTTCATGAAGCGGGATGCTGGGAGCGGGCTGGTGATGCGTCTCCATGAGCGGCCAGCCCTGCTGGTCAGCAGCACAGGCTGGACAGGTCTGCACGACCCATGGAACACTTGAGAGGACGAAGACTTCTCCATCCTGCTGGCAGCTTTAGAAAAGTTTGAGCAACTGACTCTTGACGAACACAACCTTCCTTCTCTCGTCTGTGTGATAACAGGCAAATGGCCTCTGAGGGAGTATTACAGCCACCTCATCCACCAGAAGCATTTCCAGCACATCCAGGTCTGCACCCCCTGGCTGGAGGCCGAGGACTACCCCCTGCTTCTAGGGTCGGTGGACCTGGGTGTCTGTCTGCACACGTCCTCCAGTGGCCTGGACCTGCCCATGAAGGTGGTGGACATGTTCGGGTGCTGTTTGCCTGTGTGTGCTGTGAACTTCAAGTGTTTACATGAGCTGGTGAAACATGAAGAAAACAGCTTGGTCTTTGAGGACTCAGAGGAACTGGCAGCTCAGCTGCAGATGCTTTTCTCAAACTTTCCTGATCCTGAGGGCAAGCTAAACCAGTTCCGGAAGAACCTGCGGGAGTCGCAGCAGCTCCGATGGGATGAGAGCTGGGTGCAGACTGTGCTTCCTTTGGTTATGGACACATAAATCCTGGGCCAGAGACTAAAACCCCAGGACCCCTGCTGTCCTTCCCGCAGCTTCTTCTCGGAGTCTCAGGGCAAACCCTTTCGAGCAGCGCCTCCCAGTGGCCAGAAGCTGAAATGACAGCAGTGGTGCCGCCGGGTGAATGAATTGGTTCTGTGACCCGGGGAAAAGAAAAAAAAAAAAAAGTGGTACATACACACTGTGGAATAGTATGCAGACCTAAAAAAGAACAAGATCATGTCTTTTGCAGGAACATGAATGGAGCTGGAGGCCATTATCCTCAGCAAACTGAAACAAGAACAGAAAACCAAGTAATATATGTTCTCGCTTATAAGTGGGAATAAATGATGAGAATACATGGACATATAGAGCGGAACAACACACACTAGGGCCTGTTGGAGAGTGAAGGGTAGGAGGAGTGAGAGGATCAGGAAAAATAACTAATGGGTACTAGGCTTAATACCTGGGTGACAAAATAATCTGTGCAACAAACCCCCATGACACAAGTTTACCTATATAACAAACCTACACATGTACCCCTGAACTTAAAATTTAATAAAATAAAATAACAGATGCTGGCAAAGTTGCAGAGAAAAGGAAACACTTATATACTGTTGGTGGGAATATAAGTTAGTTTAAGTATTGCAGAAAGCAGTGTAGCAATTCCTTGAAGAGCTAAAAAGAGGACTACCATTCAACTCAGCAATCCCATTACTGGGTATATACCCACAGGAATATAAATCATTCCATAACAAAGACACGTGCATGCGTATGTTTACTGCATCACTACTCACAACAGCAAAGACATGGAATCAACCTAAATGCCCATCAATGATAGACTGGATAAAGAAAATGTGGTACATATATACCACTGACTACTACGTGGCCATAAAAAAGGACTACATCATGTCTTTTGCAGGAACATGGATGGAGTTGGAGACCATTAACCTTAGCAAATTAACACAGGAACAGAAAACCAAATACTGCATGCTCTTACTTACAAGTGGGAGCTAAATGATGAGAACTCATGGACAAAAATAAGGGAACAACAGACACTGGGGCCTCCTTGAAGGTGGAGGGTGAAAGGAGGGAGAAGAGCAGAAAAAGTAACTATTGTGTACTAGGCTTAGTACCTGGGTGATGAAACAATCTGTACAACAAGCCCCTGCAACATGAGTTTACCTATGTAACAAACCTGCACGCATGCCCCTGAACCTAAAAGTTTAAAAAAATTTCATATAAAAAGATTAGGTGCCAATTAAGTGCAAGTTATATTCTATATGTAAAGGCCACAAAGAAAGATGGATAGATGACAGATAGATGCATACCTAAATAGATTTCAAGTTCCCTTCGTGAAATAATTTATAATGTAGAGGTAGACCCAGGAGAGGAAAGTAAATAAGCCTAGTATGCGGCAGAAAATGGTCAGTGACATGAAAGAGTCACAGATAAAGTCCTACAATGCTTCATTTTTTAAAAAAGGAAGCGGGAAACAAAAAACAAACAAAAACAATCCCAAAACAAACAGAAGAGGATGGGAAGCTGACACTTACCATGCTCCAAGTAGTAGGTTAGGTGGAGTGCAAACGTTAGTCTTCCTTTCATATTGTGTCCCGAATTGGTGGGTTCTTGGTCTCACTGACTTCAAGAATGAAGCCGCGGACCCTCGCAGTGAGTGTTACAGTTCTTAAAGGCGGCGTGTCTGGAGTTTGTTTCTCCTGACATTCGGATGTGTTCAGAGTTTATTCCTTCTGGTGGGTTTGTGGTCTCGCTGGCTCAGGAGTGAAGCTGCAGACCTTAGCGGTGAGTGTTACGGGCTCTTAAGGCAGCACGTCTGGAGTTGTTCGTTCCTCCCGGTAGGTTTGCGGTCTCGCTAGCTTCAGGAGTGAAGCTGCAGATCTTTGCAGTCGCTGTTATAGCTCAAAAAGGCAGTGTTGACCCAAAGAGTGAGCAGTAGCAAGATTCATTGCAAAGAGCAAATGAGCAAAGTGTCCACGGTGTAGAAAGCGACCCCAACACATTGCCGCTGCTAGCTCAGGCAGCCTGCTTTTATTCTCTTACCTGGCCCCACCCACATCCTGCTGATTGGTCCATTTTACAGAAAGCCGATTGGTCTGTTTCACACAGAGCTGATTGGTCCGTTTTGACAGGGTGCTGATTGGTGCGCTTACAATCCCTGAGCTAGACACAAAAGTTCTCCACATCCCCAATAGATTAGCTAGATACAGAGTGTGGACACAAAGGTTCTCCAAGTCCCCACCAGAGTAGCTAGATACAGAGTGTCAGTTGGTGCATTCACAAACCCTGAGCTAGACACAGGGTGCTGATTGGTGCATTCACAAACCTTGAGCTAGACACAGAGTGCCGATTGTTGTATTTACAATCCCTTAGCTAGACATAAAGGTTCTCCAAGTCCCCACCAGACTCAGGCGCCCAGCTGGCTTCACTCAGTGGATCTCCCACCGGGGCCGCAGGTGGAGCTGCCTGCTGTGCGCCGGCACTCCTCAGCCCTTGGGTGGTCGATGGGACTGGGCGCCGTGGAGCAGGGGGCAGCACTTGTCGGGGAGGCTCGGGCCACGCAGGAGCCCACAGTGGGGTTGGGGAGGCTCAGGCATGGTGGGCTGCAGGTCCCCAGCCCTGCCCCGCAGGGAGGCAGCTAAGGCCCAGCGAGAAATCAAGCACAGCAGCTGCTGGCCCAGGTGCTAAGCCCCTCACTGCCCCGGGGCTTGCAGGCCGGCTGGCCGCTCCGAGTGCCGGGCCCGCCGAGCCCACGCCCACCCGGAACTCGCGCTGGCCCACAAGCTCCGCGCGCGGCCCCGGTTCCCGCCCGCGCCTCTCCCTCCACACCTCCCCACAAGCTGTGGGAGCAGGCTCCGGCCTTGGCCAGCCCAGAAAGGGACTCCCACAGTGCAGCGGTGGGCTGAAGGGCTCCTCAAGCACGGCCAGAGTGGGCGCCAAGGCCGAGGAGGCACCGAGAGCGAGCGAGGGCTGCAGGGCTGCCAGCATGCTGTCACCTCTCAATATGGCTAGTTCTTTCTTGTCCTTCTGGAATTTGTTCAAGTGACACCTCACCCAGGAAGCCTTCCTTGATCTTAACTCGCCCTGCCTTTCCTCTATGCTGCCACAATCACAGCTTTATCACATCATAGTGTAATTGGTTTATTGCCTATCACCCCAAAAGATGGCAAGCACCTGGAGATGGGGAACAATGTCTCATCTTTGTGTATCTTCTATGTCTAACTTTGAGTCTGGTGTACATCAAGCCCTTAAGGAGGGAAGGGAGAAAGCAGAGAGGGAAAGGAATGAGGGAGGGAGAGAGGCAGGAAGGGATGAAGTGCTATTAGAGCATTCGAGGATAAAGGGAACGATGTGACTAGTGTGAAATCTAAAAAATAAGAGGTGAGTTTCAGAAATTGCAGGAGTGCTGTTGAATTGTGTTAAAAGGATATGGGCAGGAAGGTGGCAGGTGACAACTGTTGAACATAGAAAATGGAAAAGTGTTTTGAGAGTTTTGAATGTCAGACTATGACAGCTAAACTCATGCTGTAGATAGTGGAAAACCACTGGGATTTGATGAGCAGGGAAGAGATGAGATCAGAGCAGAGTTTTAAGGATATTAACCTGGCAGTGGGAATATCTTATCCTTTTTGAAAGTATATTCACTTTCTATCAGGAAATATCTTTGCCTTAATGCAAAGAATTAATCTCATGGGGTGGGTTTGAGCAGCCCTGGTAAACATCTCGTTTACCAAAAGAGCTCAATCCTGCATGTGTGTATGTCAGCCCTGAATAAAGTATCCTTTTTTTTTTCAAGCAGTTAATCTTTATACTACTCCCCAAGCCAGCAACTACATAATTTTGATGCAACACCTGAAACTAATTCTGAGCTGCTCCCCAAGGCCCAGTATGTAGTTACCAGCAAGTGCTCATCCACAGCAGGGAGTGTCACTAGCAACTTCTAAATGAGATTCTCTTACAAAGCAACATGTGCCAATAGAGAGTCATTGTTTGTTCACTAGAAATGACTTTTACATGATGCATTCATCCAAAGAGAAAATATTTTTCCATTTATGGGAAATATTTTAATAAGTAATTAAGTACAAAGAATAAAACAATACTACAAATTAGACCATCATCCTTTGACAATCATATATTATTCATTTTAACTGCCATAAGCCAGTTTCTGTAACAATACATGAGTACCAAATCAACAAGTGATAACTTCAAGCTATTTTGATGAAAATTGTATCTTAAAATTGTAAAGTTGTATAAGTAAATATTAACGTTAAACATGCAAGTTCAGTTGATATTTTGTTTTCAATGACATTTATTTTCTCTAATTTCCCAAACCTATTGCTGATCAAAAAAAAAAAAAAATCCAAAGAACACAAGTCTGACAAGACAGTATTACTAAGCCATGCTAAATGAAAGGAGATAATGGAGTCTTTGATATTACCCAAATGGACTTCTGGAATTATCTTTTTAGAGACTATATGTTCAATAATCAACAACTCAAAAAAGAAGAGGATTACCCTGATATTAAAATATTTTGAAGATAAAAGTAAACAAAGTCACTAGACATGAGCCATCTTTTAGCTTTTGTTAATAATCTCAAGGTAAATCATTGAGAATACTCAAGCTGAATGTATACCTGAATAAGATATTAACTCACGGATTCTCATTTTCCTATTGCTCCATACTTTGACAAAGCATTCTTTCTTTTCCAGTGTTCCTCCTTGGATCAAATGAAGGGCCAAAGAAAGCAGTTTCCCCATTCTTCATGCTGTGATATAGGCTCTCCTCTAACAATTCTAAGGGCTGTAGAAGTGCTGGGAGATGGATGTGTGAATAGATGCTTGCCCAGAAATTCCTGGGACTACCACTGGCTCTTCAATAAAGGGATCATTTTAAGCTTTGCTGAACCTTGAGGTAAACTCACTATTTAAATTATAGGAAGCTCATTCCCTTTGCCTGGTCTAGAATGATCATTCTTTTAAAAAAAATCAGTAAATAAGTTCCCAACAGACTTGTCCTGCTAAACTAGTCATCACACTTTCACTTTCTGCTCCCATGAGCCTCCAGGAATCTCTGCCCAGCTTTCTTAACTGAAATTCACAAGCATCAAGTTATCTTGAAGAGAGAGTTCTTTCTGATCCTGTCAGACTTCTAGAGTTAAATATACACATGCATTTTTTATTTATCGGCATTTCTATAAATTTTATTTTTCCACACATGTTCATATACACATAAATGTATATAGGTCATTTTCAAAGTTTCATATCTAGAAAAAGACTGAAAATATTTTATAACATTTTCACATGGAAATTAAATTCCAGGTAACTCTACATAATCAGAGGGCAAGTATCTATCACTCAATTTATCCTAAAAGAATCTTGCATTGTAATACTGCTCTAGGTAAACATCTGTTTTTTTGCTATTCATGTCTTCGCTGTATAATCTACTTAATAATTGCTTTGCCAACTCTTAATTCCCTTTGTTTTTCTTTTTCAAGCAGAAGGATGTTTTAAAACTCAGGTACTTTACCACATATTCTCCCCCAGGAAAATCTGTAGCAGATAGATTTGTAGACTTGCCTTCTCTCTGGGAGAAACTTTACTTCCATATGTGTTCAAGAAAAAAACTGAGTTTTGTTGACATCACAATTCCTTCAATATTCTCTGTATGTCACAGAGTCCTTTGAAACATGAATTATCTTCCAAACCCCCTGCTCCATGGGCTATAATTCTTACCTCAATCAGAGAAAAGCTGTGTATTTCAGAGATACATTAACAGAATGTAGAACAAAATGTCTCTCTTGGTCCCCACTAAGTGATTTTGTTTTAGGTAAATTTCTAGATCAGACATCCATGATATAAGAACGAGAACATTCACGAGCTAAATTTTTTGTCTTTTTTTTTTTTAATTGAGATGGTGTCTCTCTCTGTCACCCAGGCTGGAGTGCAGTGGTGCGATCTCGGCTCACTGCAACTTCCACCTCCCAGGTTTAAGTGATCCTCTCACCTCAGCCTCCTAAGTATCTGGGACTACAGGGATGCACTGCCACTCCTTGCTAATTTTTGTATTTTTAGTAGAGACAGGGTTTCACCATGTTGCCCAGGCTGGCCTTGAACTCCTGACCTCAAGTGATTCATCCACCTTGGTGTCCCAAAGTGGTGGGATTACAGGCGTGAGCCACCACACCCAGCCTTATCTATCATTTTAGATAACTGGCTCCTACCATATCCTCTACTACACAGTCCTTACACCAAAGTATTTTGAAATGCTTGAATAAAATAGTTTTTAATTTCAATAGTAAAAGGTATTCTGATTCATGCTAAATGCTATCTTACAGTACAAGATTTGATATACCATGCTAAGACTACACCACCAGAACCCAAATCCTCAATGTTACCTGAGAGTATTAGGCAGCTGCTGTAGGAGCATCCTGAAAGGGAATGTTGAACCACATCATCATTGCAGCTTCAAAGGACACATGTAAATCAAAACTCTGTCATCCAGAACAGTTGACACTGTGGTATTGTTAAGCTCACTGCTCACAAAAGCTGAGGTCAGTTGGATGCAATTATCTGTGGTGGAGACTCTTCCACAAACAATTTCACTGGTGTTCCTCTCTGGCCTCAGCAAAATAATGAGGCACTTAGGAGCAAATATACAACCCAACAAGCCATGGCTGGATGCCAAGATTGCAAATATTTCCACAGCCATTTTGAACTTGCCTTTGGTGCTCAAATAAACAGGGACAAAAGACATCCAAATGATGAAAAAGACAAGCATCCCAAAGGTGATGCATTTTCCTTCATAGTAATTATCTGGTAACTGGCGAGCCACAAAAGTTGTAAGAAAGCATAGCAAGGCTAAGAAGGCATCAATTCCAAACATCGAGTACAAAAACTCTATGGAAATTTCATTGCATCCCAGAATGATCTTTGTATTTTGAGATTCCATGTTCTTGTATACCATGGGAGGTTCCAATATCAAGTAGGCTGTACATATGCCAATCTCCGCTAGAACAGAGATTAGCACAATGATTTTCCGATAAAGGGGGTGCATGGATGTAAGTTGAGTTTTGGATTTGGAAATTCTGTAGGCTAAAAACAGTGAACTAGTCTTTCCAAGAAGGCAAGACAGGCAAAGAGAAAAGCCCAGTGCCAGAGTGACCTGGCCAGCCATGCAGGACCAGTTGTGTGGCTTGTCAATGAAAAGCATGGACGACAGCAGCATGATGATCAGAGAAACCTGAATGAGAAAGCCCAGCTGCCAGTCACTGGCGTTCACCAGGGGAGTGTGCCTGTGTATCACATACACAGCTGTGACTGCCAAGACCACAAATGCCCCAAAGACAGAAAGAATGACAAGTGTGAATCCCAGGGCCTCATCATAAGCAAGGTATTCCACCTCTTTCAGCACACACTCGCTCTTTTGTGCATTTGACCAATAGTCTTCACCACATTGTTCACACTCCCTTTCACCTATTGAACGAAGAACAGAGAATTGACTGTAAAGAAATCCAATTGTCCCCTTCCACTGTGAATATCCCAGAGCCCTCATAGTTCTAGAGTGGGGACTTGTTGAAAATCCCTTTGTATAGAATATATAATATCTCAAAAGAAATAGTGATAAAATGACCTTAGAGTGTACAGATAATGTTACAGATTGAGAATTATTTTCAGTTTTGGAAAGTCAGTCTCGCTTCTCAGTTTCAGGCTTTTCTGCATTGGCCTTTTCCAGTAACAAGCTTCTTTCTTACTACTCCAGTTAGCTAATTGAGAAGAGTGGTATGTATCCTCGTAAACCCAAAAACAATCCACAAATGAAAAAAAAAGTAAAAAAAAAAAAAATTAAAGCTACTGAGGCAAAACAATTGAGAGAATTGTAACAGGAATAAGGTTGATTAAAATACAAATGTTTTCTGTCTTTCATTCAATATCACCCTTATGAAAGAGAATTTTGTCTTTGCTTACTCAGAGCTTTTCCCTTCTTCACCCCCCAGATGCAGATTTGAAGGAATAGGTAGAGAGTAACTGAGGATAAGAAGGAAAACAAGGCTGGGTACAGTGGCCCAGGCCTGTAATCCCAGCACTTTGGGAGGCTGAGGTGGGTGGATCACTTGAGCCCAGGAGTTCGAGACCAGCCTGGGCAACATGGCAAAACCTTGTCTCTGCCAAATAATACAAAAAATCAGCCGGGAGTGATAGTGTGTGCCTGTAGTCCCAGTTACTTGGGAGGCTGAGGTGGGAGGATTACTTGAGCCCAGGAGGCTGAGTTTGCAGTGAGCCAAGATGGTGCCACTGCACTCCAGCCTGGGCGACAGTGCAAGACTCCGACTCAGAGGGAAGGGAAGGGGAGGGGAGGGGAGGGGAGGGGAGGGAAGGGAAGGGAAGGGAAGGGAAGGGAAGGGAAGGGGCATCAGTGGAGGAGGAGGGGGAGAAAGAGGAGGAGGAAGAAGAAGAAAACAAGGAAGAAGCAGAAGAAGGAGGAGGAGAAGAAGAAAGAGAAGAAGGAAGAATAAGAAGAAGGAGGAGGAGGAGGAAGCAGGAGGGGGGAGGAGGAGGAGGAAGGAGGAAGAAAGAGAAGAAGAAGGAGGGGGAGGAAGAGGAAGGAGGAGGAGAACGAGGAAGAAGAAGAAAGAGCAGGAGGAGAAGAAGAAAGAGAAGAAGGAAGAAGAAGGAGGAGGAGGAAGACAAGAAGGAGAGGAAGAAGAAGAAGAAGAAGAAGGAGGAGGAGGAGGGAGGAGGAAGGGGAGGAGGGAGAGGAGGAGGAAAAAGGAGGAAGGGAAGAAGAGGAGGAGGGGGAGAAGGAGGAGGAGGAGAAAGACAAAAGGAGAAAGAGAAGAAGATGGGTAAGGGGAAGGAGAAGGAAAAGAACCTACATGGTGCTTACTGAGAAGGTTTAGAGCATTTAGCTGGGTGGAGGCTCTAAGGGAGAATGTCAGAACATAAGAAAAGGCTATTTGATATGAGTTTATAGTAGACTGTGAAATTGATCTCTTTAATGTTCTTTGAAAGATGCAGGAAAGATTGCAATTCCTGTTTAATCACTTTTAACTGCTGTACTGGACTTCCCTGGATGTAACTCTATGCAGAGACTGGGCTGTGTAGGGTCCAAGGAGTTGTTCAGGTTACATAGTTCTTGTTTTCCATTTTGGGAAAATGATACATTCTCAATTTTTTTTTTTTTTTCCCGAGACGGAGTCTCGCTCTGTCGCTCAAGCTGGAGTGCAGTGGCGCCATCTCAGCTCAATGCAAGCTCCGCCTCTCGAGTTCACACCATTCTTCTGCCTCAGCCTCCCGAGTAGCTGGGACACAGGCGCCTGCCACCGCGCCCGGTAATTTTTTGTATTTTTTTAGTAGAGAACGGGGTTTCACCGTGTTAGCCAGGATGGTCTCAATCTCCTGACCTCGTGTCCGCCCTCCTCGGCCTCCTAAAGTGCTGGGATTACAGGCGTGAGCCACTGCGCCTGGCCCTCAAAATTCTTTTATAAAGAATTGCTTTGGGAGGCCGAGGCGGGTGGATCATGAGGTCAGGAGATCGAGACCATCCTGGCTAACAAGGTGAAACCCCGTCTCTACTAAAAATACAAAAAAAATTAGCCGGGCGCGGTGGCGGGCGCCTGTAGTCCCAGCTACTCGGGAGGCTGAGGCAGGAGAATGGCGTGAACCCGGGAAGCGGAGCTTGCAGTGAGCCGAGATTGCGCCACTGCAGTCCGCAGTCCCGCCTGGGCGACAGAGCGAGACTCCGTCTCAAAAAAAAAAAAAAAAAGAAAAGAATTGCTATTGAGGGCCATTTGACAAAAGACAAGTACACTTTGTGTTATCTTTAACAGAAGGTAGAGATAAAAATAAACCTGCTCCAACATGTTTCACAAGACCGAGCACACTAAACCCAATTAAAATTCTGGTCATAAAGAGCAGCAATTTGGCAGGCCATAGTGAAGAATTCATAGAGCAGTAGTTACAGAAATCATATGTCTTACAAACTTTGAGTACTTATGACCTTAAGCCAATTGCCTTTAGAGATGAAATTTTAGATCTTATAACTCCAAATTAGAGCTAATTCAATAAAACATAGTACTATAAGTCCCCTGTCTTCCAATTATGAATATAACTAGCATTTAATTTATTTCAGAAACAAATAATTTTAAATATTTTTTATGAATCCTACTCATATTTCACATTTCATATATTTTATTTTGCATTTTCCTCTATTAACTTCAAGGTTGTAGGTATTTTCCCAACTGTAGCAGCTTTAGAACTGAAACACAATACTATGTTTTTTTCACAGTGCACAAAACATCCAATAATTTGATGGATTTTAATTATTTTTGTTATAAGTTATTCATACCTATTTATAAAGAAGGCTCCTTAGGCCTTCTTTGCAAAAACATGTTTGATCTAATAGCATCCTCATATCAATGAAGAAATTACCATCTCAACCTGGTTTCCGTGACACGTGTCCATCAGCACATGGGATGGAGTCAAAGCAGCATATTGGTTCCCTCTGAACGAATCCCCTTCCGAGTCCCAGGAGGACACACATCAGTACACACTGAATGGGGAAGCTAGCAAAGACAAACATGATGTATTAACAAAGCCCTTTGTCTCTAGTACTCATGAGGCTGAGAAAGTTTCCATTTGAATTTCCATGGAAGCTTTGCGATTTCCTGGGAAACCCAGGATGCCTGAGTGAAGATAATGAACAAAGAAAATAACAACATGGAGAACGTAGAGAAGAATTTTGCTAAAGGAGAGTCTCGGTGTTAAGTCTAGAAATGCAAAGCTAATTCTAAGCCTCTTCTTTCTAACCTTGGGGATCCAGACCAGGCTCCATGCCTACAGGACTCTGGGGATGAGATCATTTGACAGGTCTGTTCCTGCTTGTGAAGGACCTATGATTCCAAGAATCATCTTGAAAGCCTAAAAAATATTTTCCCTCTGCAAGGTCATCCCAAAGTAGTCTTAAAATCAAAGCTGTGTCATGAAGGGTCAGTAGAAAAGAACAGTGAAAGATCTGATTTATCAGAAAAATGGGGAGGGCAAAAGGAAAAGCAGACAAGGCATAGCATTGAAATATTTTCTTGCTAAACGAATTTCAAAATCTCAGTAGTAAACACAGGCCTCCTTTTACATTCTACATGGATGTGTACCTTGAAACCCAGAATAAATGCAAGGTTTGTAAATAGTTTGTTTCTTAATCCATTAGGGAGTTTCCTGTTTAAGAAACAAAATGCTTTTCCATTAAGCAAAGAATCATTTTGGAAGATGCATGATTACACTTATATTTATTTTAGAAATCAGAATTTTCATATGTTGAGTTTTCCAGAGTAAATCTGAATTAAATAACATAGAAAATATTACCAATCTCTGAGCTAGGTTATGGTACATAACATTACAGAAGTATGTATACACAATAGATAAGCTTCTTATATGTTTTATACATATGTATCTGTAAAATCATATTTTAAATGCACCTTAAGGAGTAGCTATTACAGGAAGGAGTGATAGCAAGGCATTCTCAAATTCTGAAAGATGAACAATAAAATCATCACAGAATGAACTAGAATTCCTTGCTCTGATCCAGTCTTCTGGAAAGAACTCTCGATATTACCTTATGATTACTATTATCATTTTTTTTTCCTCTGTTGCCCAGGCTGGAGTGCAGTGGCACCATCTCGGCTCACTGCAAGCTCCGCCTCCCGGGTTCATGCCATTCTCCTGCCTCAGCCTCCCGAGTAGCTGGGACTACAGGTGCCCACCACCACACCCAGCTAATTTTTTGTATTTTTAGTAGAAACGGGGTTTCACCGTGTTAGCCAAGATGGTCTCGAATTTCTGACCTTGTGATCCACCTGCCTCGGCCTCCCAAAGTGCTGGGATTACAGGCGCGAGCCACGGCACCTGGCCCATTAGTATCATTAACAATGAGCTGATACCTTTTTGTTCCATTTCTCAGTATTCCTTCCCTTCTCAACCTCTGTGATCTAGCTGCCAACTCACTCACCTCACTAAAACTCTTCTTGCCATGTCTGAGAGATTTTCCTCTGGCCACATTTTCCTTCAGCTTTCTTCAATACTTGACACTTTTGATCAGCCCCTCTTTGAAACGCAAGCTACCTTGGCTTCCCTTGGGTCCTGGGTTTGGTCCTTGGTCCTCTGGTTTTCTCTCTTACTGTAAAGCAGGTCCTTCATTCTCTTGTCTTCAACCAGTATCTCTATAGAAGTACTCCCAAATTTTGATCTCTAACACCAACCTTTCCCACCTGATCTCTATTTAATTCCATATTCTAAACTTCCCATATGTTCCTACATTAAGATTCCACCATCACCTCAAGTTCAACACGTACAAAACTATCCCATAAACCCTATTCCTCATTTCTGTCATCAACACCACCATTCCTATCCATCATCTCCAACCTGATATTACTTGCCTGTATGGACCCTCTCTTCCACTCAAGTCCACCTTCTCACCAACCACCAGACTCAGTTTACCATTATGACTTAAATCATTATTTGTATTGTCCTCTAATTGTTTCATGTAACACTTCCAGGTCCAATCCGTCAGCAGATTTGATGTCTTCTACCTATAAGATATCCATAAGATATCCAGAATCTAATGACTTTTTGCCACCTCCATCACATCTATCCTGGGCCAAGCTACCTTCATTATTTTGGATGATTTTATGGTCTTTTAACAGTCTCCTTGGTTCTGTTCTTGCCCCTCCACCCCACTCCTTCCACTGATTTGCAGTATGGCAAACAATGATACCTGAGTCAGATCATGGCCCTCCTCTGTCAAGATTTTCAGGGTTTCCCTTCTCACTCAGTGTGAAAACCAAAGTCCTTCAAAAGCCAACAGGGCCCTGCATGATCTGTCCCTCTCTAACCTCTCTCACCTCCTTTCCTGCTCTCCCTCTCTTTCACTCTTTCCAGCCACATTGACTTCTTTTCTGTTCCTCCAAAGTGCCAGCCACACGCGCCTCAGGGTTTAGAAGGTGCTGTTCCCTGTGCTGGAAATATTCTTCCCCTAGATAATGCATGAACACACTTTCATTTGAATTTCTGTTCAAATGTCACTCTAGCGAGGCCTTCCCTGACTACGCTATATGGAATTTCAGTGCAACACTCCCACAGCACTCCCTATCTCAGTCCTGCTATTTGTTTCTCCCTGACATTAACATCCTTTAAGATACAGTATAATGTCTCTATTTGTCTTGTTTGTTGCCTACTTCCTTCCATTGAAATGTTAATCCCATTAGGCTGGGATTTGTTCTGTTTTGCACACTGACGTATCCGCAGTTCCTATGCACATATGCTACTGTTCTCAACAAATATTTGCTCAGTTAATTAGGGGCAGTGGCCTTATTTTTGCAATGTTTAACCCAGAGTTGGATTTATAGTAGATGCTTAGTAAATTTGTATTGAATTACATTTGAAGCAATTTCATTATACAAACAATCCCAATTTTATAGTAAAAGATAAGAAAAATAAATTACTATACCCTAATGAAGATTATTAAAAGAAAAATCTACTATTAGATTTTACTATTTTTCTGTCAATTTTCAGTAGAGCAAGCATTCTTTGAACCATGTATATGCAAAGAATAACATCTTCCTTTTCATGTAAAACGGTATATTGGGGACCTACTATATACCTACCAAAAAGAATACAAAAGTGAAGTCTCAAGCCCATTCATCAAGTAGCTCACCATTCTGAGAGAGCTCTGGGCCACATAAGATGGCTTATAGCCTAGACTTAGGGCAGCTCTGTCCTTTCTGCAATGACAGAAGTGTTACATATCTCTGTTGTTCTATATGGTAGCTCCTAGCTACATGTGGATATTGAACACTTGAAATGTAGTTAATGTGACTAAGAGCTGAATTTTCCTTTTATTTTATTTTAATTAATTTGCATTTTAAAGCTGTCTGTGGCCGGGCGTGGTGGTTCACACCTGTAATCCCAGCACTTTGGGAGGCCGAGGCGGGTGGATCACGAGATTGAGAGATCAAGACCATCCTGGCTAACATGGTGAAAACCCGTCTCTACTAAAAATACAAAAATTAGCTGAGCGTGGTGGTGTGCGCCTGTAGTCCCAGCTACTAGGGGGGCTGAGGCAGGAGAATTGCTTGAACCCAGGAGGCAGAGGTGGCAGTGAGCCGAGATCTCACCACTATACTCCAGCATGGCAACAGAGCGAGACTCCGTCTAAAAAAAACAAAAACAAACAAACAAAAAACAACCTATCTGTGGTTAAGCACTACTGTATTGGGCAGAGCAGGTTCTAGATCAAAGGCATAAAATGCTGCAGAGAGCTCTGGCCCCTACAGTGGTAAACACTGACAAGTGGCTATTTTTACATCTACCCAAAATATATTCAAATGCTGCTTAAAGATAGACCAATAAACTACTGTGTATGTGTGCATATCTATATTCTTTTGTGAGCATGTATAAGTCTATAGATGTTTATTGCTACACATAGAAAGCAGAGAGGAATAGTCTGACAGACAAAGATCTCATAGGTGTCTGGTACAGCATAGGAACTCAGAAATCTTGAGGCTTTTTTTCACTTATTTTTAGATGCTTTCCCAGCATGATTTGGAAGACTGTTTGGGGATCTCAGATCTGAGCTCAAGAGGGAAGATACGTGAAAAATAAACAGGATGAAAAAAGACACCCTTTCCTCCAAAAGAAAGTCCTGTGTCAGCAAACAAAAAGCATTCTCTGGCTATGCTGACGTCACTTTCATCTCTCTCACTTTTCCTGGTTCTTCCATTCTGAGAGTCACATGGAAGATGAAATTGCCAATTCTTTTTCACTACCCTATCGATTTACTGTAACTCTACAGTTCATCCGGAAGTAAATATGGAACTGGATTATCCAAAGCTCTATAGTACTGGGCCAGGCACAGTGGCTCACACCTGTAATCCCAGCACTTTGGGAGGCCGAAGCAGTCAGATAATTTGAGGCCAGGAATTCGAGACCAGCCTGGGCAACATGGCAAAACCCTGTCTCTACTAAAAATACAAAAATTAGTCTGGCATGGTGGCACACACCTGTAATCCCAGCTACTCAGGAGGCTGAGGTAGGAGGATTGTTTGAACCTGGGAGGCAGAGGTTGCCATGAGCCAGGATGGCGCCACTGCACTCCAGCCTGGGCGACAGAGTGAGAAAGTGAAAGTGTTGGATACGTTTTACCACAGCCTTCGACTGGATCTTATCGCTGGCTATTACACGAAGATAAGATGGAAACTGGTATTTGTCACTAAGAATCACGCAGGTAGAGGTATAGCCCACCTACTATTGAAAATATTCATGCAGCTATTAGAAAGCAATAGCCAAATCTCAAATTACACATTTTCAGAATATTTTTATTGGGGAGGGAGGGAACTTAACAGTTCTTCTCCCTTTATTTTCACATCTTTCTTTAGACAAAAGGATTTCTGGTCCTTTCCTTGCTCAGTGGATGGGAGGGTAGAGTGTTGGAGGGAACACTTTGGGCCTCCCTATGGACTCTTTCAAATCCACTTCCTCATACCCCAAGGAAATCGGAGGAGCTGATTATTAATACAACATTCAATGCCCTACTTTTCACAAGTGGGATCACAGCAGTGAAAAGGAGGCCATTTGCTTTTTTCTCTATGCACCCCACAGACAAGGGGAGTGAATCAAGCCATCCAGGCTCTTCCTTAGATTTTACTTCTCATCCACATGGATGATGGAGTGAGTAGACCCACAATCCATTTGGCAAGCCCAATTCTTATCTCTCTCTCTCTCTCTCTCTCCCCCCACCCCTCGTCTTCCACCTCCCTTCCCTCCCTCCTATCACCACTTTTCTTTCCTTGTTTTTCTCTGCCAGGAGAAAAACTTATGAGTATGTAGATCCCAAGACTTAACTTGAGAAAGGTGGTAGAAAGCACCACTTTAGCCTCGCATCTAAGCCCTGTCATCCAACAGAGATGGAAGCCCTAATTTTATAGGCATTTGTCTAGATAAATGAAGAGACACTTTTTCCCATTTTGCCAGTGATCTCTGTATGTATTTTCCAATAGTGGGAATTTAAGAATAGAGGTCAAATGATCATGAATTCCTCACCACTTTATATGCATTTCCACTGTAGCTTACCCTCAACCTCAATGACCCTACAGTTAAGAACATATGGACACATTTTTCCCTATCCCATCACATTCCCATCTCATGATATAACATTAACACACCACCTTCAATAGGATCGCCCATATTATAATTCCATAGCTCAAGATTGTCAATTTCTTCATGAGTGCCAGAATATTCTTGTTTCCTGTTTCTTCTACCCCATGTCCTATTTTCACTCCAAAGGCTAAAGTTTACATTCTTCTTTGGAACCATGCAAGCAGCAACATTGGAAGCCCTATGTAGGAAATAATCTTATTTAAGAAGCAGAGACACCTGATATCTAATTCTGGATATATATTTTATCACTGTGAGATCTTAGAGAAGTTACTTAAACCTTCTGAACTTCAGATTCCCTATAAGTGAAATCAGGGTAATGAAATCTACATTTTAAGATTGCTCAATGTATTCAATGAGATAACAAATGTGAAAATGTTCATCATACAGATTTCTTTTACCTTTGTTGGATATTTACTACAAGCGTTTAATGAGAAAATCTATCTAGAGGTTTCCAGCCAGTACCTGGAAGACAGAGCTCACAGCAGCAGCAGTTTGAGCTGCACGAAGCCCACACCTAAGGTGTCAGTTGTGTCACCCAACCTCTCTTCTTGGTTCTTTTTCTCAGTACTTTCCTCTTCCCTCTACATCCGTATATGCAGTTTTATAAGAAATACTCTGGAAATGCTACTTTATACAATTATTTCAAATTTTCATTACTTCAGCAACACAAATAAGCTTATCATCATTCACATTAATAAGTCATGACAACTGATACTATAATGATCCATCCTTAGAAACAATGATAGAGCTATATTTATATTTCCTTAATAATCAATTTTTCCTAAAATAATCTCTTCTTATGTTGAAATGTGTCATTGTCTCCGAATTTAAAATAACCTGTAAAGTTAGCATCCTCAAAACCCTAGCCATCTTGCATAATTCCCAGGCCCGCTTCAGCATGTTAGTGCATGAATCAAAACGGTCATGAATAATAAGCATTAATATAGGCAAGAAACAAAGTGAGTTTCTTATACCATCAATTGACCAACCAACACATATTTATTGATCACCTACACTGTGCTCCACACAGTGCTATAGAGTATTATGACTAGTGAGTTGTCAAAAAACAAATCACTGGGTCACAATCTCAAGCCAAAAATTAAAGTAGCATGCCAAGGGACGTAGAAGAGTCTCAAGTCGCCTCTAAGTAGACATCAATTCACACTTGCTAAGGCCTGACTGAACATAGTAATTAGGGACAGCAGCATCACCACCATCCCTGTTTGTCTCTGCAACTTAACTCAACCTCACCTGAGCACCTTGCTATCTGCTGCAGTTTCCACAAGCATGGTTTGTGTTGTTGTTGTTTTTTAAGTTAGTACCCAGCACAATAATCGGAGATACCTGAGGCAAATAATATAACCCTAGAATTCTTGAAGCAGGAACTGATAAGAATGATCCACCTGCTCCAACAATTCCTGCCGGAAATGCTCCAGTGCTGTTTCTAAAATTGGGCCTGTTTTCTTCCTGCCCTGTAAGAAATACCAAGACTGCTTCCACTGATTTGGAGATGGTAAAACAGGTATCAAAGATCTGATAGCCCAGAGTGATGTTGGGCAAAATATCCTTCCTCTTATTAATCTCCTTGATCATGTGGATCATGGCTTTCATCCAGCGGAATCTCTGAAAGTTAAACCTGAAAAAGAAATAGACTTTGTAGGTGATTAGGTGGATCTTTGAGGGGAAAAGCAGCTTTTAAAGCATTTTGCCAGAACATCAGCGGGCACCTCACTTTTCTGAGTATGTTAGTTTTTCTTAAATGATATTACAAACTTGAAAGATTCAAGTATGAATCATATTCATTGTTGATTGATTTGGGCTGAAAAGTACAATTTTTGGATGTTTTCTCACTCTGTATATCTTTCATATGCTATAATCTCTTTAAACTCCTATATCTTTTCACAAAAATATTCTTATATTCATAATTCTATCCACCAAACAGGGCCTCCAATAATCCCTCAATACATTTTCCCCATTAATTGGAAGTCCCTGGTGTCGTATGAGTCTCCTCTCTCTCCTACTTACCTTCTTTTGCTTTTTTCTGGACATTAATTATAATTATAAAAGTTATGTAAATACAAGGAAATACTTATGCTAGGAGCACCTAAAAGCAGTACATAAAATTTATATATACTATGACTCCAATTACAATAATTTTTCTATCCGTAATTTCATTGTTAACGTTAAGAGGTTTTTAATTGAAGATGTCTTTTTCCTACCACTCCTAGATATAACCATAAATAAAATACCTCCCCCTTTCCATTTCCTAGCCACTAAAAGGGGAATGTATTTCTCTTGCAGTCCATCACCACATTTACTTTTTAATTCCTTCTCCATTAAGAAAAACATTTAACATTTAATTGCAAACTCTATCTTCCCAGTGTTAACCAAATCTTAACCTATTTGAGAGCAATTTCCCCAAGACCTTCTTTCCTTACAATCTTCTGTGGCTATAGTATCTAACTCTATGTCTTCTATTCAATAAGTACTTTTTAAATTTAATATGTGATAGCAAATAGCCCTGTTGGCAGGGTGGAATTTTTCTCCATGTTTCTTTAATTGGGTTTTTAGTTTTGTTTCGTTTTTCATTTAATATGTAGTTATTGAGTTCCTCTGGTGATAGACACTGTAAATACAGTCGGGAACAAGATAAACACAGCATTGTCTAAGCAAAGAAATAGAAAAGTAGCCAAGCAGTTTCAGCACAAAATGATAAAAACAGTGATGGGTTAAGCCTGGGAGCTATGAAATACAAAGAAGGGGCACCCAGCTCTGAAGGAATTAACAGCCAAGCTGAGGCTTAAAGGACGACAGAAGAACAGGGGAAGAGTGCTGCAAACAGCATGCCCGACGGCGTTACAACAAGAGAACATGTCACATTCAAGGAATGCAAAGACCAGTATGTTTGGAAGAGACAGGGTGGGAGTGGCTGTGGCACAATGAAAGGGGAAACTGGAAAACCAGAAGGTGCCAGAACATGAAGGGCTTTATCATCCTAAGATACTTAGTTTCCAAATTTACACTAATGGCAATATACATTTTTGAAATAAATATAGCAATATCATTTTTAAACTAGAATAGCAATACATTTCAAGAACTAGAAAAATATGCACTGGCTGTAATTCCTCCATCCATGAAAATTTATTTGAACAAACTGTTTTTCCCAAAGGAAAAAGCAATATGCCCCAATTGTTCATTACAGAATTATTTATAATATTGAAAAACTGGAAAGAACTTACATGATGGAAACGTTTTTCATTATTTTAAAACTATTAGAGAAATTACATGGCAGTATACGTATAATATTGTGAAACGTGCAGTATGCAAAGTTGTTTCCATACTATAATTAAAACTACATGTATAAATTATACTAACATTTGGATAAGGATTAACAGGGAAATTTTTTTAAATGAGCACAAGATAATTACTGGAAAGGTGGAATTTGGGGTGATTTTTCTTCGATTCATTGATTTCCATTATGATATTCACAGTATTATTATACAATGCATACATTTTTTCCTCAGGAAATTTCTCTATGTCCTACCTTTGTTTAGATTAATGAAAACAAAATTAAAATACTCCCTTCCTCCTTCCATTTTGCTGCCTTTCTCTTTTCTAAGCAACGTTTTCCAAATAATAGCAAATCTTCCTCTCTGGCCATATTTAAGATCAGTTAAAGTCATAGTTAAAGTCTGGCCATACTTTAACTGATGGCTGGCCAAAATTAGCCTATTGTTAAAATTGTGGGTTTCAGAATGAAATTTCTCCAAACTCCAACTTGAATTTCTATATCAGTTATAGGTGAAGGTTAACAATGCCAAAGTCAAATTATCCAGCTTAGGCTCAGCCTGGCTGCTAAGTACCTTGTAGGCCAGGCCTCCTGTGAGAACTCTCCCACTGGAGAAGTTGCGTCTCGTGGAGGAGTAGAGAGGCTCAGAAAACACTGAGGTAGAGATGGGAGGAAACAGTTGACTCCTATACGTGAAAATGAATTATATAGGCTCTAATTTTGAAGAACTATATCAAAAACTTTTAAGACATGAAATGTTTCTGATATTCATAACATATATTTAGGATGGATTCATTAAAATGCTGAAGAACATTTGAGTCTTATAACACAAAGATGAGCAATTTGGGTTTCAGACAAATCAAGCTTGGAGACAAGCAGAATACACACAATGCCTTGCACCCTTGCAAAACGGATCCACATTGAGAACCAGGAACTGGCTTTTTAGATTGCCCGGACCACATGCAACCACTTTTAAGAGAAGAGGCAATCAGTAGACACCAACCCTGAGATGACTGGGCTGCCAAATGATCAGACGTAGATTTTGAAGCAGCTATTACAACACTGTTCCATAAGGTAAGGGAAAACCCTCTTAAAGCAAATGTAAAAATACAAGTCTCAGCAAAGAAATAGAAGCTATTTTAGAAATGGAAAGAAATAGAAATTTTAGAAATGGGAGACCACTCAGCTTAGTTCATCCTTTTGTGAAATCTGCCCTGCAGACCCCAACCACTAACTCATCTTCCACTCCTTCTCTTCTATTGTGATGGAATCCTGATGGCAGGTGCTCTTTGTGTCCCAAAGAGCTCTGATATACCCCAGAACTCCTGTCTATTGTAGAGACAACTTGCTTTACTGCTTCTACTACCTACCTCCTCTGTACAGCTCATTGCACTTGCACATGCACCAACTAAACCAACTTTCTACACGTGAGGCAATGTGAGGCAGTGCAGAGTTCCCCAAATGAAGAGTTATGATATCAAATAAATTTGGAAAGTGCTGCATGCTTAGCCCTTTCTTAGACATTCACAATGCTTGTCGTATCCTAAATGTTTTATGATGTCTTGGTAGTTACCCAATTTTATCCGAACCCAGAATCCTTTTTTCAAGGAGCATTTATCCATTTGGAAAATATTCTTAAGGTGGACATGCAAAACACTTGGCTGATTCTGAGAGCCTGAAATAAACCCACAACTCTGCCCTATGCTTTCCATGTGACCTGTGTAAGCCATTTAACTTTCTTGAGCCTTAGTTTCCTCATCTGAAATGTGGACATAACATCTTCAACCAGCTGTTTATATATATATATATATATATATATATACTTTTTTTATTATACTTTAAGTTCTAGGGTACATGTGCACAACATGCAGATTTGTTACAGATGTATACATGTGCCATGTTGGTGTGCTGCACCCATTAACTCATCATTTGCATTAGATATATCTCCTAATGCTATCCCTCCCCCCTTCCCCGACCCCAAAACAGGCCCCGGTGTGTGATGTTCCCCTTCCTGTGTCCAAGTGTTCTCATTGTTCAATTCCCACCTATGAGTGAGAACATGCGGTGTTTGGTTTTTTGTCCTTGCGATAGTTTGCTGAGAATGATGGTTTCCAGCTTCATCCATGTCCCTACAACCAGCTGTTTTTAAGATTAAATGGGATGTCTTCTGTACCTAAGAATGAGTTAGCACTGAAGAAACATTCTCTTCCCAAGAGCTTCATCCCAGAAAAACAGGCCCAGATCCAATTTTTTTTTAAATTTTCTTAATGTCCAGAGTGTCAAGAAAATCAAATAACAAATACATGAAGTGAATAAATGCTATTGCTTATTTTCTCACAATTTTATGAAGAGGTTAAAATCAGCTTACTGATACCTCTCTGAGGCAGGTTCTGAGCTCAGGCCCTCATCTCCACAGGCCCTGCTGACTCTCTGGCCTCAGTGTCGACCTTTTCTGTTTCCTGCTCCCAGATATCCCCTTCTGGGTGAATATTGAAGCTGTACCCATTCCTGGCCTCCATCCTATGGGACAAACTGGCTTTCTTCCATTTTCTTACTTGTTATATTTTCAAGAGAAAAACTTTATATGTGATCTCTCAAAATATGAGAGAAAACAGAGCCAACTCCTTACAACTTTCTGAAGAAGGTAAATCTTATTGTTTCCATACAATACATTTTTATCTTTCTCTTTCTCAACTCTTAGCACTTACCACTTTCTTGTTTGTCATTCCAAATGCCTCTGCCTCTTGTACTATTCTCTGACTCTTCTGATCTTCCACTATGGTAGTTCATCAGGCAAGCTCTCTCCCTAAATTCTCTTCAAAAATGTCCTGTCCTCCCCTCTCTGTCTACCTTCCCCACATTTCCATTCCCTTATAGCAAGAAGGACCAACTGAAAAATAACTCATCCTTTTGGGTGAATAACTAATAGTCACTGTCTGCCCCTGTCACTTGCCAATAAACTGTAGAATTTTTAGGACTAAAAGCCAACTTAAAGGCTGTGGTGCTCTTAGTGCTCTCTTGTATCTTACTCTCCACTTCTTCCTGACAATAAACAAGAAGTCACAGCTTAGAAATTTGGTACTTTGCCTGTTTTCACAGTTCCTAACTCCTGCAACTACTATTTGTTTTACATACCTGTATTGGGTAGGTTTGTCTTATATCACTTATTAACTTATTAAAAGCACATTGTATTTTCTTTCATGTACACATATATAAAATGCATATTGTAAAGCCAAGCAGTAGCCACTCAAATCCTGATGGTATTGATTATGCAAATCCCAAAATATTCCTGATAAGTGAATTATTTTCAAAATGGGATGTAGTTACTTCTCATCACTATTGCAACCACAATGTATATGTCAAATTATTTTTAATGAGGAGGAGTGGAGTTTAATTTTAAAACATGTATATTGGCTTTTCCATTTAACCTTCTAGGAAAATAACCTTCAGAAGTTCCAATGCAGAACAGACAACAAATTAAATGATTCTGTTTATGAAATATTAGGGCATATATTTTGCCAAACTTTACGTTTTCATTTTATGTTATTAAGGATTGAAGAAGAGAAAAACTATGATAAATAATGAACTGAGTCTACCATAATGTAGCTGTAAACAAAAGCCTTTCTTATCTTTCTTCTTTTTGCTTCACAGTAAGAAAAGAATTAAAAGATCTAGGAAAAAGATAAGTAGAGACTGATTACAATCCTTTCTGCCAACAACATTATGGTTGTTCCATCCACTAATGGTATCTCAAATATGGGGCATAAAATATAATCAAAGGACAGTAGCTGTAATTAGCAAAGATTTAATGTGTAAGAAATTATTTAAATTTTTTTACAATATGCATTTACAATTTTAATAGCCACGCAGCATCATAGAAATGCTTCCTACACAATATAAAATGCTAAATATAAAATTGTGTCTGTGCTGTGGTCACAACTATGCACAAATTATGGATGCATTTTTATAAAGGGCTAAGAAAGCATATAGGAAAATGAAAAGATCTGCTTTGTTATGCGCATAGAATGGTGGATAAATGTTTTATTTTTAATTTCTAGTGTTCTTTTTATAGCTGAAGTTGGGGGGTGATCTAACACATGTTTGCCTTTATTATAATGGATTACTAGCAAATTCTGATTATCAGTCATGGATCCCATTTCTTTACATGACAACTTGGAGTTAGGGGAGTGCAGGGCAGAACCCTCACAGCAGCTGAAAGAATCTTGCCATTAACAGTAGCTCAGAAATAAGTTAGTGTTCCCACACTGTGTATTTTCACTTGATGAGAGTTTAGTCTATAACAATGAATAATAAACCTGCAACACTGCAACTCTGCATTAGGGCTTCTCAGATCTTAATGTGTACATGAATCACCAGGAGGTCTTGTTCAAATGCAGATCCTGATTCAACAGGTCTGGGAATGTAGCCTGAGATTTTACATTTCTAACAGTCTTGGGTGAAACTGATGCTGCTGGCCCACAGACCACCCTCTGAGGAGCAATGTTCTGCATCATATAAAATCCACTTTTTTTTCTGTCTCAGATACAGAAGTGGAAAATGACCCACTTGAGACCAAGCTTTTCCAGTTTCTAAATAATCCTAGAATGTCCACCTAAGGGAAACTGAGGCCTAGTAACAGGAAGTACCTATCCTGCATCAAAGAGATAGGGTCGGGGTCCAGGCTAGTATCACGGGTGCCAGTTCCAGACTCTAACCCCCTACACCCACCACCTGCAACTGATGTAAAAAGAAAGCTAAAAGAATGGCTTACCCTTCACATTTTGCTGATGCTGGCTCCAAAATAGACTCATTTGCTGGGATGGTCCTGGAGTCAATAGGAAACAGTCCTCCAATAACAAGGGAATGGTTTTCGGCATCTACACACTTGCCCAGCAACCGGCAGGTCCGTTCTTCTTCTTTCTCTTCTTTGGCTTCAGAGCCCAATTCAGCCCATAAAAATGCAAGAAATTCTAGAACCAAGCATTTCCTCTGGCGACCATTTTAATAAGGTGAGTTTGGGGGAAGTGACCAGTGTTGAAATTATACAAGTTTTAATGAGGCACCTTGATAGAGCTTTACAGTGACTGTGCCTCATCCCAGGGGACTCCGCTTGCTGCTATTTGCTATATAATTGTCATGTCTCAATCAGTCAGAGAACCTCGCACTCGCTTGCAATTTATGGATCTGGACTAGGAGCTAAGCAATCCTTTTGAAAAGAGACTCATAAAAGCCTCTTTTATACCTAGAAATAATATATAATAATATAATAGTGGGTTTTGCATTTAAAAGAGTCATTTCATTTTCTAGAAATTGTTCCTTTCTTGTTTAACATATGTCAGCTTCAATCATTCTCACTTCGGCCTCTCTTGTGGGAGCTTCTCTTGCCCCAAAGGTGAGGAAGGGCATCCTGCTTCATCACAGAGTATAAAAAAGGTGACATCAGGCCAACCTCTCTCCTTCAGAGTATAGAAAAAGTTGAGTGGAAAACCATGAGATTTGGAATGGCATACATCATTTTTTGTCTGTGTTCTGCCACTTTCATTAGCGTGGTGGTAGGAAACTTACTTAATTTCTGTGCCTCCCTTCCTGCCTCTGTGACTAGGGGATAATAAACTACCTTAGAAACTTTTGTAAAGCCCGTAAGAGGTCAATGAACATTTTTTGTATGCATCATTTTCTTTAATCTACACTTTAAGGCGAAGTGTTGCCCTCAGCTCACATTGCTGTGTTTGTCACTGGTGAGGCTTATGTCCCTGGGTTTCTTCCTGAGAGCTCCTTCTCCTCCCTTTCTTGCCAGGCCTCTCCTAGAGGTGTCCCCCAGTCTTTCTCCAGGTCAACTCACCATGGATTCCTGGTCCCTCGTCTTGCTCTTTGCGCCTCTCAAACATTTCCCCTCAGAGTATAAATTCACAGAAATATTTTCAGAACACAATCCACCAATATATGAAAAATCTGTATACCCTTTGATCATGTGATTTTACTTCAAAGTATTTATCTCAAGGAAGCAATTAAGATCCACACAAACATGATGTATAAGGATATCGACTACAGTTTGATTTATAATAGTAAAAAGGCAGCAAACTAAATGTACACAATGGGGAATTTTTAAATCAATTATGATTTATTCACGTGATGTAATGCAAAGGAGCCATTTAAATCATATTTTGGACAAATGTTTATGCATTAGGGAAAAGTTCACAATATGCTTTAAGTGAGGATAACCAATTTTAAAAGCAACAAACAAAATGGCATTCTACATTTCTAAAATTTAGCAATATTTTATAGCTGTCTTTCACCTATATGTTTCCATTAAAAGAACTAAAAGAAACCATTGCAAACCAGATGTCAAAAGAAAGGAAAAAAATTACCTTTCCCACTGCCTTAACAAACCAATCATTTTCATGTTTCTGTGTTCGTTTCCAGTTCAAAATGACAGTCATGCAGTGCTTTTCAGTGCTATATTATGTGATTTTAATTTTTCATCTTTACACTTTTCTACATTCCCCATCTGTTCTACAACACAATTATACTCCCCACATATTCACCACGCTGATATTATTAACATTACCAGTCAGCTGGGACCCACCTCCCCTTCCACAGGAAGGTCATCTCCTTCACCTTATCCTCACTGAAGGATTTCCTATTTGTTGTCTAAGTGTAATCTCCACCTGACCTGGGAAATCCCAAAAAAGGGTCTCCCATTACTACTTGCTGGTGAAATCCTAGGCCCATGCTTCAGTCTTCCCATAGCCATCTGCCTTCACAAGTGAGCTAGCAGATGACATAGCCCTGGGCCCTGACTGAGTGACATCACAGTCTGTCAAATGTCTCACAAGTCTCAGTTTTCTAAAGTGTGGATGCTCCACAGGTTCCACCCTCAGGCTTTCAAAATGATGCTGACAAGTCTTAAAGGAAAGACTGATTCCCAGAGGAACCTCTTCAGAATTTGGTTACATCCAAATAAAAGGACACTCTGGGTGATAGACTACACCTCCTTAACAGCCTGAGAATCCCTCTCTTGAGCTGTAAGGGTTTAGTCCATGGCTTTTCTCAGACCTATTTGGAACTATTCCTCCCTCATTTGTGATCTCTCTTTCTTACCAGAAGGCAGCTGTTTCTGAGCAATTCTCTCTTGTTGTCAAGGGCTACCCTTGCACAAAGGCATGTTTATCACCAAAGCTGATTTGTCTTAATCCTCTAGTAAAAAAAGAAAAACTGTGCTCAGGCCTATAAAAAAATCATTAAAATAGATGATTTTATGTTATATTAATAAGAACAAAAAGCTAGCATTTTTACTGCATTTTACATTTTACAAATTGTTTTCACATACTTTATTATTCCTGTAGGTCAGGAACTAAATTCAGTGTTGATGAGGTTTCTGATTTGGGCAGCAGCATCTGGTGTCCAGTGCTTTTGTAATTCCCGGGATGATAGTATATTTTACCAGGGCCATGGTGATTACATCTTCCAAATGTAGTAGGACTCATCAGAGATGAGACAAAGCATAGGAAAAATAACACGCATGCTCTTAGGCAGAAGGTCTTTATTGCATGCACGGTGATGGATAATTCACACCTCGTCACACTCTGTGGCTGGTTTTGTTTTGTTCACTTTACAAATGAAGAATCATGAGCTCACAGATGCAGCATATGTTAAAGTGCAGACACCAAAGCTCATATCCTTTCAGAGGCCTAGGGGTAGACAGAAAGGACATGGCCAAGTCCAAGAGCAGGAATTAGAGGTGTGGCCTTTTCACTGTGTGATCCTCTCTCCATCTCTTGGACCTCGGGCCCCTCATCACCAAGTAGGGAGCTTCAGACTAAACAGCTTTTTTTCTTAAGGGTCCTAACAGAGTCAGCAATGTTATGGTTCTGAGTGAGCAATTCCAGGGCTCAGATTCAATGATAGCTTAATAGTGTGCTGCCAGAGCAAGCAGCAGCAAATTGTTTCATTGACTGTCAAGGTGAAATGGTTTTCTCAATAATACTTTGAACCTAATTACCATTTTCACATGACTCTGACTTCAAGGACCCCTGATCAAGGCAAAAAACACCAGGTGAATGTCGGTGCAAAAGGCCATGGGCGTTTAATCCCATGTGTCCACTCCAAGACTAGGCCTGAGACTACGAGCTGTATGTTTTCACCTCACTCCCCCAGACATGTTTGATCCTTGTGGCTCTCCAAGGACCCTGGTGAAAGTTAGGCTTCCTTCCAGGAACAATAACACATTCTGTCCAGACTTGTCTTCACCTTCAAGCAAAAGAAAACACCTGAGCTCCTAAAGACTCTGGATCCATATTATTAACGAAGGCTAAGAATATTTAAAGGCTGTTATACGGTTTCCAGGAAAAGCTCAAGCCCCAAATCTACTGCAGATAGACACTGCTGAGTGCTTCTGAGAAACTGGGGCATTACAGCCATCCCAGTGCACCTACAGCTGGGTCACAGTCATTTGGTCAGGCACAGTTTGTCAGATGTCATTTGACTTTTATATTTCTCTATGTTACTTGGAATCCTAGGTAATGCTCATGCCATACCAGCAGATGAACAAACACACTAGTCTACTTTGTTTTATTTCCTATGCAGAGCCATCCTACCCAGTCAAGAAATGAACATAACACCTAGTTACATGTATTTAAATTGCTGTTTTTACTTGGCAAAATGTATATTACAGCTGACCCTTAAACAACATGGGTTTGAACTGCATGGATCCACTTTCACGTGGATTTTCTTCTGCCTCTGTCACCCCAAGACAGCAAGACCTCCTCTTCCTCCTCCTCCTCAGCCTACTCAGTGTGACAATGACAAGGATGAAGACCTTTATAATGATTCACTTCAACTTAATACATAGTAAACATATTTTTTCTTCCTTATGATTTTCTTAGTAACATTTTCTTTTCTCTAGCTTACTTTATTGTAAGAATACACTATCTAATATGTATACTAAATATGTGTTCATTGAGTGTTCATGTTATCGGTTAGGCTTCCAGTCAACAGTAGGCTATTAGTAGTTAAGTTTTGGGGGAGTCAAAAGTTATACACAAATTCCCAACTGCACAGGGGAGGGGGTCAACACCCCAACCCCCATGTTGTTCAAGAGTCAACTGTGGTTTTTTAGATGTATGTCTCCAACAGTTAAAAAATGTTTACCTATAATATGAATTTTGTGACATTATGACATTATGGCTTGCCTGTATCTTTATTGCGAGAAGAAAAAAAGACTAAAAATAAATCAACTTTCATAAGTGCGTTGTTATTATGATATTCAAGTTATTCATGAGAGGCCTCGGGGTGTGTAAAAAGTAGGCTTTTGGATTTTTTAACACATCAGTACTAGTCACTTGTTACAGAAGAGCCCCTGTGTGTCTAAACAGAGAAAGCCCTCAATTATAGCAAAGGAGAAAGACACTCAGACACTGCAGGCATAAAAATCTTTAAACAGCTACCTTGCTGAATTGAGAAAGCCACAGGTTACTACCTCGTCTGCTGCATCTATTTTCAGGAAAACAATTTGACAGCCTGATTAATCTCCTACCTCAATATCAGCTGACTCAAAAACAGCAACTCTTACCATACAGAACCTACAGCATCCTCTTTCTCCTTGGAAGCATCACATGTTACAGAGCTATAGTGTGCTGCGGCTGCAACAAAAATAGTGAAGATGGTAAGCAATTGACTAAAGCTGGAAAACTGTTATAATCACAGCCTTGTAGAGAATAAACATCTATTGTTTAAAAAATTTGAAATAAAGAAAACTGGCCAGCTGTAATTCTCACTTAAAAAATTAAGTATGCCTGCCTGCCTCCAATCTTCCCTTTTAATCTATTCCAACACTGAAAGGAAGTGACCACATCAATCTCCAGACCACTTTTTACATTTTTTACAGTTTATTGAGATATAATTTACATACCACACACCAGACCCATTTAGGATGCGCAATTCAATATTGTTTTAGTATATTTACAGAGTTATGCAATCATCGCCGCAATCTAATTTTAGAACACTTTCATCATCATGAAAAGGAAAATTATGTCCCATTCGTCCCTCACTCCAAGCCTTAGGAAACCACTTACTCTACTTTCTGTCTTGGTAGTTTTGTCCATTCTGGACATTTTATTTAAATGGAATTACACAATATATGGGAGTTTTGTGTCTGGTTTATTGATACAGCATAATAGTTTAAAGTTTATTCATGTTGTAGTATATATTAGTACTTCATTTTAAAAAATCTTTATTGAGATATAATTTATACACCATAAAATTTACCCAATTGAAAAGTACAATTTAATGGGTTTTAGTATACTTAAAGAGTTGCAACTATCACCATGGACTAATTTTGGAATAGAGAATCATTCCCCTTTCTGTCCACTACCACCCCGAGCCCTAGATAACCACTAATCTACTTTTCTGTTGGTAAAGATTTCCTATTCTGGACATTTATATAAATGAAATTATAAAATATGTGGTCATTATACTGGCTTATCTCATTTAACATGGCATTTTCAGTTTGTTCATGTTTTACTACGTATCGGTGCCTTCTTCCTTTTTATTGATTTCTTTTTATTGCCAAATAATATTCCATTGTATGGATACACCAGATTTTATTTATCCATTTATCTGTTAATGAAGATTTGGATTGTTTTCACTCTTTGGCTGTTATGAACAATGTTGCTATGAACATTCTTATACATGTATTTGTGTAAACATATGTTTTCAACATTTTGATTTTCATATAAACATATATTCTCCCACATTCAGGAGTAAAATTGGTAAGTCACATGGTAACTCTATGTTTAACATTTTGAGAAACTGCCAAAGTGTTTCCTAAAGTGGCTCCACTATTTTACATTCCCATTAGTAACGTATGAGGGTTCCAATTTCTCTACATCCTTACCACCACTTGTTATTCTCCTGTTTTATTATAACCCTTCTAGTGCTTATAAAGTGGTATCTCATTGTGGTCTTGATTGGCACCTCCCTTACAGCTAATGACTCCGAGAAAGCTATATGCTTTCTGATTTTTTTTTTTTTTTTTGAGATGGAGTCTAGGTTTGTTGCCAGGCTGGAGTGCAGTAACACAATCTCAGCTCACTGCAACCTCCGCCTCCTGGGTTCAAGCGATTCTCCTGCCTCAGCCTCCCGAGTAGCTGGGATTACAGGCATGTGCCACCACACCCAGCTAATTTTTGTTTTTTTGTTGTTGTTGTTTTTTTTTTTTTTAGTAGAGACAGGGTTTCACTATGTTACCCAGGATGGTCTCGATCTCCTGACCTCGTGATCCGCCCACCTCGGCCTCCCAAAGTGCTGGGATTACAGGCGTGAGCCACTGCGCCCGGCCGCTATATGCTTTCTTCTAGATGTTTTCAAATTGTAATTCTCACATCTAGGATTATGATCTATTTTGAGTTAATTTTTGTGTGTGACATAAGGTAAAGCCTAACTTCTTTTTTCCCTTTTTTTCCTTTTCTGATAAATAACCAACTGTCTCTGCACCATTGGTTGGAAAAACTATTATTTTCAACATTGAATTGAATTATTGTGGCATCCCTGACAAAAATAAATTGACTTCCAATGTAAGGATTTATAATCTCAATTCTATTCCACTGGTCTATATGTCTATCCTTTTGCCAGTGTTGTGCTGCCTCCATTACTGTAGTTTTGTTGTGATTTTTGAAATCAGGAAATGTAAGTCCTCCAATTTTATTCTTTTTCAAAAGTGTTTAAACAATTCCAGGTCTTTTCCATTTCCATGTGCATTTCAGGATCAGCTTGTCAATTTCTGGAAATCCTCAGCCAGCTTAGGAGTCTGACAGAGATCGTGTTGAATCTGTAGATCAACACAAGTTGATCTACACAAGTTGATCAACACAAGTTTTGGAAGTGTTGCCATCTTAATATTAAGTTTATGTATCAGAAGACTCAGATCATTTGCAAAGGCTCTTCAACTGCCTTAGGTCAAATCCACCCACAATAGGTCTTACAAGGTCCATCTTGATCCAGCCCCTAGTTAAGTAACCAGTTGCCTCTTTGGCAGCACCCCCTCCCATTGCCACCACAAAATACACTATCCGCCATAAACCTGCCTTTGGTTCTTTAAATATGTGATGCTCTCTTTTATCTCCAGGTCTGTCCTCACCCCCATACACTGCACATTCTCTGTGTCAGGGGCTTTCTCCCTTGTGCCCCATCCCTGATTCACTTCTTTTCCTTCATGTCTCAGGTCCCTTTTCACTTTCTCTGAGACTCACATCCTGAGATATGCAGCTCCCCATGGCCTACATGATTTGCCTGCCTTTATTCTTTCATGGTGGACTTTAGTTTATTTGATGGAAAACATCGTTCAAGACTTCAAATTGGTTGAAATGTCTTGATTGAAATGAATATCACTAGTCCCTATTTTAGGCAGTATTAGAAATTTGGGCAGTTTTACAACTATTCTTGTGTCTTTAAACATTTTTATAACTCTTTACAAAATGTTCAGGATTTGGAGAAAATATTTTCCTTCCTTTTTTTCTAGTATTTTCCTCCAATCGGTTGTACCTGTTCATACCTATTGGACCTGTTTATAATGGTTGTTGCAGTTTGAATAATGGCCCCTCAAGGTGTCCATGTCTTCATCTCTGAAACCTGGGAATATGTTATATTCTGTGGCAAAAAGAAAATCTACAGATGTAATTAAGTTAAAGACTTTAAAATGAGGAGATTAACCAGGATTATACAAGTGGGCTCGAAGATGAAATCACAAGTGTCCTTATAGAAGGGAAACAGAGAGAGATACTACAGAGAAGAGAAGAAAATGTGAGGAAAGCAGAGTCTGGGATGTTGGCAGCCTCTCCAAACTGGAAAAGGCACGTAGTTGGATTCTCCCCTCATAGCCTCCATATGAAACTAGTTTTACTGACATCTTGACTTTAGCCGAATGAAACTGATTTCAGAAACTGATCTCCAGAGCTGTAAAAGAATAAATTTGTGTTGCTTTAAGCCAATAAATTTGTGGTAATCTGTTACAGCAGCTAAAGGTAATACAATAGTAATGAGTTGTAAATAACCTAACATCCAACAAAAGGGGCTAGTGGGGATCAACTTGGATATCCAATAACATGCCAGCAGGAAACAACCTATATGCCCACAGGAAGAAACTGGTTATATAGATTCTGATAAGTTTCAGACTAATAGGTGTGGTTTGGTTTTCTTCATCACCCAGGCTGGAATGCAGTGCCGCAATCTAGGCTCACTGCAACCTCCATCTCTCGGGTTCAAGTGATTCTCGTGCCTCAGCCTCCTGAGTAGCTGGAATTACAGGCATGTGCCACCACGCCCAACTAATTTTTGTATTTTTATTAGAGACAGGGTTTCACCATGTTGGCCAGGCTGGTCTCGAACTCTTGACCTCAAGCGATCCTCCTGGCTTGGCTTCCCAAAGTGCTGGGATTACAGGCATGAGCCACAGCACCCGGCCAACAGTAACCTACTTCTAAAAACAAATGGACTGATATAAAAAAAAATTGTGCACCTTAAATATATACAATTAAAAGCAAAACAAAACAAAAAACAAATGGACCTGCGTGACCCTTAGGCACTTAGTGAATTCTGCCCAGTGCAACACTGCCATCCAGTGTCAGGCATCACAGCAATGAACTCAGCAAGAAATTTCCTTGAGCTTTGAGCAGGTGTCACTCAGAAATTTCTTGCCACATTTTCCTCTTCACTGGAAATCCCCAGTGGAGTAGGGGAGCTACTGGTGATTCTCTTTATCTTTGATTCTTAGAGATAGATGGGGATCTCGGATATCTGTACCTCCCATGGGCAGGTCACTAAATAGAAAAGTCATCTAAGTCACTAAGGAGCTTTGTGACCTTGATCATATTGCTAAACTTTTCTGAGCTCCAGCTTCTTCATGTGTAAAGTATAAATAATAGTGAAGTATTTTTACTGCACATGGTTTTTGTAAGGGTTGCTGAACAATGAGACACTTATACTGTGGAATATAAGATACTTTTATTCTAATAGTACTGTTATCATTGCTACTAATGTTATTGTTAATTGGTATATTTTGAACTCACAGTTGGAGATGCTGATGTGGATAAATAATCTAAGCACATGGAAAGCTATGTTTATGGTTTTATGAACCACCACATATCATTCCCTTAAAATCCAAGATGTGTAACTCAACATTTTATTGCAGATTGCCTCATTTTCCAATTATTTTACTTAGTTTTACTGATTCTCACCATCTAAGTGATCATTTCTAGGCAAGAACTTTGTCTTATGGCACATAAATATAGTAGTAGAGGTTATTATATAGTATTTATAGTACATACAAAAGCTATAAAAATGGGAACCAGTGATTAGAAATACTCATTTTCAACCAATTTACAAGATGGAAATGTTCTCAAAAACATTGTGGAACAAATAGTACAGGAGAAGCTGGATGCATATAAATTAGAAATTAAGAAATCATAGAATCCACTCAGGCTCTTAAAAACTCCAGATCCTTTCCTTGTATTTTCTTATCGTTCCTTTCATTGCTTAAGTTTCTTTTATTGATCTTTCTCCTTTATTATTATAAAAACAATGAAGCCTTTGGCTCACTGAAGATGAAATAAACAAATAAAAAGAAGCTTAAGTTTCTTTTATTGATCTTTCTCCTTTATTATTATAAAAACAATGAAGCCTTTGGCTCACTGAAGATGAAATAAACAAATAAAAAGAATAGCATAAAGAATACTGATTGTCCTATCCACTTATAGCCTCTCAGATCTTTTTTTAATGCGTTAAGAAAACCAGGTTGGGTGTGATGGGTTGCTCACAACTTGAATCCAGGAGGCAGAGGTTGCATGAGCTGAGATCGTGCCATTGCACTCCAGCATGGGCAACAGAGTGAAACTCTGTCTCAAAAAAAAAAAAGGTAGGTTACTGCTCAACTTGCCAGAAGTGACTTACAATATTTGTGTTAAACACTATTATGATGTGGCAGAATAAGAATTTGTAATAATTCCAAAGTGCACTAAATGCAACTTTATTTTCTACAATTGTCCCCATCTTGCTGCAGCTGGCTCTGACTACAGTCCTGCTGATGATCATCAAGGTACAGTTGAAATGGTGTTGGGGAGTGTATTCGTCTGTTTTCACACTGCTATAAAGAAATACCTGAGACTGGGTAATTTATAAAGTAAAGAGGCTTAATTGACTCACAGTTCCACATGGCTGTGGAGGCCTCAGGAAACTTACTAACACAACCATGGGGGAATGCTAAGGGGAAGCAAGCACCTTCTTCACAAGATGGCAGAAGAGAGAAGAACAGGGGAAACTGCCACTTATAAAACCATCAGATCTCATGAGAGCTCCTACTCACTATCATGAGAACAGCATACGGGAAACCGCCCCCATGATCCAATCACCTACCTCCCTTGACACGTGGGGCATAGTTGGAGATGAGATTTGAGTGGGGACACAGAGCCAAACCATATCAAGGAGGAACACTTGATTCTGCTAAAGAAGGGTAACAGCATCTCTTTCTAAATACTGTCTTCAGATAAAGAGTCAATGTAATTCAGATTTATACTCTTCATAACAGTGGTTTCTCTCCTCTTAAGGAACTTCCCCGTCCAATTCTCCCTTCCTCTGAGTCCCATGGAAAGCTTACTACAATGTGGGGAAGAGCCTCTGGTCCATGTGCCACATTCTGTGTCCTTGCCGGCCTCAATTCGTTTGGTCATTGTCACAGCTACCATGTTGATAGACATTGACAAGATTGTAGATATCTAGACTATACTTTCAGGGATCATTTCTACAGTTTGTTACTAGAGAAGTTTCTCTGAATGTATAGAGCACCGAAGACAAGCATCCCCTCTCTCGCCACTCCTATCCACTCATAAGTGAGAGTTGAACAATGAGAACACATGGACACAAGGAGGGGAACATCCCACACCAGGGCCTGTCAGGGGGTAGGGGGCTGGGGAAGGGATAGCATTAGGAGAAATACCTAATGTAAATGACGAGTTGATGGGTGCAGCAAACCAACATGGCACATGTATACCTATGTAACAAACCACATGTTGTGCACACATACCCCAGAACTTACAGTATAATAATAATAAATTAAAATTAAAATAATTTACTTTTATAAAATTAAAATAATTTACCTTCATAAAAAAGTAAAATAATAGAAACCCCCCCCCAAAAAAAAGATTGTAGATCTCTAGTCATGACTTCACGTACAAGGCCCCTTCACTCTGTGACCTCCTTTTTCCATGACTGCAGGCTTCTTCTAGCCTACCAGTCCTCTCAGTTTCCATGTTCCTTTCTAATCACACACAGCCTGCAAGTACCTGTGAGTCTCCACTGCACCATGGTTCAGGCCATGGGGAATAGGGGAACTAGTTTAGGCCCATCTACGGAAACACCTCTCTCCAACATCACTTCTGAACCGAGCCCATAGGATGGCACCATGTTCAATAAGGTGCCACAAAAAACCTATGGCTTCCCTCAACTTGTTGCAATCTCTCCAGCGTGGAGAGTCTCTGACAGCCCCAAACCTGTTTGGATGTTTAACCACACTTGCCACATGCTCAACCCTAAGGACATGGAGAACTAGGAAATTCTTACCTGGCCCTCCTCCCTTTCTCAACTTCCCCCCTTTTCCCAGCACCAGGACTTTCTGTTTACTTTCCCTTTCCTTCTGTAAGCAACTTTCCTATGTAATAGCCTCTTTCTTACCAACTCCATGAGTGTCTTTGCTCCATGTAGATATCTTTTCCCTTCCTTAGCACTAAAGCCTTCATAATCTGGCCCTTATGCTAGAAGGACTACAGAAGTTTTCTTGTTTTTAATTACCAAGGGGCAAATATATTAGTAATTATTTCAAGAATATCAGTTTCTAATAATAGCAGTAATTAAGTGTTAGGCTCTCTCTCTAGGGTTTGAAGCATGGCTCTACCACTCACTAACTGTCCAGCCTTAGATATGTCACTTAACTATTGTACACTTGAGTATCCTCTTATGTGAAAAAAAATAGATAACAGTGAGCTTGTTATGATGCTTAAATAAGATAAAGCAGGTGTAGCACTCAACATAGTTGCTAGTATACAATGAAGTGCCTAGCTAACATTAGAAATTAGTGGTGTTTCTTTGTCCCTTAGCTACTAAGGTAGTCATTCATTTAAATTATTAAATTTCATGTGCAAAAAAAGAGCACTAAACAAAGAAAGGATGCCTATTATTTTATTTTGTTACAAAACCACAAAATTCTGCCTCCAGCTTTTTAGATCCCCTTGCAGAAGATCATTGCTGAGATGCCTAACACTGGATGGCAATGTTGCACTGGGCAGGCTTCATTAAGACCCTGGAGAGTGGATTCTTCCTTTCTGAAAAAGGGCATAGTTAAATCAACTTAATCAAATGTTAGGAGAAAATTTAGGGTCTGTCACATACACACATATACACAATCTCTCCCTTTTTTTTTTTTTTTTGAAATCGAATCTCACTCTGTCGCTCAGGCTGAAGTGCAGTGGCACAATCTCAGCTCATTGCAGCCTCCGCCTCCCAGGTTCAAGCAATTCTCCTGCCTCAGCCTCCCAAGTAGATGAGACTACAGGTGCAAGCCACCATACCTGGCTAATTTTTGTATTTTTAGTAGAGGCAGGGTTTTGCTAGGTTGGCCAGGCTGATCTTGAACTCCTGACCTCACCTCAGGTGATCCACCCACCTCGGCCTCCCAAAATGCTGGGATTATAGGCATAAGCCACCGCACTTGGCCCACAATCTCTTCAAATCAACCAGAAAATATATCTAAAAAGCTATTTCCACATTTTAAATGGTCTATTTAATACTAAATGTCTTATTAACATTGAAAATGTCTCTTTTAATACTTCAGTAAGTGCCATTGTCAGTACGTAGTTTTCTATATACAACTGTCACGTGTTTAGTAACAGCTGATTACTGTGGCTTAATAGTCACTTCTGAATGAATCAGAAGCACTTTGAAACCTGGTTAAAGTAATTTATCTGGTTGTTCAAACACAGTTCAGCAAAACAAGCTAAAACACTTACCTGGTTTATAGTCCTGTCCTCTCAATAAACGCTTGCTGAAAAACAAAATGCTATCACACAACTATACCTTGAAACAACTATAACTCTTTAGAAACTACCATTATGGAGAGATTTTGGTCATAAAAGAAATTTTATTAAATTTAGTGAGATACATATAGGAATTCAAATTGTGCTGCAATATTCCTTTCTTCATTGGTTCATTCATTTAAACTACCGTTGAGAGAGATATTCAAAATAAGCCGGATTTGCAACTCCAATGATCCACACCAGAATGCAAAAATTTCCCTTTTCCTCTCAGAGCCTGTCGGTCTAAATAATACATATGTGTTTAATTTAACTAAATATCTAAATGATACTTCTAAGATGCTTGGAATATAGTTGCTTTTATAAATATAAGGCACTACCACCCCAGATATTACCAGAGTCTTATCTATAGTGTTAATCTTCACCTTCTACGAAAGAAGAGTTTGCAGAGCAAACGTCAGACTAGTCTCTATGCAATTAAGAATGTGTGGAGCTCAAATTAGTGAGACTTCATAGCATTTAGATCCAGAGGCAGAGCTATTCCCTGGAGGGTCTCTGTCTTCAGAATTAACACTGCCTGTTTTGGTTTAGCAAAATCTACATTTGAGGAAGTGGGAACAAAATCCCATCTAACAAACAAAAGCTTTCTGAAACTTTGGACTCTTTCAAAGCTAAGCAAATGCTTTCAAAGACAGGACTTGAAAAAAAACACTTTACTGCTCCTCCCTGCCCCCACCCCACCACCCAATGCTGGGACATAGGGGTACTGTCTCCGTGCAGCGAATAAACAAAGGGAAGAATCTAACTGATACTAACTCAAATATGTCTTTTATACTTTATTTCAAATTTCCATAATCAGGGGGAATGCAGAGATTTCTTTCTGCAATGTGCTTTGGTAATACATTTATTTGGTTTGGTTTGGAGTGGGGGAAGAGTGGCTAGTGCTCCTCTCTGAAGAAATTATGAAATCTCTCTTCTACCCATTTTCTCTCATCCCTTTCCCAAATTTATAATTTTTCTTTTCCAAATAAGATTTCATTAATTTTTTACTATAGACACAAACATTAGAGCACCCAATATGCATGCCTTGCAGTGACATAAAAAAATAGCAAATAAATAACAAGGAAGGAACAGGAAAAGCAAAGGTGACAAATCGGATCTCTTGATATTTTTTTCAAAGTGATCAGCTGGGTACAAGTGTTATTTTATGACTCCCTCCCTACTCACCTCTCCTCAACAGCTCCACTTCCCACCCCACAGCTTACCCCTCGGGTTGCAACTGGATAAAAAATTCTACAGTTTCTTCCATTAGGAGAATGGTTTGTGTATGCGTGTGTGTGCGCTAACTTAAAAAAGACCCAAGCAAATATATGTGGATAATCTTCAGATCTAGGAAAGGAATGAAATTCTTCTGGTTAAGTGAATAAGGTGAGATAAGAATGTTCATTTATTTTAATGGGTAGTAAATCCACTTTTCCCTGAAAAACATGCCCAATTCAATAAAGGAGGAAGTCATCATTAAAAAGAAGTTGAGCAGTTTTTTTGTATATTATCCTGTTTATCATAATAGATATTCTCTGCCTATCCCAAAAAATAAAATAGAAAATACAAGCAAATAGGGCTGGGTGTGGTGGCTCACACCTGTAATCCCAGCACTTTGGGAGGCTGAGGTAGGCAGATCACAAGGTCAGGAGTTTGACACCAGCCTGGTCAATATGGTAAAACCTCATCTCTACTAAAAATACAAAAATTAGATGGGCATGGTGGTGCGTGCCTGTAGTCCCACCTACTTGGGAGGCTGAGGCAGAAGAATCGCTTGAATCCAGGAGGCAGAGGTTGCAGTAAGCCAAGATCACACCACTGCACTCCAGTCTGGGTGACAGAGTGAGATTCTGTCTCAAAAAGAAAAGAAAGAAAAGAAAAGAAAAGAGAAAAAAAGGAAAGAAAGGAAAGGAAGTGAGAAGGAAAGAAAAGAAAGGAAAGGAAATGAGAAGAAAAGAAAGAAAACATAAGCAAATTTAGGGTGGCTGGCAAGATGGCCGAATAGGAACAGCTCCAGTCTGCGGCTCCCAGCGAGATCAATGCAGAAGGTGGGTGATTTCTGCATTTCCAACTGGGGTACCCAGCTCATCTCATTGGGACTGGTTAGACAGTGGGTACAGCCCATGGAGGGCAAGCTGAAGCAGGGTGGGGCATCGCCTCACCCAGGAAGCGCAAGGGGTTGGGGAACTCCCTCCTCTAGCCAAGGGAAGCCATGAGGGACTGTGCTGTGAGGAATAGTGCATTCTGGTCCAGATACTACACTTTTCCCACGGTGTTTGCAACCCTCAAACCAGGAGATTCCCTCAGGTGCCTACACCAACAGGGCCCTGGGTTTCAAGCACAAAACTGGGCAGCCATTTAGGCAGACACCAAGTGAGCTGCAGAAGTTTTTTTCATACCCTTGTTGCACCTGGAATGCCAGGGAGAAAGAACCATTCACTCCCCTGGAAAGGGGGCTAAAGCCAGGGAGCTAAGTGGTCTAGCTCAGCAGATCCCACCCCCATAGATCCCAGCAAGCTAAGATCCACTGGCTTGAAATTCTCGCTGCCAGCACAGTATTGTGAAGTCGACCTAGATGGCTGAGCTTGGTGCGGGGAGGGGCGTCCACCATTACTGAGGCTTGAGTAGGCAGTTTTCCCCTCACAGTGTAAACAAGGCCACTGGGAAGTTAGAACTGGGCAGAGCCCACCACAGCTCAGCAAAGCCGCTCTAGCCAGACTGCCTCTCTAGATTCCTCTTCTCTGGCAGAGCATCTCTGAAAAAAAGTTAGCAGCCCCAGTCAGGGGCTTATAGATAAAACTCCCATCTCCCTGGAACAGAGCACCTGAGGGAAGGGGCAGCTGTGGGTGCAGCTTCAGCAGACTTAAACGTTCCTGCCTGCCGGCGCTAAAGAGAGCAGTGGATCAAGCAGCTGCTAAAGGACAGCTCTGCTAAAGGACAGACTGCCTCCTCAAGTGGGTCCCTGACCCCCATGCCTCCTGCTGGGAGACACCTCCCAGCAGGGGTCGACAGACACCTTATACAGCAGAGCTGCCACTGGCATCTGGTGGGTGCCTCCCTGGGATGAAGCTTCCAGAGGAAGGAGCAGGCAGCAATCTTTGCTGTTCTGCAGCCTCCACAGGTGAGACCCAGGCAAAGAGTGTCTGGAGTGGAACCCCAGCAAACTCCAGCAGACCTCCAGCAGAGGGTCCTGACTGTTAGAAGGAAAACTAACAAACAGAAAGCAATAGCATCAACATCAACAAAAAAGACATCCACACAAAAACCCCATCCAAAGGTCACAAACATCAAAAACCAAAGGTAGATAAATCTATGAAGATGAGGAAAAACCAGTGCAAAAAGGCTGAAAATTCCAAAAACCAGAATGCCTCTTCTCCTCAAAAAAAAATCACAACTCCTTACCAGGAAGGGGACAACACTGCACGGAGAATGAGTTTGAAGAATTGACAGAAGTAGGCTTCAGAAGATGGGTAATAACAAACTCCTCCAAGCTAAAGGAACATATTCTAACCCATTGCAAAGAAGCTAAGAACCTTGAAAAAAGGTTAGAGGAATTGCTAACTAGAATAACCAGTTTAGAGAAGAAAATAAATGACCTGATGGAGCTGAAAAACACAGCACAAGAACTTCGTGAAGAATATACAAGTATCAATAGTTGAATCAATCAAGTGGAAGAAAGGATATCAGAGATTCAATATCAAATCAATGAAATAAAGCGTGAAGACAAGATTAGAGAAAGAAGGATGAAAAGGAATGAACACAGATTCCAAGAAATACGGGACGATGTGAAAAGACCAAACCTACGTTTGACTGGTGTACCTGACAGTGATGGGGAGAATGGAACCAAGTTGGAAAACACACTTCAGGATGTTATCCAGGAGAACTTCCTCAACCTAGCGAGACAGGCCAACATTCAAATTCAGGAAATACAGAGAACACCACTAAGATACTCCTTGCAAAGAGGCACTCCAAGACACATAATCGTCAGATTCACCAAGGTTGAAATGAAGGAAAAAATGTTAAGGGCAGCCAGAGAGAATGGTTGAGTTACCCACAAAGGGAAGCTCATCAGACTAACAGTAGATTGCTCTGCAGAAACCCTACACACCAGAAGAGAGTGGGGGCCAATATTCAACATTTTAAAGAAAATAATTTTCAACCCAGAATCTCATATCCAGCCAAACTAAGCTTCATACACGAAGGAGAAATGCAATCCTTTCCAGACAAGCAAATGCTGAGGGATTTTGTCACCACCAGGCCTGACTTACAAGAGCTCCTGAAGGAAGCACTAAATACGGAAAGGAAAAGCCAGTACCAGCCACTGCAAAAACAAACCAAAATGTAAGGACCATCGAAACTATGAAGAAACTGCATCAACTAATGGCCAAAATAACCAGCTAGCATCATAATGACAGGATCAAACTCACACATAACAATAGTAACCTTAAATGTAAACGGGCTAAATGCCCCAATTAAAAGGCACAGAGTGGCAAACTGGATAAAGAGTCAAGACCCATTGGTGTGTTGTATTCAGAAGACCCATCTCACGTGCAAAGACATGCATAGGCTCAAATTAAAGGGATGGTGGAAGATAGATTTACCAAAATAATGGAAAGCCAAAAAAAAAAAAAAAAAAGAAAAGAAAAGAAAAAGCAGGGTTTGCAATCCTAGTCTCTGATAAAACAGAATTTAAACCAGCAAAGATTAAAAAAGACCAAGAAGGGCATTACATAATGGTAAAGGGATCAATGCAACAAGAAGGGTTAACTATACTAAATATATATGCACCCAATACAGGAACACCTAGATTTATAAAGCAAGTTCTTAGAGACCTACAAAGAGACTTAGTCTCCCACACAATAATAGTGGGAGACTTTAACATCCCATTGTTAATATTAGATCAAGAAGACAGAAAATCAACAAGTATATTCAGGACTTGAACTCAGCTCTGGACCAAGCAGACCTAAAGGACATCTACCGAACTCTTTACCTCAAATCAACAGAATATACATTCTTCTCACCACCACATAGCACTTATTCTAAAATCAACCATATAATTGGAAGTAAAACACTCCTCAGCAAATGCAAAAGAATGGAAATCATAACAAACAGTCTGTCAGACCACAGTGCCATCAAATTAAAACTCAAGATTAGGAAACTCACTCAAAACTGCACAACTACATGGAAACTGAACAACCTGCTCCTGAATGACCACTGGGTAAATAATAAAATTAAGGTAGAAATAAATACATTATTTGAAACCAGTGAGAACAAAGACACAACGTACCAGAATCTCTGGGACACAGCTAAACCAGTGTTTAGCGGGAAATTTATAGCACTAAATGCCCACAGGAGAAAGCAGGAAAGACCTAAAATCAACACCCTAACATCACAATTAAAAGAACTAGAGAAGCAGGAGCAAACAAATTCAAAATGTAGCAGAAGACAACTAATAACTAAGACCAGAGCAGAACTGGAGGAGATAAGAGAAATGAAAAACCCTTCAAAAAATCAATGAATCCAGGAGCTGATTTTTTGAAAAGATTAACAAAATAGATAGACTGCTAGCCAGACTAATAAAGAAGAAAAGAGAGAAGAATCAAATAGACACAATAAAAAAGGATAAAGGGGAGATCACCACTAATCCCACAGAAATACAAACTACCGTCAGAGAATACTATAAACACCTCTACACAAATAAACTAGAAAACCTAGAAGAAATGGATAAATTCCTGGGCACATACACCCTCCCAAGACTAAACCAAGAAGAAGTCGAATCCCTGAATAAACCAATAACAAGTTCTGAAATTGAGGCAGTAATTAATAGCCTACCAACCAAAAAAATCGCGGGACCAGACAGATTCACAGCCTATTTCTACCAGAGGTACAAAGAGGCGCTGGTACCATTCCTTCCGAAACTATTCCAAACAATAGAGAAAGAGAGACTCCTCCCTAACTCATTTTATGAGGCCAGCATCTCCTGATACCAAAACCTGGCAGAGGCACAACAAAAAAAGAAAATTTCAGGCCAATATCCCTGATGAACATCGATGCAAAAATCCTCCAAAAAATACCAGCAAACCAAATCCAGCTGCACATTAAAAAGCTTATCCACCATGATCAATCGGCTTCATCCCTGGGATGTAAGGTGGGTTCAACACACGCAAATCAATAAATGTAATCCATCACATAAACAGAACCAATGACGAAAACCACATGATTATCTCAACAGAGGCAGAAAAGGCCTTCGATAAAATTCAAAGCCCTTTCATGCTAAAAACTCTCAATAAACTACATACTGATGGAACATATCTCAAAATAATAAGAGCTATTTATGGAAAACCTACAATCAATATCATACTGAATGGGCAAAAGCTGGAAGCATTCCCTTTGAAAACTAGCACAAGACAAGGATGCTCTGTCTCACCACTCCTATTCAACATAGTATTGGAAGTTCTGGCCAGGGCAATCAGGCAAGAGAAAGAAATAAAGGGTATTCAAATAGGAAGAGAGGAAGTGAAGTTGTCTCTGTTTGCAGATGACATGATCATATATTTAGAAAACTCCATCATCTCAGCCCAAAATCTCCTTAAGCTGATAAGCAACTTCAGCAAAGTCTCAGGATACAAAATCAATGTGCAAAAATTAAAGCATTCCTATACACCAATAATAGACAAACAGCCAAACAGCCAAATCATGAGTGAATTCCCATTCACAGTTGCTACAAAGAGAATAAAATACCTAGGAATCCAACTTACAAGGGATGTGAAGGATCTCTTCAAGGAGAACTACAAACCACTGCTCAAGGAAATAAAGGAGGACACAAACAAATGGAAGAACATTCCATGCTCATAAATAGGAAGAATCAATATCATGAAAATGGCCATACTGCCCAAAGTAATTTGTAGATTCAATGCTATCCTCATCAAGCTACCATTGACTTTCTTCACAGAATTAGAAAAAAACTACTTTAAATTTCATATGGAAACAAAAAAGAGCCCATATAGCCAAGACAATCCTAAGCCAAAAGAACAAAGCTGGAGGCATCACACTACCTGACTTCAAACTATATTACAAGCCTACAATAACCAAAACAGCATGGTACTGGTACCAAAACAGATATATAAACCAATGTAACAGAACAGAGGCCTCAGATATAATGCCACACATCTACAACCATCTGATCTTCGACAAACCTGACAAAAACAAGCAATGGGGAAACCACTGTCTATTTAATAAATGGTGTTTGGAAAACTGGCTAGCCATATGCAGAAAACTGAAACTGGACCTCTTCCTTACACCTTATACAAAAATTAACTCAAGATGGATTAAAGACCTAAACATATGACCTAAAACCATAAAAACCCTAGAAGAAAATCTAGGCAATACCATTCAGGACATAGGCACGGGCAAAGACTTCATGACTAAGACACCAAAAGCAATGGAAACAAAAGCCAAAATTGACTAATGGGATCTAATTAAACTAAAGAGCTTCTGCACAGCAAAAGAAATTATCATCAGAGTGAACAGGCAACCTACAGAATGGGAGAAAGTTTTTGCCATCTGACAAAGGTCTAACATCCAGAATCTACAAGGAACTTAAACAAATGTACAAGAAAAAAATAGCCCCATCAAAAAGTGGGTGAAGGATATGAACAGACACTTCTCAAAAGAAGACATTTATGCAGCCCGCAAACATATGAAAAAAAGCTCATCATCACTGGTCACTAGAGAAACGCAAATCAAAACCACAATGAGATACCATCTCATGCCAGTTAGAATGGTGATCATTAAAAAGTCACGAAACAACAGATGCTGGAGAGGATGTGGAAAAATAGGAATGCCTTTACACTGTTGGTGGGAGTGTAAATTAGTTCAACCATTGCAGAAGACAGTGTGGCAATTCCTCAAGGATGTAGAACCAGTAATACCATTTGGCCCAGCAATCTCATTGCTGAGCATATACCCAAAGGATTATAAATCATTCCACTACAAAGACACATGCACACGTATGTTTATTGCAGCACTGTTCACAATAGCAAAGACTTAGAACCAACCCAAATGCTCATCAATGATAGACCAGATAAAGAAAATGTGGCACATTTACACCATAGAATACTATGCAGCCATAAAAAAGGATGAGTTCATGTCCTTTCCAGGGACATGGATGAAGCTGGAAGCCATCATTCTCAGCAAACTAACACAAGAACAGAAAACCAAACATGGCACGATCTCATTCATAAATGGGAGTTGAACAATGAGAACACATGGACACATGGAGTGGAACTCCAGGGCCCATTGGGGATTGAACGGATAGGTAAGGGATAGCATTATAGAAATACCTAATGTAGATGATGGGTTGATGGGTGCAGCAAACCACCATGGCACGTGTATACCTATGTAACAAACCTGCACGTTCTGCACATGTATCCCAGAACTTAAAGTATAAAAAGAGAAAATACAAGCAAATTTAAAACTATTTGCTGATAATTATGTCATTAACATCCTTGAAGTCAGTGAAATTTTTCTTTTACAATCATTTTGGATTGGTCACTTATCAACAGAAATAAACATCAGAATAAAATTATAACAAATAATCAATTTATTATTTCATTTAATATTCTCCATTTTCTTTTCTTTTCTTTTTTTTTTTTTTTTTTTTTGAGATGGAGTCTTCAATTGTCACCCAGGCTGGAGTGCAGTGGCGCGATCTCAGCTCACTGCAAGCTCCACCTCCCAGGTTCACGCCATTCTCCTGCCTCAGCCTCCCGAGTAGCTGGGACTACAGGCGCGTGCCACCATGCCTGGCTAATTTTTTGTATTTTTAGTAGAGATGGGGTTTTACCATGTTGGCCAGGCTGGTCTTGAACCCCTGACCTCATGATCCGCCCACCTTGGCCTCCCGAAGTGTTGGGATTACAGGCGTGAGCCACCGCACTTGGCCCATTTTCTCTTTTTATGTATGTAATCTTAAGTACAGGTATTAGGCAGGAATGACTGAATTTTTTTTTTTTTTTTTTTTTTTTGAGAGGAAGTCTCACTCTGTCACCCAGGCTGGAGTGCAGTGGCGCGATTTTGGCTTGCTACAGCCTCTGCTTCCTGGGTTCAAGCAATTCTCCCACCTCAACCTCCCAACTAGCAGGGACTACAGGCGCCTGCCACCACACTCAGCTAATTTTTGTATTTTTAGTAGAGACAGGCTTTCGCCATGTTGGCCAGGGTGGCCTCAACTCCTGACCTCAAGACATCTGCCCACCTCAGCCTTCCAAAGTGCTGGGATTACAGGCGTGAGCCACTGCGCCCGGTGAGGAATGACTGAATTTTAACAAATGTTATTCTGAGCTGGCAGGAAAAAGTGTTGAAAACTTTGAAATGGGCAAATAAGATTACTGGGTGTCTTGTCCAGTGGTGCATCTTGCAACCAGACAACTCTGTAAACATAGGTCACTGCCAGCAATGCAAATGACTCCTGTTCACAGACTGCAAATGAATTTTGCCAGGGAGAAGTGCAAAATGACATCCATTTTTTTCCAAGAAGCCAGTTTTGCATTTATTAAGCAAATTCATTTCAGCATTCCTCATTGCCAATATATGGGTCTGATCTTTGAATTCTCCTGGATTGTTTGTACATATTACTGGTTCCCATTAATTAACGAATTAAATAAAATTCATTTACATTTTTCATTTTACACTTGTATTAGAATCATAATTTTATCATAATCATAATCATAATTCTCCTCAAAACTGTCTTTTCAACAGATCCAAGACACCTACACCACCCCCTTCATAAGGGGGAATTTTGAATTTCCCTTCAAAAAAAACAGATTAATTAGAAAATCATCCTTCAGAGAACATCACCAAAAAAAAATCACATGATCCTCCACCACCACCACTATTAAATTGTTTCTTTTTTGTTTTTAATGTACTAATTTAATTATAAATAAATTAGCCCATAAAGTTTAAACAATGTATAAGTATATAAAGCAGAGTGATGACGCCTCCCTAAACACTTTGGTATCACTTCCCAAAAGTAACCAATGTTAAAGATTAAAATGAACATTACATATATAGGTAAAAACTATAAGTAAGGAATCACAGGAAGGTAATATGGAGGTAAAATTAAAACTTTGGCATTGAGGTGGGAGTCTAGTTGTTACATTTGAAGTCAGAAAACAAAAATTCTATTCACCTTTTATGGCCTCCTTACGTGTACCCATGTGTTCCTTAGAAGTGCCTGTGGCCTCCTTATTCATACCTGTGTGCTCCTTGTACATACTCGTGGGCTCCTTATATGTATCTGTGTGGTTCTCATAAGAACCTATGTGCTCCTTATGCGTACCTGTGTAAAAACACACCTGCAGGAGGAGCTACACTCAGCCTCTTCAGGGCCATCTCCCATGCACCTTCTCTGGTATGCTTCACTCCTTGAGCATTTACCGTTACTCGTTTACCATTTTGCTCTTGTAACTTAATTCTTATCCTTTACTAATCTCCAAAGCCCAGGTGGAGACCCTCTATCTTAGTGCTCAGGCTTGGCCCCCTTCTAGAATATGACTTCTTTCTTTGCCTTCCAGAAAAGGGGATAAAGCAAATATTCATACCTGAAACCAGGCAAGAAAATGAAAAGCAGACCTGCTGGCAACTAGGCCATAATATTTCCAATTGCATATAAACCACAATCACAGAATAGAAACAATGTCTAAACAAGTCCATTCCAAGCCCGTATTTGGAATGAGACACAGATAAGGCCACTCTGAAATCACAAAAATAGTAAAACAGCCCCCTCTTCTGTCTAACATGAGTGACTGCTTCTCCTTTACCTCACCAAGGAAAACCACTGTCGTCCTTCTATCTTATAGATAAAAATCATTACGATATTCAGTCACAAAATTGCTCCTGCTTCCTGAAACATCCAATTCAGAATTGCTCCCCACCTCCTCAATCCTCCCTTGAATCATCCAGCACACACTCACATACTATGACAAGCTTCTTCCAACTCCTCATCATTTATTTAAGGTGCTTTCAGTCTTGCAACAGCAAGAAAAATAAGTATAATTTCTTCGTACTACAATAAATGTGTTCCTGATGGTCCTTCATTGGTGGGCTTTAATGTATAAATACTTATTTACTTTAAGGGAATATTAAATTTGATTCTGGTCTTCTAGTAATGCTTAAAAATGCTTCCCTCTGCATGTTCTGTGTCCTTCCATGTCTAATAAAGAGTCATATTGCAATGCACTTTCATATGCATTTTCTCACTTTAATTTAGCATCAAACATCTAAAGCAGGTAAAATTAATGTTTTTGTGCTCAACATTCTTTAAGGTTGAGATTTGCCTGAGTTCATTCAGAAAGTTGTGAGCAACGCCATGTAGAGTTCTGAATTCTCTACCCCTGAGAACAATCTAACACAGGGAAAGTGATCAATGAAAAGGCCAAAAGTTTACATTTATCTCCTCAAAAAATACACTGAGTGATGCAGGAGCTCCCAGAGGGGCAGCTCGATTGGAATGCACATGGGTTCAGGAATAGTGGCCACTGACACCTGAGCAACGGGCAGTTCCACATTAAGTGGAAGGCTAGTCAAATAACTTACTCCTTTTTCTTTCTCCTAGGTTCATACATACATCATCTCATTTTTAATGAGATGATGAATGAGATGTATGTACATTTAATGAGATGTATGTATGAACCTAGGAGAAAGTGTAATCCCAGCTCTTTGGGAGGCCGAGGCAGGAGGATCAGTTGAGCCCAGGAGTTCAAGACTATAGAGAAAATCAGAACTCATGACAGAACAAGTTCCAACAATGCTATTAATTAATTTAATTGCTTCTCCAAGAAGACGAGGGATCAGACATCTCCAATCCCTGACTCCTTTAACACTCCATCAGTCCCCCTCTTTAGCTAGCACCACACCAGGATTCACCTTATTCCCAGCCCTTAACCCTCCAACCTCCACATCCCTCCCCCAATTTCACAAATGGAATAAAGCTCATGAGGCTTCAGAATAGCACAACGGCCCCTAGAAACTAATTAACCTAACAACCTGCAGCTACACTACCCCATGTATGAGACCAGAAACTTTGTGAGATGTAAAGTCAACAGACACCCCAGTTGGTCATTCAGACTTCCTCCAAAACATTGCTAAGCTCACTGCCTAAGAATAAGCTTTCAGATTCCAGCTTCAGACACAAGCTGCATCCAAAGCTGTCTCCTTCGCCCAAGATATCCGAGGCACTGGCATGGCACTGGGGTTCGCCTTTCTAGTAAATCCCCCCCGGGGAGGTCTCAAGTGGCCTTTTTTACACTGCTTTCCATTTAATAACAGTTTCAATCATCAGAGTTTTTTTTGTTTTGTTTTGCTTTGTTTTTGAGACGGAGTGTCGCTCTGTCACCCAGGCTGGAGTGCAGTGGCACAATCTCGGCTCACTGCAAGCTCCGCCTTCCGGGTTCATGCCATTCTCTTGCCTCAGCCTCCCTAGCAGCTGGGACTACAGGCGCCCGCCACCACGCCCGGCTAATTTTTTGTATTTTTAGTAGAGACGGGATTTCACCATGTTAGCCAGGATGGTCTCGATCTCCTGACCTCGTGATCCACCCGCCTCAGCCTCCCAAAGTGCTGGGATTACAGGCGTGAGCCACCACGCTCGGCTCCCCAGAGATGTTTTAATAGCAGTTAACATGCGAAGGAAAAGGTCTTAATCCTTGATAGCAGAAGATTCCATGTCTCCTATGCAAATGTCACCATCATTATCCCAGCAAATTTTGAACACCTTGTTCCAAAGGATATGTATTAGAACCTAAGTCTCACTAGCTGCAAAGCCCTTACTTTTTCCACTCGCTGGCATAAAACCAATGAAAATTTGAAATACTTCAAAAAAAGACCACTGCTAGAGACTATACCCGCATTGACCAAGAACTATCAAATGACACGTTCACGCTCTCCTGCCATGACCTGCACCTTAAATAGCATGAAGACATTTATACAATTGCAAATACAAGGGAGGGTTTCAATTCTTTTAATATATAATATGGAAAGGAAATTGCTTTTCAGTGCATACACATTAACAGAATATCTTCAAGCATATTTCTATTTAGATTGTTATTTGCAAACATTGGAAATAACACATTCTATGAGCTGTCACCAGATGGATCAAACATTTGCACAACTCTCAGCTGAACATCCTAATGGAGCCTTAAAGTCACTATAATATTTGTGTGCACATTTGTGAGGATGTATGTTTGAGCCTAATTTAAAACCCAAGCATTTGATTTCCTCTAAAGAGAAGGGTTTTTGCTTTATAAAAAGCTTTCTGGACATCAAGCGTAAACACACAGCTGGGCATAGTGGCTCATGCCTGTAATCCCAGGTTTTTGGGAGGCCGAGGCAGGAGGATCAGTTGAGCCCAGGAGTTCAAGATCAGCCTGGGAAACATAGGGAGATCCCATCTCTACAAAAAAAATTTTAAAAATTAGCCAGGCATGGTGGCGTGCACCTGTGGTCCCAGCAACTCCAGAGGCTGAGGTGGGAGAATTGCTTCAGCCCCCAAGTTTGAGGCTGCAGTGAGCCATGATTGTGCCACAGCACTCCAGTCTGGGTGAGACAGCGAGACCCTGTCTCAAAAAAAAAAAAAAAAAAAAAAAGCATAAACACATTTTTTTTTTTTTGAGATAGAGTCTTGCTCTGTCACCCAGGCACCATCTCGGCTCACTGAAACCTCCACCTCCCGGGTTCAAGAGATTCTTGGCCTCAGCCTCCCAAGTAGCGGGGACTACAGGCACACGCCACCATGCCTGGCTAATTTTTGCATTTTTAGTAGAGTCGGGGTTTCACCATGTTGGCCAGGCTTGTCTCGAACTCTTGACCTCGTGATCTGCCCACCTCAGCCTCTCAAAGTGCTAGGATTACATGCGTAAGCCATTGCGCCTGGCCCATAAACATATTTTTTAAAGAAAAGTCAGTCTTTCATTTCCAGAACTGGCGGTGATGAGGGGACAGAATATGTTAACTCATGCCATTTCAGTTTTGTCTCAGAGGCATTTACTCTGGTGGTTTTATGTAGAGTCTGTGTCTCACCTCCCTAACTGAACTGCCAGCTTCTGAATACTAGAACTGAGCTTTCTACTTCCTTTATTTTCCTCTTAGGTGGCCATAAGCAAAGGCCAACATTTAATGAGCACCTACAGTAGCTCACTTAATTTTTTTTCAGCAACTGCAAGCACAAACGTTCCTATTACTTTCAGTAAACTCGAGCTCAGAAATTTGAGACACCCATGATCCCAAGGCTAGAAAATGCAGTTGATGCTTAAGATTTCAGGTGAATCTAAGATCCACCCACTATACTATAGTATATTATTACCCAGAGACACATTTGTGGTCTTCCTATTTTGTTGTTTTCAGTGTGCTGATCATCTCCACTCAAAATCCTCCTGCACATAACTGCTGGATGACCTACACCACCAGGTATGCTATACCATATCTATGCTATGCCTCATTCTATGCCTTACCCCAGCGTGGTGTGAAAAGCAGGTGCTATTTACTGAAACCTAATGGTTCATAAGGCACCCATACTTCTTCCTTCTGTTTCCAAGAACATCAACTCCCTGTGTAACAATTTGAAAAGCCACCTAACAAATTGACCAGACTGGCAACTAATTTCCAGCATTTGTTTATCTGATAGAACCATGATCAGAGCAGTCCAAAGAAAAAATACAAACACAAGATCTCATCACAAAAGGAAGAGGCCAACCTAACAACTACCTGGTGGGAATTAGAGCCACGTGTCTTACACATATGCTCAGCAAATACTTACAGAATTAACAAATGACCCAAAACTAAGGGACAAACCTTGCTCTGTTAAGCATTGTGAAATACTTCAGACACTCCTGAACTAGAAGCATTAACATAAAGCAAAAGATATTGGAAAAAAAGATGTATACAATACGCTATTTCCATTTTTTTCACAAAATCCCAGCACTGCAGGTGTGACGTCTCTTTGGCTGGGGAGGTGAGCACAGGAGACTTAACAGATGTTGCTTTGCAGCCAAGTTGGAAGAGCTGAGCGGTTGTTCTTGGCTTCAGGGGACTGAAGCTGCAGTGGTTTGTAACAAATTGGCTGATTTTTTCTGCTTTAAAGGCTGAACTAATAAAAAGTCTTTGAAAATCCAAATGGTGAGGGAAAATGAAAAGTCCAATAAATCCAGTCTGCTGGGAGGCCCTCTGCTGAGAAGACTGCCGAGGCTTCCATTCCCATCCTTTGTGTGTGTTTTCTCTAAATATTACAGTTGCTGTAAAACTTTCATATGGTAAAGGCCAGAAGGGGCTTCTCAGACTCTGCAAATGAAAGGCGGTAAAACTCTTTAGTGACCCAGATTTCAGCTTATCATTAACGCACCTCCTCGAAGGTGCTTCACACACTTGGCTAGATCTGCACAAAGTCAATTCATGTAAAAACAGGCAGAAAATGAAGAAAGAGAACAAAGGGGCCTTGTAAAATCCAACCACCATCTGCCTCTTCAAATCCAGCAGCACTAGGGTGGCTCATTTGCAGGAGTTTTCCCTCTGGCTTTCCAGAAACACACTTTTTAGGCAAAGGTGGTGTAGGTCATCCAACAGTTTCATTCAGGAGGATTTTGAGTGGAGATGATTAACACACTGAAAACAACAAAATAGGAAGACCACAAATATGTCCCTGGGTAACAGGAAACTGCAACTACTAGATTAGTGTTTGGCATTGGAGAGCTCAGATCAGGCCTAACAATGGGATTTATTCCATCTTCACAAGTTTGAAAAAAATAACTAGAGGAGTTGTCTTTGGCCAAAATGTAAAGAAATATAGTAATCCCTGACTTACCTATGATTTTGCTTTCTTTAGTTTTAGTTACCTGTGGTGAGCCACAGTCTGAAAATATTAAATGAAAAACTCAAGAAATAAACAATTCACAGTTTTAAATTGTATACCGTTCTGAGTACCATGATAAAATCTCATGTCATTCCACTCTGTTCCCTCTTCATCACAATAAGAAGGATAAGGCCAGGCATGGTGGCTCATGCCTGTAATCCCAACACCTTGGGAGGATAAGGCAGGTGGATCGCTTGAGGCCCGGAGTTTGAGGCCAGCCTGGCCAACCTGGCAAAACCCTGTCTCTACTAAAAATACAAAAATTAGCCAGGCATGGTGGCTTGTGCCTGTAATCCCAGCTACTGGGGAGGCTGACAGAGGAGAATCGCTTGAACCCAGGAGGCAGAGGTTGTAGTGAGCCCAGATTGTGTCACTGTACTGGTGACAGAGCAAGACTCTGTCTAAAAAAAAAAAAAAAGAAGAAGGATAAGTACATTACAAGGTATTTTGAGAGACAGACCACATTCACATAACTTTTATTACAATATATTGTTATAATTGTTCCATTTTATTATTAGTTACTGATGTTAATCTCTTTCTGTGCCTAATTTATAAATTAAAGTTTATCATAAGTATGTATGTATAGGAAAAAGCATAGTACAGTTATGCACCCCATAAAGATGTTTCAGTCAATGACAGACCAAACATACTATGCTGGTCCCATAAGAATATATACCATATTTTTTACTGGATCTTTTCTATGTTTAGAAATGTTTAGATACACAAATACTTACCATTGTGCTAAAATTGCCTACAGTATTCAGTACAGTAACATGCTATACAGTTTTGTAATCTAGGAGCTATGGGCTATACCATATAGCCTAGGTGTGTAGTGGGCTCTGACATCTAGGATTGTGTAAGTACACTCTGTTATGTTCATGCAATGATGCAATTGCTTAATGATGCATTTCTCTGAATGTATCCCCATTGTAAAGCAAGGTATGACTGTATATACAGGGTTTAGTACTATCCAAGGTTTCAGACATCTGCTGGGAGACTTGGAACATATCCCCTGCAGGTAACAGGAGACTAGTGTAGTAGCTCTTTTTTTTTTTTTTTTTTAGTTGAAGTCTTTTATAACTTTAGGTTTACAGAACTGAATGTATAATATTCCTGAATTCACAGTATGCGATCATTGGTGGCCCCTGCAAGGCTATTGTATTCTATTTCAATTTGTTTTATGTTAATTTTCTTTATTCCTCCTTCCAATCCCAATCTCTTTCCAGGTATAGACACCCACTCTACTATATTTAAACTTTGATTTTCAAACCATCTTTCATGCATATTTATTTTGATGCATATATTTACATTGCAATATATAAACCTTATTTATATGGAGCATCTGTCTGCTGCATAATATTCCTTTAAATATATGTACCATGTTTTATTTGTACATTTCTCTAGAGATGGACACCTGTGTAATTTCAGATCTTTGCTAGTTCAAGTCATACTGCTATGAACATTATCATGTGTCTGTTTGAGGACATCTTTTTGTAAAACTCTATGCGAGTGATTCTCCAGATGTTGACATTTCTCCAGGCATAGAATTTCTAGGCATGGTATTTATGTATTCTTTTTTTTGTGTGTGTGTACACATTTAGTTTTATTGTAACAAAGCAACTTGTACACTTTTAATGTTTAAAACTGAGCATCATCTTTCCTTTCCAGTGAAACAAAAAGAAAATTTAAAAATAAACAGGAACAAAATTACAATAGAGAATGTCAATTCCAAATAAGATCCTACAGGTTCTGCTGATTCTCCCATTGAGTGGCAGGGCTCAAGTCATCATTAGGAGACAATTTATTTTAAAAGTGTCATCTTAAACTGCAAGGATGTCTGTCAAATATCACAATTAAACATGCCAAAGGAGAAGCCATGTTGTCAAAATGCCCACTTAACCCACCCAAACATCTCAAACCAACCCTTTGCTGACCTTCTATAACCCCATTTTTTTAAGTTTTTTTTTTCTTTTTTTAAACAAGAGAAAGTAGACAGATACATATTGGTAAATGCTAACTGTCCATATTCACATAGAGACACAGTGTACTCTCTGAGCCCAATATACAGAGAAAGGAGGAAGAAAGCTAGAATTCTATGCACTACTACACAGGGGCCTAGCACCCTCCAGCTTCTAGCAGAGCGAAGGGAGCAGGTTTTTCTTTTTTCCCACAGAGCTCGGTGGTGTTGATTCCATACAGTTTTTGTTCAGACAGGAAGGGATAAAAATGAACTTCGAACAGAAAGGGGTAGAGACTCTTTTCCCATTGTATTCTGCTCAAGGTATTTCCCCCCAAATAAGTTGAGAACCATGGAGCAGAGAAAAGAGACCTCAAGAACAGGGTGACAGAGCACAAGAGGGAAAAAAAAAAAAAAAAAAAAAAGACTGCAACTTGCTCCCAGGAACTGGAGAAAATTTAAAAAAAGGAAGGTTGGAATCCATCAGTGTTCTATTTAGTCATCTTCTCCTTCATCCTCCTCTCCTTCCTCCCCTTCATCATTATCTTCATCTTCTTCACCTTCATCCTCATCCCCTTATTCATCAATATCTTCTAATCCTTCCTCCTCTTCATCATCATCATCATCTTCTTCTCCTTCTCCTTCTTCATCATCCATATCGGGAACCAAGTAGTACTGTAATGGGTTTGGCCAGATATCATCTTTGATGACCTCTCCTAACTCATCAGCACCTGCATCAGAATGGTCAGTAAACCAGGTAAAGAAGCTCTCTGGTTCCTCATGCTGCCTCTTCCTGCTGGCTTTATTCTGTGTTTGACTTGAACGTTTCGTCAAATCCTTTCCAGATTTCCATTTGATTTCGGTGGACTTCGAAGATGGATCACCACTCTCATTCAGAAGAAATTCTTTGGAGAGAACTTTATTTTCAAAGTAAGGATTTTCATCAAAATAAAAATCTATTCTGTAACCTGATTTAATATCTTCAAATTCTGTCACTTCAACTCTGGTCAAATAATGCAGTGCCTCTTCGTCTTCCTCCCCAAGCAGTGCAGACACTTGTGGATGGCTGACAAATGTTGTTACCCAAAAATTTGGGATTTTGGCGATCAATTCTGACCTCTTCTGAAAAAATGGTTGGCGGAGTTTGTTATATTTCTGTTCTACTTTCAAAATCTCCTCACTGGCTTGTTCATTAAGTCTGTCTGTTTCATTTTGTACTTCATCAATGTGTTCAATCGCTTCTTGCTGTTCTTTTTCTCCCTTCTTCAGCAAGCCTGCAGAGGCCGATGTCTCCTCCGGTCACAGAGCAGGAGGTGGTCTTGGTTTCTTCTTTTGAGGCTGGAGTGGAGACTGGCGTTTAGGCGCCATGCTATTAGGGAAGTCCCAGAACCAGACCACAAGTCTCCTCGCCCGTCCGGAAGCAGGCTGAACACTATGTATTCTTAATTTAACTTTGCACTGCTAAAATGGCTCACTGTAATGACTATTTATACTTCCACCAGCCATAGATGAGGATTCTCATGTCCTCACATCTTTGGCCAGTATTTGACATTACCTGACTTCATTTTTGTCAACCGGATTCTGAGAAAATTGAGTTAATTTATTCTAAATTCATTTTTCGTATTACATTCACTTAAGAGATATAATGCTTACATAAGTTTCCCTTTCTGTTAACTACTTATTAATATTCTGTGTTTTCTGACTTTTTCTTGCTGCAAGTTAGAATTGTATGCTAGAATTCCCTGAATATTCTAAATAGTTTGTTGGTTTTATACATTGAAAATAGCTTTTCCAATCTGTTTCCCTGTAGGTTGTTTGTCTATGATGAACTTTGTTAAATAAGAATTCTTAATTTTGATGAAAATAAATTTTTAATTTATAGTATCTACTACTTCGAGTCTTGTGTAATTAGACTGTCCTCAGACAGCATCCTGTATTTTCTTCCATAAACTATAAAGTTTTACTTTTCATATTAAAGTTTTTAATCCACCTACATGTTATGTGGAGAACTGGAGATTCATGCTACCTCTCAAAGAAACAAGAGTAGGCTGGGCACAGTGGCTCATGCCTGTAATCCCAGCACTTTGGGAGGCTGAGGTGGGCAGATCACTTGAGGTCAGGAGTTCAAGACCAGCCTGACCAATATGGTGAAACCCCATCTCTCCTAAAAATACAAAAATTATCCAGGTGTGGTGGCAAGCACCTGTAATCCCAGCTACTCGGGAGGCTGAGGCAGGAGAATCACTTGAACGCGGGAGGTGGAGGTTGCAGTAGGCTGGGATCATGCCACTAAACTCCACCCTGGGCAACAAAGCAAGATGAAAGCAAGAAAGCAAGGAAGGAAGGAAGGGAGGCAGGGAGGGAGGGAGGAAGGGAGGGAGGATGGGAGAGAAAAGTAAATCAGTTAGGAATATTAGTAAACAATGACAAATTTTTCAAGAGAAGCCAGAAGTTGAATTCTTTTGTATGTAACATCTCCTGATATTTAAAACATGGTGCTGTTCAAACAAAACATAATGTGACCCAGACTTGTCCTGTGAGCTGCCAGCTTTTTTCCTTTGAGTTGCAAGATTTTTCTTTCATACGTTGACCTGACTTTTGATGCCTTGTAGTCTAGTTATTAAACAAGGGTTTTTGCTTTCACTGCTTTATATTGTTTCTACATTTATTTAATATGGCTTATCTATACCTAACTTGTTCCTAATCCTGCCCATTTAGCAGTTTTATCCCCATCTTCACACAGGTTAAATAATGGACCATAATTCTATCAGCACATTTATTATTACAATAATACTACCTCATAGCAACAGGGGTAACCACATGTTTCTCAAGAACCAAAATCAATGGGAATAAAAGAGGAGTCATTTTTCTGCCATCTGTCTCACAATGCAGACTCCAGGAACATATGCTTACACCAAGGACTTCCTGGAGAGGCATTGTTTAGAAAATGAGGCTGTGAGTACCTTGAGAGTAACTGCTGTGTCTTCAATTGCATCAAAGACCCAAGAGCTCCTCACAAAAACATTTATCTGAGAAGTTCCTTTGTCCCCTTATCCTCTAGAAAAATGAATGTAAGGGAACTCAACATCAAAGTAGGTATGGACGTGGCCAATAAAAACTTTGCACAGGCTGGGCGCTGTGGCTCATGCCTGTAAGCCTAGCACTTTGGGAGGCCAAGGCGGGTGGATTACTTGAGGTCAGGAGTTCAAGACCAGCCCGGCCAACATGGCGAAACCCCGTCTCCACTAAAAACACAGAAATTAGCCAGGCGCAGTGGCGGGCGCCTGTAATTCCAGCTACTTGGGAGACTGAGGCAGGAGAATCGCTTGAACCTGGGGGGCGGAAGTAGCAGTGAGCCAAGATAGTACCACTGCACCCCAGCCTGGGTGACAGAGTGGAACTCTATCTCAAAAAAACAAAAAAAAAAACTTCTCACAGTAGTGATCACAGTCCTGGAAAGTCTTGGATAAGAAAATTCTAAATAGCCAATTTACAATAAACTAGGGAGGAACTTGGTAGACACTACATGGCAAATTGTATTAATATTCAAAATATCTGATACCCCTTTTGGTGGGAAGACTATACTTTCCACCACACTGATGTCATGCTTGGCCATGTGACTTCTACTTCCCTTTCCTGTTGTGTATTCATCCCCACTCCATTGAATGCAGATGGCATGCTTTGGGACAAGAAATGTGAGTAGAGGTGCTGTGTTCCTCTTTGGAACAAAAGCTTCTCTTTTCCTTTGACTGGCATGTCTCGGGGGAGCCCACTTCTTCAAGCTGAGTTGCATAATAAAGATGACAGGGAGCAAAGCCTCCACTGACTTGCAATCAATATGGAGCATGAGTGAAAAATACACCTTGGTTGTCACAAGCTATTGAGATCTTAAGGCTGTTTGTCACCACAACATAACTTAGCCTAAACTGACCGATGAAATTTACTGCAACAAATCCATAATACTTTATATTTTGGACACATAAATTTTCTTCCAAACAATGCATAGTGCTTTATGTTCTCTGGCTAATTCTCTCAAATGCAGTCAATGGTTCGATTTGGTTTGGCTTTGACATTATCTATTTTAATAAATACAATTACTATTGTATTACCTCTCTGCCTCCAAATACCAAGGAGTCTCTCCACCAGACTACTAAGAACACTATTTTTAAAATCTGAAAAGTGTTTTGAGAACTTAGGAGTGAGTTAACCTTAAGGTTCTTTACTTTAAAGACCTCTGTGAAGAACTAACTTCTGGTTTTCAGTCCAGCATGTAAGAAACTTGGAAGTCACCATTCCATCCTAATAACAAGTAAAAAAACTGAACAAATGGAAAAATCAACAACTCTTCTTAGATCCATCAGAGAAAAGAAGTTCCAGAGCAAACCACTTCCTCAAAATTTGGAGAGAGTAACAGGTACAGAGAATTGCAACTTAACAGAGCAGAAACCTCTTCAGGAACCAGTGCCAAGGTAGGGAAACCTGAATTATAATTGAGGAAATGCTAGAGGCTCAGAATAGATAAGACTGAGGTTTAAAACTTTAGAAAGGCCTCACACTTTTGTCAGTGTTCACTCCTGGAGCTCCACCAGGTTCTTACAGTGAATATCAAGGGAAAATCCCCTTGTGCTTCCAATAGGGGGCGGGGAAAGATAACCTTGAAATATGCCACAGCATTCTGTTCTTCTTAACAAGAACTTCCCTCAGGAGAAACTATTTTATCACAGCCTAACCTACTGGAGTTTTATCAGAGTGAAACCCACCTAGGGGAAGGAATATATCCAACTCCAGCTCCTTCTAGCCATCCTAGCCCACCTAAGATGGTGGCTCTGGGGGAAATGAGAAACATATGCGAAGTTCACAGTTTAAAGTTAAAGGCTCACTAAAAGACTGAAACCCAATCATAGAACTACAGAATGCCTCCTTTTTCCCCACACCTTATCACCACATCACTAAAGGACTATTTACCAGAGCTACTTTCACCCAGTCCATCATGTCTGGCTTTCAAAAAAAAATTACAAGGCATACTAAAAGGCAAAAAACACAGTTTGAAGAGAGAGCAAGCATCTAAAGCAGACTCACATGTGGCAGGGATATTGGAATTATCAGACTGTGAATTTAAAGCAACTGTGATTGGCTGGGTGTGGTGGTTCACACCTGTAATCCCAGCATTTTGGGAGGCTGAGGCAGGTGGATCACCCGAAGCCAGGAGTTTGAGACTAGCCTGGCCAACATGGTTAAACCCCGTCTCTACTAAAAATGCAAAAAAAAAAAAAAAATTAGCTGGGCATGGTGGCAGGCACCTGTAATCCCAGCTACTCGGGAGGCTGAGGCAGGAGAATCACTTGAACCCGGGAGGCAGAGGTTGCAGTGAGCTGAGACAGCACCATTGCACTCCAGCTTGGACAACAAGAATGAAACTCCATCTCAAAAAAATAGATAAATAAAAATTAAACAACTGTATTAATAAGCAAAGAGTTCTAATGGAAAAGAAGGCAACATGTAAGAACAGCTAGGTAATGAAGGCAGAGAGACAGAAATTTTAAGAAAAAATTTAAAAATTGTTAGAGATCAAAAACACTGTAATGGAAAGAAAGAATGCCTTATATGGGTTCATTTGTAGATTAGGCACAACTGAGGAAAGAATCTCTGAGTTTGAGAACATGGCAAGAGTCCTGTTATTTGGGTTTTTTTTTTTTTTTTTTTTTCTTTTGAGATGGAGTCTCGCTCTGTTGCCCAGGTTGGAGTGCAGTGGAGCGATCTCGGCTCACTGCAACCTCTGCCTCCCAGGTTCAAGTGATTCTTCTGCCTCAGCCCTCGAGTAGCTGGGACTACAGGCAGGCACATGCCACCATGCCTGGCTAATTTTTGTATTTTTTAGTTGAGACAGGGTTTCACCATGTTGGTCAGGCTGGTCTCGAACTCCTGACCTCGTGATCCACCTGCCTCAGCCTCCCAAAGTGCTGGGATTACAAGTGTGAGCCACCATGCCCAGCATGGGGTTTTTAAGTGTAAAAATATACACAAGTCTGAAACATCTCCCTTTGGAATCTTTGAGTTTCAAAGTTTTAGCTTTATAGTGCAGCTTCCCTTTGAGCTTCATTCAAAATTATAAGATGGAAGAAATCTGGGGAGAAAAAAAAACATAGCCAATTACAGCTCTGAATACTCCAACATCTGTTCCTGACAACAGAGAGTAAAGTTTCCCCTTGTTGCATTTGTCACCCTCTAAAGTAAAGGAGCAAGAGACACAGTGAAAGTGAAGCCCGGAAACACTAGTAAAGCAACTTACAATACTACCCCCAACATCTACTTAGTCCTAAAGCTCAGGACAATCTTGCCAACAAACACAATTTTGGTTTCTCTTAGACAGCCAGAGAAACACAGGGTAACACAAGGGAAATCTCATGCAAGTGAAGTTAAATATCTGTGAGGTTTTTTCTTGAATTTGCATTTCTGAAAATTCTCCTTTATTTCCCATCTGGCCTCCTGAGGAGTGAGGGTATTCTGTGGGCATCCAGTTATTAGAGTAAGTATTTTTACATTCTATAGCCATTTTATATGGATACTAGATCATGTTTACATTTTTACAGTGACATTTCTAAGGTTTATAATAGTCCACATTCGTGATAAAAATGGAAATATTGAGAAAATTTAGGCCATTGGGATCGTAGCCAGTAGTATCCTTCAACAGTGAATAGAACTTGACTATTTAAGGGCTTAAGAACACATTATTTTTTCTAGCTTTTAACTTGATGACATCATCATACAGGTATTTCTGTAAAAGAATTTAAGTTTGGGTAACATAAGCCCACTGGCCTCACCCCAAGTTACTCTCACCGTACCTTGGAATTACAGCTATATGACCCATCAGCACACATTCTTGCACCTTAGGAATTCATGCTCCTTATCACTGTACCATAAGGCCTCTTCCAGAAAAGAAAAAAAGAGAGCATACTCCCCTAATGTATTCTATCAGGTAAGTAAAAACTCAACATGAAAAAAGACAAGTACAATATGAGAAAGAAGTATTACAAGCCAATCTCACTTATAAACATAAATGAAAAACTCCTAAACAAAATATTGACACAACACATCCAGTAGGGCACAAAAACAATGACATATCTTGACCAAGTTTGGTTTATAACAGAAATTCAGGGGTAGTTTAACCCTAGAAAATCTACAAATGTATTTTTCATGTTCACAGATTAAAGGAGAGAAAACTTACATATACTCATTTAAATAGATGCAGAAAAAGCATTTGACAAAATTAAACATGCAGACATGACTTATTCCTAAAATAAACTAGGAAAGAGAACTTGCTCGCATTGATAAAAGATATCAAGCACAAACTTAATTCTTAGTGATAAAAGGATTCTCTTCAAAGAACAAATAAAGATAGAATCTGTTATGGACTGAATTGTTTACACCCCTCCCGCCCCCGACCCCTGCCACAAACTCACATTTTGAAGCCCTAACTCCCAATGTGATTGTATTCAGAGATAGGACCTATAAGAAGGTAATAAAGATTAGTGAGGTCATAGAGTGGGGCCTTAATCCTATAAAACTGACATCCTTCTAAGAATAGGAAGAAACCCCAGAGTTCACTCTCCCTCTGTGCACACTAAGAAGAGGCCAGATAAGGACACAGCAAGAAGGTGGCTGTCTGCAAGTAAGGAAGAGAATCCTTACAAGAAACTGAATTTGCCAGCACCTCAAATTGAGACTTGTAGCCTACAGATGTGTTAGAAAATAAATTTCTGGGCCAGGCATGGTGGCTCACACCTGTAATCCCAACACTCTGGGAGGCCAAGACGGGTGGATCACCTGAGGTCAGGAGTTCAAGACCAGCCTGGCCAACATGGTGAAACCCCATCTCTGCTAAATATATAAAAATCAGCCAGGTGTGGTGGTGTGTGCCTGTAGTCTCAGCTACTCAGGAGGCTGAGGCAGGAGAATTGCTTGAACCTGGAAGGTGGAGGTTGCAGTGAGTCAAGATCATGCCACTGCACTCTAGCCTGGGCATCAAGAGAGAAACTCCATCTCAAAAACAAACAAACAACAATAACAAAAAAAACCCTTCTGTTGCTTAAGCCACACGGTCTGTGGTGTTTTGTTATGGCAGCCCAAGCTATAATAACACAGCAGCTACTATATCCTCAACCATTGCTTCAGTTCAACTCTGTATGGCAGACCTCAGCCAGATGATTAAAAGGAGAACACATTATGACCTCAGGATAAAGACTGTCAACAATAACAAAAAAATAGTCCTGTCCATAAAACCAAACATTGATAACTTTAAAAGTGAACAAACAAGCCACAAACTGGGAAAATACATTAGCAACACATGTACAGTCATGCACCACATAATGGCTTTTTGGTCAACGATGAACCGCATATATGATAATGATGCTATATGATTATAATGAAGCTGAAAAATTCTTGTCACCTAGGAATACATAGCTGAAGAAGAGCCAAGAGAAAAGGGAACTGTAGAAGAAAAAAAAAGAAAAAGAAAAAAAGAGAAAACTCACAGTATAGGGCTTAGCAGGAGCTTTTGCAGACCTCAATAAGCTCTTTAAAAAGTCTGAAAACATGGACATCAAACGAAAAGGTTTTCATTAATAGAGAAGAAAGTTCATGGTGCATTATCTGCTTACAAGCAAATCTATGACGAATAAAAGAAACAAACCAAGCAAACCACCATAGACATATTTTGGAAAAGAGTAACACTTCCTCAAGAAGAGCCTCCAGCAGGGACTTCAGGAGGTATTACAGAAGAAGGCATTGTTATCATAAGAGATGACAGCTCCATGCATATTGTTGCTCCTGAAGACCTTCCAGTGGGAAAAGATATAGAGGTGGAAAACAGTGATAGGAATGATCCTGACCCTGTGTAGGCCTAGGCTAATGCGTGTGTTTGTGTCTCAGTTTTTAACAAAAATGTTTAAGTGTACAGTGTTGCTAAAGTCTACAGTAGTATACAGTAATGTCCTAGACCTTCTCATTCATTCACTACTCACTTACTCACTCACTCAGCCACAGCTACTTCTAGTCCTGCAAGCTCCATTCATGCTAAGTGCCCTACACAGGTGTACCATTTGTTATCTTTTATCTTTATTTTTTTTTCTATATTTAGATATGCTTAGATACACAAATACTTAGCATTGTGTTACAATTGCCTACAGTATTCAGTACAGTAAAATGCTGTATAGATTTGTAGCCAAGAAGAAAGTTTACCACATAGCCTGGGTATAAGTATAGTCAGGCTATGCCATCTAGGTTTGTGTAAATACACTCTATGATCTTCATATAAATACAACATCACCTAACAATGCATCTCTCAGAACATACCCTCATTGTTAAGCAACACATGACGATATCAGACAAATAATCAATACCAAGAATGCACAAAGAACTACAAATTAATAAGAAAAATGTTAAATAGGAAGATGTGCAAAAGATATGAATAGGTATTTCAAGGAAGAGGAGCAAGAATGGCGAATATACATGTAGAAAGACGTTTAACCTTCCCCAGAAAATAAAAAGTGAAATCACATCAAGACACCATTCTACACCAACTAGATTAAATGACAGTAGCAAGTATCGGGAAGGAAGTCGACCAGTGGAAATCGCTGTACTCCTATACATTCCTACATGGAACTAAAGTTAGTACAAAAACTTTAGAAGATAATTTGAGATTATCATGTACAGGTAAGTATGTGTGTATCTTACAACCCAGCAATTCTACCCCTTCTATATACCCAACAGAAACTCTCACACATATGTACCAAGAGACATGTACAATTATTTTTACATCACCGTTGTTTATGATAGCAAGGAACTGGGAACACTCAAATGACCACTGACAGGAGAACAGATAAGTACATTGTGGTATATTCATACAATGAAATACTGTACAGCAATGCAAATGAGTGGATCACAGCTATACGCAACAACATGGATAAATCATAGAAATATACAGTGAATTGAAAAAACATGTTTTACAAAACTACATACAGTACAAAAACCATTTATAAATCACAAAAGCCAATGAAATATGATTTAATGACCAATATATACGTGATATAACTATTTTTTTAAAGCAAAAGGATAATAATCCAAAATTTAGGATAATGTCTCCCTCTGGTGGGGAAGGCAGAGGGACAGAACGGGAGAGAAGAATATGGATGGGTTAAGGGGCACTGCCCAAGTTCCAGCTCTAAACTAGATGGTGGGTTTATCAGTGTTTATTTTATTTTTATGTCATGTAACTTATATCTATGCTATGTTTGTATATAATCAAATATCAGATTGACTTCTGATTGACAATAGCCTGGACCTGAGAAAATTCAAGCTGAAGTTGAGTTCTGAAAGATCCTCATGAAGAATGGCAACTCCTCAATCTTTCACTATATAAGACTCTTTATTTTTATTTAATTTATTTATTTATTTATTTATTTTTGAGATGGAATTTCACTCTTGTTGCCCAGGCTGGAGTGCAGTGGCATGATCTCGGCTCACTGCAACCTCCACCTCCCAGGTTCAAGCAATTCTCCTGCCTCAGCCTCTTGAGTAGCTGGGATTACAGGTGCCCACGACCATGCCTGGCTAATTTGTATTTTTAGTAGAGACGGGGTTTCACCATGTTGGCCAGGCTGGTCATGAACTCCTGACCTCTCAGGTGATCCACCCACCTCGGCCTCCCGAAGTGCTGGGATTACAGGCGTAAGCCACCACGCCCGGCCTGACTCTTGAAACATATCATTGTTACTTGTAACCTGAATTTTTATTGCTGAGGGTTTTAAGAACCACTGATAAAGTAAGAAGTTCTTGTTTTTCCTTTGAAAATTCTTCTTCAATTGATCACATTTTTTATGGTTATAAGGTGACTCTTCTCTGTTTTCTGAGAATTTTAATATGTCTTCTTTATATAATGCTGTAGCCCATCACCTATGACATTATCTTGTACAAGTAAACAGGTGCATATATCACGTGTGTTACTGGCTTGAGAACATATTGTTTGATTAGAGGCTCACTCTGGTTTTTGCTGTTTCCATTGGATGAGTAGTTCTTAAAATGTGGTTTTCAGATTCCTAGGAGGCCCCAAGACCCTTTCAGAAATTTTGTGAGGTCAAAACTATGTCCACAATAACACTAAAACATTATTTGCATTTTTAATTGTGTTGACATTTGCACTGGTGGTGTAACAGCAATGGTGGATGAAACTATTGGTGGCTTGGCATAAATCAGTGTAGGAGCAAACTATGCCAGTAGCTGCTGCACTCTTCACCAGCATGCACTAGCAGGGAGTGAGGCATGAGGCCTAGGAGCCAGTTTCACTTACAAATGTCTTTGATGAAGCAGTAAAAACTATCACATTTTATTGTATCTCACCCGTTTAGTCCATGTATTTTTAATATTCTGTGGGATGAAATGAGAACTACACATGGAAGCCTTCAGCTTCATATCCAACTTTGATAGTTATCTCGAGGAAAAGTACTTGTGCGATTGTTTGCTTTGCAAGCTGAACTGCTTTTCCCATGGAATACTATTTTTACTTGAAAGAATAGCTGACAGATAAACTAGGCCATTTAGATTTGGGTATTTGGTAGACATTCTCTCAAAAATGAACTAAGTGAGCCCATCACTTCAAGGAAAACAACTGACAGTGTTTGTTCCTAATCATACAATTCAAAATTTAAAGTTGAAATTAGAATTTTTTAGAACTTGTAACTGCTACCAGGAACTTGAAAAGTTTCCCAATACTCAAAGGCTTCTCTGATGAGATCAGTGCTGATATTAACAAATGTAATTTTCTTTTTTTTTTTTTTTTGAGACGGAGTCTCGCTCTGTCACCCAGGCTGGAGTGCAGTGGTGCGATCTCAGCTCACTGCAAGCTCTGCCTCCCGGGTTCACGTAGTTCTCCTGCCTCAGCCTCCCGAGTAGCTGGGACTACAGGCGCCCGCCACCACGCCCGGGTAATTTTTTTTTTTTTTGTATTTTTAGTAGAGACGGGGTTTCACCGTGTTAGCCAGGATGGTCTCGATCTCCTGATCTTGTGATCCACCCACCTCAGCCTCCCAAAGTGCCGGGATTACAGGCGTGAGCCACCCGTGGCCTGCCTAACAAATATAATTTTCTTATGTTGTAAAATGAACTGTGCCACATTTAGATGATCTGTATAACTCAGCAAACCAATATTTTCCAAATGACCAATGCATGATGTTAAAACGTCAATTCAAACTGCAAAATAGACCAATTAATTTTAAAGTAACAGAGTAGGAAAAGGCCAATGATACGATTTCAAATTCTACATCACAACCAACATTTAAGAAACTACCAAGCTTTGCCAAGTTTTGATATAGTATCAAAAAAGAATACCCACAATTAATTGAAAAGGCCACTAAAATAACCCTCATTTTTTCACCTCCATATTTCTTTTCTGTTTTCGAGACTAAGTCTCGCTCTGTCGCCCAGGCTAGAGTGCAGTGGTGTGATCTTAGCTTGCTGCAGCCTCCACCTCCCGGGTTCTCCTCCCTCCCGGGTTCTCCTCCCTCCCGGGATTGTCCTGCCTCAGCCTCCTCCACCTCCATATTTCTGTTAGGTTGCATTTTCTTCATATATTTGAACCAAAACAACACATCACAATAAACTGAATTCAGAAGAGGTGAGAATCTGTTTTCTAATACCTCATGATTTGTAAAAATGTATAACAATAACTCCCTTGTTGGTAAATTTATTTTTATTTGGGAAAATCATTATTTTTAATGAAAAACTATTATTTATGTTAACATGTAATGGCTTTATTGCTTTTTAAAGTGAATTAACAGCTAAACAGTTTTATAACTACTCATTTAATTTCTAAGAGAGTAAATATTGCTGGATGTAACCCACATAAACAAAATGTCTTTGGAGCTCTCAATTACTTTTAAGAGTGTGAAGATAAATGCACATGTATGTTCATTGCAGCACAATTCACAATAGCAAAGACATGGAATCAACACAAATGCCCATCAATGATAGACTGGATAAAGAAAATATGGTACATATACACCATAGAATACTATGCACCCATAAAAAGGAATGAGATCACGTCCTTCACAGGGACATGGATGGAGCTGGAAGCAGACTAAACAAAGGAATGGAAAACCAAACACCACATGTTCTCATTTATAAATGGGAGCTGAACAATGAGAACACATGGACACAGGGAGGGGAACAACACACACTGGGGCCTGTTGGAGGGATAAGGGGAGGGAGAGCATCAGGATAAATAACTAATGCATGCGGGGCTTAATACCTAGGTGATGGGTTGATAGGTGCGGCAAACCACCATGACACATGTTTACCTACATAACAAAACTGCATGTCCTGCACATGTATCCTAGAACTTAAAATATTTTTTTTTAAAAAAAAGAGCATAAATTGGTCCTGAGACCAAAAAAGTTTAAGAGCCTCTGATGTAAAACAAAGTATGTATTTTCAATTTCCAGGCAAATGACTTGCATGATAAACTGAACTTTCTTACTCCTTATAAACTCCCAGTTCTTCAGGGGCAAAAAAGAGAAAAAGCCTTAGAGAATCTAGTGATTCCTATCTGGCTCCTTTAAAGATAGGAAGATCTTCAACATTAATTCCCATTCATTCATTAATGGAATTAATAATTATTGAGCGTCTGTCCTGTGTTGACATTGTGTTTAAGCACTAAGGTTAGAAAAATGAGCAATAACGACTGTTCTTACAAGTCTCCATTTTACATTAGAAAAGAAAAATTAATAATATCGTGAATATTAGCAAATTAACTCTTATCGTATCAGATTATTTTAACGAGTTTTAATGCACGAAAGTTATTCCTCCCATTGGAACTGTAAGAGAAGACTTCTTCTTCATCTCTTTCTCAGACTCTTTTGGTTACTAACAAAGACTTGCTCTTTTTAGGACTTTATCATTATAAAGCAAAACAGTTTGTAGGAAACTATAAAGACAAAACACTGATTGGTAGTCTGGGTCTAGGGGTAGTGGTGGGCAAGCTTCAATTGTAAAGGGCCAGGAGGAAACTTTTTAGGATAAGGAACCTCTTCTGTGTCTAGGTTATGGTGGTGGCTACATGATTTTGTACAGTTACCAAAATCCATCAAAAGAATACCTTAGGATGGGTGCAGTGGCTCAAGCCTGTAATCCCAGCACTTTGGGAGGCCTAGGAGGGGATCACCTGAGGTCAAGAGTTCGAGACCAGCCTGGCCAACACGGCGAAACCCCATCTCTACTAAAAATACAAAATTAGCCAGGTGTGGTGCTGCACGCCTGTAATCCCAGCTAGTCAGGAGGCTGCAGCAAGAGAATCACTTGAACCTGGGAGGTGGAGGTTGCAGTGAGCCGAGATCACACCACTGCACTCCAGCCTGGGTGACAAGAACGAGACTCTGTCTCAAAAAAAAAAAAAGAAAAAAAAAAGAACACCTTAATAAACAAAATAATAGAGGGGAAAGCAGGTCTCAACTTTACTAGCAGAAATGGAGAAAGGGAAAAATAGATTTTACTTTTTAAAAATTAAGTAAGGAGCATGGGACATTTTTCTTTGACAGGCTCAGTGGTCTATTCTGGAAGCACTATGCATGTGCCTACAAGTTCAGATGCTGGAATTAGACAGTTCTAAGCTTGAAACATGGTATTGGTAGGTAACACATGTGTTGCCTTGGGCAAATCACTTATTCAAGGCCTCACACCCTTCAACTGTAAAACGAAGTTCACAGTAGTATCTATCTCATTTTTTTAACAAGTAAATGAGATAACATATATATCTCATACATTTACACAGCCCATAGGAAATGCTCAGTAACATTTGTAGTTACTTTATTGAACAATTTAGACATCTATTTGCTGCACAGATATTCCCTTAGATGCTGTTATGGGTTGAATTGTGTCTCCCTGCAGAAAGATATGTTGAAGTCTTCATCCCTCCCCAGTACCACAAAATGTGACTTTATTTGAAAATGTGATCTTTACAGAGGTAATTAAGTTAAAATTAGATCATTGGGGTGGGCCCTTATCCAATATCACTGTGTCCTCATAAAAAGGGGAAATTTGAACACAGAGATAAACATGCACACAGAGAGAATGCCATGTGCAGATGAAGGCAGAGATTGAGGTGATGCATCCACAAGACCAGGAATGCTGAAAAGTTCCAGCAAAGCACCAGAAACTAGAGGAGCAGCATGGAACAGATTCTTCCCCACAGCCCTCAAAAGGAACCAACCCTGCCTACACTTGACCCTGGACTTCTGACCTCCAGAGCTGTAAGGCAATAAATTTCTGTTGTTTAAGCCACCCAGCCTGAGGCATTTTGGTACAGCAGCTCTAGCAAACTAACAAAGATGCTAATTGTACAAAGGCCAACTGTTACTAACTCAGGTCACCAAATAACTCAAAGAAACTAGCACCATATTAACAATAATGAGTAACTGCAGGCAGAGAGGGGATAGAGAGGAGAGGGAAGGAAAAAGTGGACGGAAAGGAGAAACAATACAGACATAATGACTTGGACTCCAGAAGTGAAAGAAGAAAAAGCTGAGAAGGAAATTGTTTGCATTAACGAAAGAGAAAGCTCACAGAATATTGCCCACTGCCTCTTTTAAGCTTCCAAGGGCTCCGGACCATGGGTCACAATCAATGTCTCTGTAAGAACTGTCCCCCAATTGGGACCCACTGACTGTATAATTTGAATGTTTAAAGATCAGGTTTTTGCACCTATTCTGTACCAGAATTTCTTCAAGGGAGAGACGTTTCAGCTCAATTCCTCTTTTATCAAATGATCTTCTGACCACTGTCACTAGGCTTTGCCCGGAACGATCAAACCCAATACTCCCAGCAAGTGTGTCCCTTCCCTCCAGACTCAGGGACTAAGAGACTAACCTTTATCACTCCACGATAGCTTCAAATCTTCATAACTCACTGGCTGCATAAATAATGGGCTACCATCTAAGGCTTCCTTACAAGAAATATTTCTTATTTTTGTTGTAAATTGTTTTGCATCCTGAATTTAAATGAGTCTGACTGAAGGAACGAGAATATTCCACTTATGTGATTTTCCTAAAAACATGTCCTAAGGGAAAGAGCCCTTTAAGATAATCTGGGTTAATTCAACTACCAAATACTTACATTCTGGTCAAATTCTGGTCAAATACACAAGGAATGACAGAACCAAGACTCAAGAATTAAACTTTCAGGATTAAGCTGACTTTTAGTTCAGTGCTTTTTCCTGTATACCATTTACTCCCTATAATTTCATAATAAAATAATTTGGGTTCCACAATAAAACAAGGCTGACCTGGATATTGGACTTACCCTTCTAAACAGAGTACAGGCTCCCTTCTTTTAAAAGAAGATCATTCTAAGTATATCTTAGCCTGTTGTATGGAAAGCAGGAAGCAAATGTTCAGCAGATATTCGTACAGATGTTGGCAGCCATCTGCCCCATTCTAAGAGCTCTGAAGGCCAAGGGTGCCTCAGGGGTGCCAGGGCAATTACAGGATGTGCCGACCAGTGGCAGGGCTCAAAAAATGCCCATGCCATGCATCTTCCTCAATGTTGGGGAAAGAAATGTGTCAAGAAGGGACAAGAGGCACATATGTTGTGTACAGGGACCAGGAATTCACATATACAAGCAGAGCCCGTCATCTCCAACCATTGTTGGGAGTAGGCTTCCAGCAGCTGAAATTCTGAAATGTATTCATTATAAGGTGAAAATATGAAATGACCGCTAGCAAACACTAGCTCTCACAGCACCTGGAACAGTATCTGTGCTTTCTACGTGCCATGCCCTATTCCAAGCACTTTACACATATTAACTCATTTACTCACCAAAACTTGCCCCAAAACAGATATTATTATTATCCCTACTAAACTGCTGAAGAAGTTGAGGCACAGAAGGATTAAGCAACTTCACTGACATACCAAAGCTAGCAGTGGCAAAACCAGGATTCAAATGGAGGTAACCTGGTTCTGGGGCCATACTAATACTGCATTTTCCCCCTTACAGCTCTACCAATTGGTAGCCAATTTCCAGCTACCAATATGACATCCCTGAGCATAGGGTTGGAGAAAGATGTGCACAGTCGGCTCTTGCCAGCTGCGAGAGCCAGCTTCAGCATGCCAGTGGGTTGAGTGAAAGAGGGAAAGAAAAAAAGGAAGGAAAGAAGGAAGGACAGGAGGGAGGGAAGGGGTTGTGGGGGGCAGAGACTAGAATAATAAGATATGCTTTCACCAAGTGACCTCTCCCAGCAATGAAGCCTGGGGAATTTGTAGGCTGTCACAGGGAGGATCCCATTGTTGAGTCTGGTTGTGACATATCTTATTCATGTAATGAGTTCTTTCTCACCACCAGTAATCTCAAGGTGCAATTAAGACAAAATGACAAAGTCTATAGCTTTTTGCTGACCCCCACCAGCCTGAATGCAGGAGTCTACCCATTGGCTCTTCTGTTCCATAATGGGGGACTCTCACCACTTGTCGCCTCAGCCCTCTTTATCTGTGACCATCTCTTATGTTTTTGGAATGGAGTCTGGGATGGTGCCTCTGGCTGCCAGCCCTGCCACCATGGCTAACAGGGCTGCCTCCCCACCACGAGGTGGCTGCCATTTTTGTGGCTGCAGCCATTCCTGCTCCTCTCTTAACCAATGTTGCTGCTATTGTGCTACCACCTCAGGCACCAGTGAGACTGGCAGTTCCTTAGCACGGCTTCTGGCCACAGCACCCCTCAGGCCCACCCACTGTCTTCTACCTAAGTCCTAGGGCCCTTCTCCTCATCCAGACAGATCAAAGTTGATCCTCCAAATGTTGCGGGACTTCTCCTTAGTTCAGCTAAAGACAGGGTCTTTGTCACATGGCCATGAAAATTTAGACTCGCAGACAATCTGAAAGGTGAGTAAAGCAGAGTTTTACTGGGTGAAAAGGGAAAAAAAGGTAAACAGGGACCCCCTGCAAAGCCAGTCCCTGCTGGTGCACTTCCGGCCTCACAGTTTGAATTCCAGGTTCTACCCAGGAAGAGGAGGGGCCAGGCTCCTCCTCTTGCTGCAAAGGGCATGAACTTCTGTGTTCCACCCCAGTGTGCACTCCTTCCTGTGCACAGGCAACTGGAGTTTTGCCAGGGAGCCCTTCCCACCTGTCTCACAGACATCAGGAGGCACATGCCTATTTCAAATCCAAACCCATCCAGAGCAGTTCCATTTCTGCCTCAAGCCTGGTTACACTAAATTGAATCAGTATAGTCTCCCATTTGTACAACAGACATGTATGGAGAGCCTAGGCACCATGCTGACCTTTTGAAATGCAACAGTAAACAAAACAGTCCCACTTCTGGGGGTTTACAGCCTGGCTGGGGGTTGGTGGAATAGATTCCAGAGAAGTGTGAAGCTTTGCTTTGCTAGGAGAGTGCACCAAGGAAACTGATCCTGAGAAATTAACCTCCAGTCGGCTTGCTGGTAAGCACTCAGAAATAAGTAGCATGCTTGCATGTGGCCTACTCAGCTACTTGCCTGACGTGGCTCCTGCAGCTCTCCCCATCCTCCATGCCAGAAACCTTTCCTCCCAAGATATGCATGCAGCTCTCTTTCCTCACTTCACTCAGGTCCTGGTTCACATACCACCCAATCAGAGAGGACTTATATGGCCACCCAGTAAAAAAAAAATAGCACCCTCAGCAACATGTGAGAAAGATTAAACTGGCTGCTGCTGGCTTGGAAAATAAAGGGGCAACAAGCCAAGGAATGCGGGCAACCTCCAGAAGCTAGAATAGGAAGGGAATGGATCTCCCCTAGGGCCTCCAGAAGGCATACAGCCCTATTAACACCTTCATTTTAGCCCATTGAAACTCATTTCAGACTTCTGACCTCCACGATTGTAAGATAGTAAATTTGTGTTACTTTAAGGCACTAAATTTGTAGCAACTTGTTACAATAGCAATAGGAAATTAATACACTAATATTCCCAGCACCTACAGCCAAAGTATGAGTAGCAGTTTTATAGGCAGCTGAGGGAATGTTTTTCCAAGCAGAGGGAGCAGTGGCAGCATGTGCAGAGCCAGGCAATTGAGAGAACATTATGCTTTCAGAGAACTGGAAGTAAAGGGTAGGTAACATTGTAGGGTGTACAGTGTACTACACATGCAATTTCTTATTTTCTCTTCCAGAGATTATCTTCTTTTCCACTGACTAGATCAAAGCAAAGAATGGCAAGTTTGAATGCTTTGCTCAAGAACCCAGCGCAGGCCAGCTGAAGTGGCTCACTTCTGTAATCCCACCACTTTGAGAGGCCAAGGAAGGAGGAGAGCTTGAAGCAAGAATTTCAAGACAAGCCTGGGCAACAAAGTGAGACCCCACTTCTGCAAAAAATTTAAAAATTAGCTGGGTGTGGTGGCACATGCCTATAGTCCCAGCTACTCAGGGGGCTGAGGATGATTGCTTGAGCCCAGGAGGTCAAGGCTGCAGTGAACCATGATCACGCCATTGCACTCCAGCCTAGGCAACAAAGTGACTCTGTCTAAAAAAAAGAAAAAGAAAAAAGAACCTACAGCAAGCAAAATGCAGCCAAAGATGGCCAAGAACACACCTGTAACTGAAGAAAACTGGGTTTAATGACATACTTGTAAGAATGGAAAGCCATGGGACCTTTTATAAAACTTTCTTAGCAAGTGCTTATTTTGTGATTTGGGCTTGTATTGATGAAGCACATTGTGTTTTGTTTTTTCTGGACTGGGTGCTCTCACATAATGGGAGCAATTCTATACTTGGATATCTGGATAATTCTTATTTAGCAGGCCAGGGCTAATACTGTAATGGGTAGAGAAGCAGTGATCACTCATGTGAGCCAGGTGAGGGGATGTTTAGTATTTTTGCATTTTGTACAATGTTCTATTTTTGTCAGCACCCAGGCATGATTATAAGTGTGGTCCTTTGTCTCCCATTGTTGTGGACACACAATGACCTTATCAGATATTGGTGTTGTGTGAAATTGTTTACATTCAACAAGAGTACCCCATGCCAGGCCAGCTCCCAGCTGACAGCTGTCAGGAGCTGCCTTCTTGTTTCTCACTTAGCTGGGGCTCAGATTCCTACCTTCTGATGCCAGGTCCTGTGCTCTTTCTACTTCGTGGCTCTACCGTCGTTCACTGGATCTGTAGAGCTGCAGTAATTACAAGACCTTAGCCAACAGTTCCAACCTCCTTCTCCTTTTGTTCCAATTTCTTCTCCCCTTATTTCCATTTTATTTTCTGATTATGCTGTATATGATTTTGTAGCAGGCCAGGATTGGTGGCTCACGTCTTTAATCCCAGCACTTTGGGGGACTGAGACAGGAGGATCACTTGAGTTCAGGATTTCAATACCAGCCTGGGCAACAAAGCAAGACCCTGTCTCTAGAAAAAAATTAAAGAATTAGCCAGGTGGTACATGCTTATAGTTCTAGCTACTCAGGAGGCTGAGGCGGGAGGATCACTTAAGCCCAGGAGTTCAAGGCGGCAGTGAGCTATAATCATGACACTGCATTCTAACCTGGACAACAAAGCAAGGCCCTGTCTTGAAAAGAAAAGGAAAAAGAAAAAGAAAAGAAAAGAAAAGAAATCATAATCAAAAAAGAAAAGCGTAATCAGTTTGTACTATTATACAATCACTCACAAACCCACTTTCCTAACATATCACCTGGTTCAGTTTTGTATTTCTTTCTAGATCTGCTCCAACAGCATCCACATTTTTATACAGACATGATGATAGGGTGAATATAATATTGGGTTTTTTCATTTAATACTATATAAGAACCTTCTTTTCACACTATTACAAAATTACACAGCATAATGAAGAATAACTTTGAATAAAAAATGTATGCGTTCAAAGGAACCACTCATTTTGGGTGATTGCCTATGGGATTCTACACCCAAGATGAAAAAAAAGAGGGATGGAAAAGTAAATAGACCAAGAGGGTAGAACTGAGTAGAGTTGGTGATTGGCTGAATGACCTCCAAATTCTCACACCTTGGAGGCCACTGTAGACTCTAGTATTCCATAATTGTTTTCTTGAGCTGTATCCTATGGAATCTGGAGCATATCTCTGGGGATAGGAGAGTTCCATAGAGGCAAGGATAATCTGGAGACCAGTCATCTTTTAAATTTTTTAATTTACTGGCTCAGAGAACAGCAAAAGGAGAGCTTAAAGGAAAATTTAAAAGATGTCTGGTCCCTAACACCAATCAGGAAGAGCCTGAACACACTCTCTGAGGGAGCTTAGATGAGGACCACTGCTGTGGAACCTGTCAAGAATTGCCCCAGCCATGCGAGTGTAGAGGTGGATACAGAGCTGTGGGTTCTGCTGGAACCTCGCAGCCAGAAAAGTGCTTCACCCTGGAAACTGAAAACTGACCCATGTGTGGAAAACCAACTTTTCCAGGAGAGAGTCATCTCAGAGGGTACTGTAAGCCTATCCTATAATCATCTTCCGGGACTGCACTTGACACTACAGGCTTTGGAATGGAAGTATCTCAGGTCTCAATACCTCTAGTGAGTGTCCTTCCCATCTTTCCTATTGGAACAACAGAAGAGGCAGAGATTGATTTCTTTTTAATCAACAGTTTATAAGGGAGCAGCATATCCAACTAAGAAATGTTATAAGGTTTGGGCTGATGAAGGTGGTTGGAACTAGATGGAGTGTGGCTGGCCAAGACCCACAGACTGCAATTAAAACTGTTCCAGAGGAAGGAGATTCATGGAATTCATTTCAAAATACTCTAATCTCAATTCACTTCACCATCTGGGTGTAGGTATATTAATGGTCAGTTCCATACCCAAGCTGCTTTAGCTCTGACTGACGTAGAAGAACGTTACCTGTGAGATCTGAGATTCCTAGGTATTTATTTGTCCATTTTTGCATTGCTATAAAGAAATACCCAAGAGTGGGTAATTTATAAAGAAAAGAGGTTTATTTGGCTCATGGTTCTGCAGGCTGTACAGGAAGCATAGCAACTTCTGCTATGGAGGAGGCCTCAGGAAACTTATAATCATGGCAGAAGGCAAAGGGGAAGCTGGCACATCTTACACGGCTGGAGCAGCAGGAAGAGAGAGAGGGGAAAGGTGCCACATATTTTTAAACAACCAGATCTTATGAGAACTCTTTCATGAGAACAGCACCAAAGGGATGGTGCTCACCCATTCATGAAGGATCCACCCCCATGATCCAGTCACCTCCCACCAGGCCTCACTTCTAACATTAGGGATTACATTTCAACTGAGATTTGGGTGGAGACACAGATGTAAACCATAGCACTAGGTGTCTCTTCTCTAAGCAGGGAAGAAAAATTCTGAGGCCTGAGCTGGGTATTGAGACATTAAAAAAAAAAAAAAAAAAAAAAAAAGAGAGCGAGAGAGAGAGACAGCACACATAATGTGGTTAAGGAGCTCCCCTCTCCCCAGGAGGAAAAGTGTTGCCAGCCTTAGGACATGCGGGCTGGTGCTCCAGAATCTTAGGGTCCCCCTCTCCCCTTTAAGAAGGCAGAGCTTCCCAGGCATCTGAGATAGCTTTGTGGAAAGGAAGGGCCATAGGATAATTGTGGACTCAGCAGCAGTAGGCTGGGCCAGGAAAGATAGATGAAGTGTCTGAATTTTGCCTTTACTCATGATAAACAGAAGACAAAGGGGATGGTGGAGAAGGATAGAATAAGACATATGGCTGTTAGAGAACCATAAGAAACAGCTAAAGCATGAAGTAGTCCCAGACTAATTTGTGGAGAGATGGCTACTTCCTTCTAAGTCTGGGATCAGAACATCAGGAACTGTTCTGTTGAATTAGAGAAACTGGCATTCTTTTCACTGTAATGGGAAAGATTCTCTGGTGTCACTTCTGAAACCTATGAAGGCAAAGGGAGGGAAAGTTACAAGAGTGTCAAAAACAATGAGCTAAGAAAGCAGTGAGATAAGAAAACAATGGGGTAACAAAGAGAAAGAGAAACTGCCAGATGATGGGTACCTAACAAGGGTCCTAGTTTTACCCCTTATTGAGTATCACCTCTGGGACAATTGGGAGGATGCCCAGAAGATTGGAATCATCCAAACTAGGTCCAGAAACACTGGACTGACAAGTGTCAACATTGGTGGGTTGATTTCTGAGCATGAATAGGAATATAAGGAATATAATGAAGCCATGGTGTTGGGCAGGAAGTCCTTGTAGAGAACTAGGATCTTAACTGGACTAAGAACTGTGCCTGAGGTTGCCTTAAAATGGCATACTTGAATCCAGAGAGCCAGGTGGGGCCCACATTATTGAGGACTGGACCCTAGAAAATGTTGGCTCACCTATTACTGTTAATTGCAGGAGTGTAAAAGAGACTACTGAGGTATGTGGAATGAAATTGTGGCAGTACAAAACCTCAGTAACCAATCTTAGTTAATAGGGATGAGCTAGAAAATGTTAGTTCCTTTGTGGATGATAACTGGAAATGTTTTAAGGTTACTGTTGAATTGGGGAAACTGGCACTCTTCATTGTCTTACAAAATATTTGATAAGACAAAACTTGATAAATTTTTATCCATAGGGATAAGCCTGGTTATGTCCACATTGAATGAGGAACAGGGTACCGGAAAATGTTGGTCCCTTTGTTGATGGTAATTGGAAGAGCTTTAGGATAACTAATGAGACTGGCATCAAATAGTGGGCCAAACTTGGATGACCAATTATTTATAGGGACCAGCTAGTTAGTGCCCACAGTGGGTAAGGATCTGGTACCCTAAAATGTTAGTTTCTTTGTTGATGGTAGTTGGAAAAGCTTTAGGGTGACTAGAGAGAAGCCTAAAGAGAAATTGGGTTAGGACAAAACCTATATGGCCAATTAGATTCAAAAGAACAAGGTTAGGAAAGAACTAGTTTCTTCAACCTATTGAGTTGCTGTGGGCCCTGCCCCTGTGGTTGGTCAAATGATATTTTCCATGTGGTCTGCTTCTTATAGCTTAAAAACAATTTGTTTTAAGGTAATAGGGTGAGACATAGCAAGGGTTTATTGCACAGAAAGAAGCAGCTTCAAACAAATGGAGTTGAAGTAAACACTGAGAATAAAAAGAAAAATGGAGATACAGAGAGAGAAAAGAAAAATATGGTAAAGATTAGTGGTATTGAAAATGGAATGAGAAAGGGCAAGGAGGCAAGAGAAAAACACTGTGTCAGTCAGACATGGAAGAGAGCCAAAGAAACAAAAATAAATTTCTCTTTCTCCTCCACTCCTGCCTTCCTTTTTTTTTTTTTTCTTCCTTCTTTTAACAATCATGGAGTGTTCACTATATGTCAAGGTAAGTACTGGCTATAAAATGTAAGTAAGACTCTCTCTCTGCTCTGTGGGTCATTGCTTGGGACTAACACTTGGGAGAGTACAATAGTAAACCGCTAGTAAGATGGACATCAAGCTTTTAAGAGGAATTAAGAAGGAATGGCAGAGTGAGGAAGGATCAGATAACCAAAGATTTAACTACCAGGGATCTCATCCCTGAAGTTGGGGAAGTGAGTCTGCTATGGAGAAAGGCCAAGGAGAGCAGGGTAGGAGGGCAGCTGTGAGAGCCACTTCCCACAGCCTAGAGTCTCTGAAGGGCCGCAGGTTTGATTCCCACCCCACATTTCGAGGTCAACTTACCAGAGGTTGCCATTCCTGGAGTAAAAATGTTGAATTGCCTATGCTCAGAGACCTGGCCACCCAGCTCCCAGGCATTATAAGTGCAAATGACTCACACCATCCCACATCTAGTGGTGGTGTGGTTACACCAGGAAGCCTTTACACACAGGGAAGTTCAAGAGAATCAGTGTGTTAGTGCCCACACTGGGTAAGGACCTGGAAATGTATTTTTGTTTCTTCGGCTCTCTTCCATGTCTGACACAGTGTTTTTCTCTTGGCTTCTTGCCCTTTCTCATTCCATTTTCAATACCATGAATCGTTATCATATTTTTCTTTTCTCTTCCTGCATCTCCATTTTTAAAACACTGCAGGGTGTGGAGTCAGAGAGGAGATTCTCTATCTGTACTTAAGTTGTGGGTGTAGCTGAGCCAGCTGGAGCATCACAAAATACCAACCTGGTGCAGCCTAAAGCAGCCATTCATGTTACATGGAATTTTTAAATGGGTTGAGGAAAGTTCATAATTTTTAGCATTACCAGGAAACATACAAAGATATTCTTTAATATATTATTGATTGACACTCTGTTTCCAAAAGGCTTTTGAGGTAGCTTTTTGTTGATACTAAGTTCCCATTTTCATTTAATGGGAGGAAAGCTTCAGGAGAAAGAGACATGGGCAGGTAAAATTTTGATGGTAGAAAATGAAGCAATAAATCTGAAGTATTCACATCACAATAGAAGATCTGCAGAAGCTACAGGCCAGTGGAGAAAAGTGACACATGTGCTCAGAAAAAGGGGTGGGAAAAAGAATTTCAAGTGGAAGACAAACTTTTCTTCCATTGTGCCATATTCTGTCCGTCTACACAAAAAGCCAGAAACATTGTATTACTACTGTGGACTTTAAAAGTAATACAGAAATAGAAATAACATATTAATTTATTCTCTTAAAGGTTCTATCATATAGAATACAAAGTAAAATGTTAAAGCCCCAATTTCCTTATCTCTTCTACTCATCCACCCCAAAGATAACTACTTTATAAAGTTTATGGTTTTTTCCTAGGCATTTACATATTTTTTCAAATATAAATATGATTGTTATACATTTTTACATCAGCCCATGGAAATTTGTATTACTTTAAACAGCTACATGTATACTTGATTATAAATGAACCTTACTGTATTTGGCCATTTTTCTGTGGACAATGAGATTTTTTTTTCCTACCCTGTTTTCTTTAAGAACATTCCTTCATAATCATCATTATCTAAATCAAGGATCTGCATGTCTATGAATCATTATGGAAACTTATGGAAATGTAGAATTAAGGTCAACTGAACAGTTTTCTTTTATAAAGAGAATTGTGAAATGTACTAATAGAATTAAGACCAAGAAACACACTTATCAATAAATATATTAAAGTATTGTCAAAACAGACATCATTTCTCTGGAATGCATAGGGAAGACAGTCAAAAGAGTGAGAAACAGGGAGAAATAGTGAGGGATAAAGGAAGAGACATAAAATGTTTACACTTTCAGAAGCTCAATGGACACGGTATTGATAATTCATTTCGAAATACATTTTCTGAAATAAAACAGCTCAGCTTTCAAAAGTCCAAAAATATGAGTAAATTTGCCAAGTTTACATTTATGTGACCAACAAACATATGAAAAAAAGCTCATCCGCCCCATCCGGGAGGGAGGCGGGGGGCAGCCTCCACCTGGCCACTGCCCCTTCCGGGAGGTGGGGGGCGCCTCTGCCCAGCCACCCCTTCTGGGAAGTGAGGAGCCCCTCTGCCCGGCCGCCACCCCGTCTGGGAGGTGTACCCAACAGCTCATTGAGAACGGGCCATGATGACGATGGCGGTTTTGTCGAATAGAAAAGGGGGAAATGTGCGGAAAAGATAGAGAAATCAGATTGTTGCTGTGTCTGTGTAGAAAGAAGTAGACATAGGAGACTCCATTTTGTTCTGTACTAAGAAAAATTCTTCTGCCTTGGGATGCTGTTGATCTATGACCTTACCCCCAACCCGGTGCTCTCTGAAACATGTGCTGTGTCCACTCAGGGTTAAATGGATTAAGGGCAGTGCAAGATGTGCTTTGTTAAACACATGCTTGAAGGCAGCATGCTCGTTAAGAGTCATCACCACTCCCTAATCTCAAGTACCCAGGGACACAAACACTGCGGAAGGCCGCAGGGTCCTCTGCCTAGGAAAACCAGAGACCTTTGTTCACTTGTTTATCTGCTGACCTTCCTTCCACTATTGTCCTATGACCCTGCCAAATCCCCCTCTGCGAGAAACACCCAAGAATGATCAATAAAAAATAAAAAATAAAAAAAATTAAATAAATAAAAAAAATTAAAAAAAAAAAAAGAAAAAAAGCTCATCATCACTGGTCATTAGTGAAATGCAAATCAAAACCACAATGAGATACCATCTCACGCCAGTTAGAATGGCAATCATTAAAAAGTCAGGAAACAACAGGTGCCGAAGAGGATGTGGAGAAATGGGAACGCTTTTACACTGTTGGGAGTGTAAATTAGTTCAACCACTGTGGAAGGCAGTGTGGCAATTCCTCAAGGATCTAGAACTGGAAATACCATTTGACCCAGCAATCCCATTACTGGGTATACACCCAAAGGATTATAAATCATTCTACTATAAAACACATGCACACGTATGTTTATTGCGGCACTATTCACAATAGCAAAAACTTGGAACCAACCCAAATGCCCATCGATGACAGATTGGACAAAGAAAACGTGGCACATATACACCATAGAATACTATGCAGCCATAAAAAAGGATGAGGTCATGTCCTTTACAGGAACATGGATGAAGCTGGAAACCATCATTCTCAGCAAACTAATACAAGAACAGAAAACCAAACACTGCATGTTCTTACTCATAAGTGGGAGTTGAACAATGAGAACACATGGACACAGGGAGGGGAACATCACACACCGGAGCCTGTCACAGGGTCAGGGGCTAGGGGAGGGATAGCATTAGGAGAAATATCTAATGTAGATGACAGGTTGATGGGTGCAGCAAACCACCATGGGACATATATACCTATGTAACAAACCTGCACGTTCTACACATGTATCCCAGAACCGAAAGTATAATAAGTATATTTTAAATATACTTATTAATATATATATAAAATACATATTAATATATAGCAGCAGAAACTTTCCTCAAATTCCCTATTTTCCGAATTTTCAGTTAAATATATATACACACACTGTGGACTAGAGAAAATGGCTTTTTAGATTTTACAAACCAGGAGTTAAATTTCATAGAACAATACCCTTGTCCTGCAATCCCCTAGCTTCTAGAATATTGTTACAAAATACTTTTTGTGTGTTTGTTTGTGATGGAGTCTCCCTCTGTTGCCCAGGCTGGAGTGCAGTGGTGTGATCTATGCTCACTGCAATCTCTGCCTCCCGGGTTCAAGCTATTCTCCTGCTTCAGCCTCCAGAGTAGCTGGGATTACAGGCACGCACCACCACACCCAGCTAATTTTTGTATTTTTAGTAGAGATGGGGTTTCATCATCTTGGCCAGGCTGGTCTCGAACTTCTGACTTCAAGCGATCCGCCCACCTCGGCCTCCCAAAGTACTGGGATTACAGGCGTGAGCCACTACGCCCAGCCAAATGTTGTTACAAAATACTTTGGAAAGTACATTACATTTTTGTCTATATACGTGAGCCAGCTTATATGAAGCCAGGGTAGATATCACATATGAGGGATAGTTTATCCTCTCTTCTCATCTCCTGCAGCACTAGTTGCCAAACTTGGAATTCCTTTAAGCCTACGTTTATAAAAATGTGCAGTATCCAGTCATCAAGAAGCAGCTGAGGATCTAAATTTATCAGTCTGGAAAATAACTTGACATCAACCATCTTTGCTCCTTAGAGGCTGTAAGATTCACAAGCAGAGTTTTGAGGCACGGACAAGGTCACAGACACAGTATGGTCTCAATTGGCTCATTAAATTTTTCTACCAATTACCTTTTTGTGTGCATTTATTTAAACGACACTTATGTAGAACTTTCTATAGCCCAAGCTGTATTCTAAAGGCTTTGCCCTCATTGCCTGTTTGTCATCTGCAAACTGGGGATGAAAATAATAACACCTACTTGACAGAGCTGTGAGGTTATATGAGGTTAAGTAAGTTTGTCTGAGGCCGTATCTACTGCGTGGTAGAGTCATTTAGCCATGCTTCATCTTCTTTGGGTTCAACCTTTTCTGTTTCCCTTAACCACTGGTTCATTCAGTCCTCCAGTTCACTATGATGGAGATTAGATGGGACCTAGAAGATCTATCCAATCCCATCTTTACTAGTCTCCAAGTTTTCTAGCACTTGTTCTTGAGTGCTCAGTTGAAATTTATGATTTAAGAAATTTAATATTTAAATCTTTTTTTTTTTTTTTGAGACAGAGTTTCACTCTTGTTGCCCAGGATAGAGTGTAGTGGTACGATCTCGGCTCACTGCAACCTTCGCCTCCCAGGTTCAAGCGATTCTCCTGCCTCAGCCTCCTGACTAGCTGGGACTACAGGTGCCTGCCACCATGCCTGGCTAATAATATTTAAATCTTGAATAAAATGTTATCATGAAAACAAAACCTAAAAAAGTTAGGAGAGCCAGAAGCAAAAACTATGGAATTTTTTAAATAGCTTGAGAAACTATGAAAGCTTTTTCCCTTTAACTCTCATGTGACAACAAATTTTGATATCTGGGAAAGAAAGTTTGCTGAAGCTTACAATGAATTTAGATCAATGTAAACCAGTTTGTGTTTTTCTAAATAAATTTCTCTGGTTAGGGTAACTATTAATCACATGTTAATTATTGACAGTGACCCAATATTAAAAGTCAAGAAACAAACTAACCAAAGATAAAACAATTAGTGTTGTAGTATATCGTTAGGTGTACACCATCGCTCCCCACCCCCTCACAAACACATCCATTTCCAATTATGTGCACCTTTCAAGAGTCACTGTTTACCTGCTACAGAATGCATGTTCAAGTCTCCTGGAGGCCTGAGCTGTCTCTCCTGCAGGCAGATAACTCATGGTTTTCCCCTCTCTAATGCAGGTCCCTAGTGGCGTGACTTCCAGTTGTGGATTTACTTATACAAGTTAGGTAACATGGAGCTCGTTTCACCTTACAAGGTGCCCAGCTTCCCGAGAACTATTTAGTTCAAAACACCTGGTCCAACAAGGTCATTAAGTCAAACCACAAGATTGGGGTTTCCTGGTAGGCAACTGCTTTTCTGTAGTGTTTTCACTTTTTCTTGGGCTTTCAAGAAAGCCCCTTGCCAAGTACCAAAATCTTTTGCTTTTATCAAGACTTCCCTTTCACATGTCCCCAAGGCCCTGCAAATCACTTTTAAACCATTAATTTTATCTAAAAGTCCTATTCCTGGTTTCTTCAGGTACTGGTTAAACAAAATTAGCGTTTAAAGTGCTGTTAGTTGGCCGAGCACGGTGGCTCACACCTGTTATCCCAGCACTTTGGGAGGCTGAGGCAGGTGGATGACTTGAAGTCAGGAGTTTGAGACCAGCCTGGCCAACATGGTAAAACCCCATCTCTACTAAAAAACACAAAAAAATTAGCCAGGTATAGTGGCATGTACCTGTAATCCCAGCTACTAGGGAAGCTGAGGTGGGAGGATTGCTTGAACCAGGAGGTGGAGGTTGCAGTGGGCCGAGATTGTGCCACTGCATTCCAGCCTGGGCGACAGAGAAAGGCTCTATCTCAAAAAAAATAAAAATAAAAATGATACTCAGAGGAGTATCACTTGGGGAATATTTTTTTTTCTCCTATGAAAGTAGCATGTGTTGTGGGGAATTTAGAAAATTCAAACCAAAAAGGGGGGAAAATTGGAATATTCTCTAATTTCATTATCCTGTGGTAACTCACCAAAAACATTTTAATGAACATCCTTAAAATTTTTTCATATGCATATTTTTGTAGAAATAAGCTTAACTACTACATAATGTTTCATATACCAAAAGTATCTTCTTGCGATTACAATTTTCTATCACATCAATTTTCATAATCTATTACATGGATGTACTTTAATTCATTTAACCAATATGCTGCTGTCTCAGGTTATCGGACTCTGAGAATTTGCACCTAGAAGAGACACCCCACTGGAGACCCTGAGAACAGGAGCCCATGGTGTGATGGGAGTTCTCTCCCAATGAGGAGAATCACAGTGCCTTTACAGCTGAGTGTGAAATGCATAGGTTATATCAGGTGGAGGATTCTTTGGAACTGTGTTTCCATTTATGGAACGAACAGTCCTATCCTGTGTTAAGAGGCCACAGCGTTTAAACACTAAACCTCTCTTGAGGTGTCTGCCCATCTCACAATGTGTTTATTTAAAAGTGACGTTACTTCAAAGCCATGTTTACCTTAAGATAGACACAGTTAAATAGATATCAAAACAATTAGAATCATGTGTATACACATGGGCTAATATACACTCATATTTCCTAGCTTGTCCACTGAGAGGGCCTGGAGGCAGCAACACACACCCCAGTAGCAACAAGCTGCTAGATCTTGGTTTCTATACCATTCTCCAAAAGAAACCAGAGCTCTTTGAAGAAGTGGCTGATTTTAGGGCTGGGGCAGGGAATATATAAGGTGAACCTAGAATATGACAGAAAGAAAGGCTTTACAAAAAGAAAAAAAGATCAGACATGTCAAAGCGACAAAGGTGCCAACCTAAAAGAGCTCCCAGTGGCCAAAGCCGGAACACTTTCAACAGCAAAATAAATAACATAGTCCCAAAGTATAATAAAATAAATATCCATGAGTACATACTGGTCTAAACAAATGACTGAATGGGAGAAAAGAGCCAAATCTCCTGTACAGAACTCTACTTCATGTAGATACTCCCACCTTCCACTCTCTTCCCCCAATTGCTTCCAAAGAGTAGAGTATAGAAAGGAAAGAATAAGTAAATTTACAGTGAAGGAACCTGGCCAACACTACCTTGGCCTGGTAGTCAAGGTTAACATCACCAGTGCCAAGTCACAGAGATAGCATGTTCCTCCTGAAATGACATCATGAAGGCACTTCACCTCTGTGGTTTTCCTCACAAAATCCATAACTTCATTCTGAAAGAAATATCATGCAAACCAAAATTGAGGAAATATTATTTGGCAATAAAAGTAAATGAAATACTGGTACAATCTATAATGTGGATAAACAATGAAAGCATGCTCAGTGACAGCAGTCACAAAAGACTACATAATATCTCATTGCATGTGTATGAAATGTCCAGAATAGACAATCTTCTGCCCTAGCCCTAAAAACCATAGAGACAGAAAGTAGATTCGTGGTTGCCTAGGGCAGGGAAGTTTGAGGGGAAACTGAGAATAACCACTAATGGGTAGGGAGTTTCTTTTTATTTATTTATTTTTATTTTTTTCAAGTGGTCAGTCTTATTACTGAAGTTTTTTTTTTAGCGGTGATAAAACTGTTGTACAATTATCTCTATAATGAGAATTACAAAATATTGCCAAAAGATATCAGAGGTGACACAATCAAATGGAAAAATATTCCATGCTCATTGATAGGAAAAATCAATATTGTTAAAATGGCCACAGTGCCCAAAGCAATTTATAGATTCAGTGCTATTTCTATCAAATTACCAATGACATTTTTCACAGAATTAGAAAAAAACTATTCTAAAATTCATATAGAACCAAGAAAGAGCCTGAATAGCCAAAGTAATCCTAAGCAAAAAGAATAAAAGCAGGCATCATACTACCCAACTTCAAACTATACTACAAGACTGCAATAACGAAAACAGCATGGTATTGGTACAAAAACAGACCCACAGACCAATGGAACAGAATAAAGAACCTAGAGATAAAGCTGTACACGTACCATTTGATCTTTGACAAAGTTGACAAAAACAAGCAATGGAAAATGGACTCCTTATTCAATAAATGGTGCTGGGATAACTGGCTAGCCATATGCAGAAGATTGAAAGTGGACCCCTTCTTTTCATCATATAAAAAATTACGCTGGGCGCAGTGGCTCACACCTGTAATCCTAGAACTTTGGGAGGCCGAGGCAGACAAATCACTTAAGGCCAGGAGTTCGAGACCAGCCTGACCAACATAGCGAAACACCATCTCTACTAAAAATACAAAAAATAGCCAGGCATAGTGGCGCACACCTGTAATCCCAGCTACTCGGGAGGCTGAGGCATGAGAATTGCTTGAACCCAGGAGGTAGAGGCTGCAGTGAGCCGAGATTGCACCACTGCACTCCATCCTGGGGGACAGAGTGAGACCCTGTCTCAAAAAAAAAAAAAAAAAAAAAAAAAAAACCCCTAAAAGAAAACCTAGGAAATGCCTTTCTGGACATAGGCCCTGGGAAAAATTTCATGATGAAGACTCCAAAAGCAATTGCAACAAAAACAAAAATTGACAAATGGGACTTAATGAAACTAAAGAGCCCCTGCACAGCAAAAGAAATTATTAACAGAGAAAACAGACACCTACAGAATGGGAGAACATATTTGCAATATACATCCAACAAAGGTCTAATATCCAAAATCTATAAGGAACTTAAGTCAACAAGCAAAAAACAAATAACCCCATTAAAAAACAGGCAAAGGACATGAACAGACACTTCAAAAGAAGATATACACATGGCCAAGAAGCACATGAAAAAATACTCAACAGCTTACTAATCATTAGTAAAATGCATATCAAAACCACAATGAGGCTGGGCACAGTGGCTCACGCCTGTAATCCCAGCACTTTGGGAGGCCAAGGTGGGCAGATCATGAGGTCAGAAGATGGAGACCATCCTGGCTAACACAGTGAAACCCGTCTTTACTAAAAATACAAAAAAATTAGCCGGGCATGGTGGCAGGCATCTGTAGTACCAGCTACTCAGGAGGCTGAGGCAGAAGAATGGCATCGAACCCAGGAGGCGGAGGTTGCAATGAGCTGAGATCGTGCCACTGAACTCCAGCCTGGGTGACAGAGCAAGACTCTGTCTCAAAAAAAAAAAAAAAAAAAAAAAAAGCCACAATGAGATACCATCTCACACCATCAGGATGGCTATTATTAAAAAGTCCAAAAAATAACAGATAGTAGCAAGGTTATGGAGTAAAGAGAATACTTATGCTGATGGGAGTGTAAATTAGTTCAGCGTCTGTGGAAAGCAGTTTGGAGATTTCTCAAAGAACTTAAAACAGAATTACAATTTGACCCAGCAATCCCATTACTGGGTATACACCCAAAGAAATATAAATTGTTCTACCATAAAGACACATGCATGCATATGTTCATCACAGCACTATTTACAGTAGCAAAGACACAGAATCAACCTAAATGCCCATGAACTGGATAATGAAAATGTGGTACATGTACACCATGGAATACTACACAGCCATAAATAAGAATGAAATCATGTCCCCAGAAGTAACATGAATGGAGCTGGAGGCCATTATCCTAAGTGAATTAAGGCAGGAGCAGAAAATCAAATACTGCAGGTTCTCACTTATAAGTGGGAGCTAAACACTGAGTACACATGGACACTAAGAAGGAAACAACAGACACCAGGGCCTACTTGAGGGTAGAGGGTGGGAGGAGAGAGAATCAAAAAACTATGTATCAGGTACCATGCTTATTACCTGGGTGACAAAATAATCTGTACACCAAACCCCCACAGCACGTAATTTACCCATGTAACAAACCTGCACATGTACCCCCAAACCTAAAATAAAATTTAGAAAGAAAAAAATAAATAAAATAAGAATTATACTGGATAATGTTTAAAAAGTTAAACATATATCACAGCAATTTCACTCCTAAGAATGTGCCCAAGATAAATGAATGAATATATCCATGAAAGCTTCTACAACGTCATAGTGAAACTACCATTGCAAAATTATAACTGTGACAGCGAAAGAGATCTGACCTAACCAACTCCATCTTGCTTCTAACCTCCAAGCTGTCCTTGTTCATTCCTGGGCATAGGGCAAACTAACTTTGCGAGGAACTTAATTTAGAGTTTAAAACAAAGATGATGTAATCCCAGCACTTTGGGAGGCCGAGGCGGGCGGATCACGAGGTCAGGAGATCGAGACCATCCTGGCTAATATGGTGAAACCCCGTCTCTACTAAAAATACAAAAAAAAAAAAAAAAAAATTAGCCAGGTGTGGTGGCAGGCACCTGTAGTCCCAGCTACTTGGCAGGCTGAGGCGGGAAAAATGGCGTGAACCTGGGAGGTGGAGCTTGCAGAGCCAAGATCGCGCCACTGTACTCCAGCCTGGGCAACAGAACGAGACTCTGTCTCAAAAAATAAATAAATAAATAAATAAAAATAAGGAGACCTCCTTCTTGCCTAGGGACTAGATTGCCTTTGTAGGACTAACAAATTATCCAAAAGATTAGAAATTATGGTTTAGGAGTCACACAGCTGGAGGCTACAGGATTCTGACCTCTCTAAACTGCTCCCAAGAGATATTTTGCACACCCTGCACTTGATGGATCAGCTGGCACCACCCAGATACATCAACTGGCTCATCTGATCTTGTAGCCCCCACACAAAAATTGACTCAACCCAAGAAGACAGCTTCAACTCCCTATAATTTCATCTCTGAACCAACCAATTAGTACTCCCAACTCGCTGGTCCCCCTACCCACCAAATAATCCTTAAAAACTCTGACCCCCAAATGCTCTGGGAGACTGATTTGAGTAATAAAAAACCTCTGGTCTCCTGCACAGCTGGCTCTGTGTAAATTACTCTTTCTCTATTGCAATTCCCCTGTCTTGATAAATTGGCTCTGTGTAGGCAGCAGGCAAGGTAAACCCAATGGGCAATTACAATAGCAACTCTTTTCATCACAGCCCCTAATTAGAAGCAACCCAGATGTCGATCAGTTGGTGAATAAACAAATTGTGATATATCTTTTAAAAAAGAAAATGTTCTACAATTGATGGTGGCAATGGTTGCACAGCTCTGTGAATATACTTAAAACCATTGAATTGTACACCTTAAATGGGTGAATTCTGTTATGTAAATTCTATCGCAATAAAATTATTAAAAAGAAAACAAAACAAGGCGCATTCAACAAAGTACCTGACCAGTACTGATATAGGAAGTAAAAAGAAATTACTTAGGTAGATAGTGAGGGTAAGGAAGTCCTCGGTAAGGTTTTCCTTTTAATGAAAAGCTGTCACAAAACAAAGAATAGCCTGTAAAAATCAAGCTGCAGACACAGATAAGCAAGCTGGAAGCTTGCATGGGTGAATGCTGGCAGCTGTACCAATAGGAAAAGGCTATGTGGGGGTTAGGCATGTTCAACATGGCAGCTCCATCTTCCCTCTTCTTTGCCAACCATGTGTACAGTAAGGAGCAGACAACATGGAGCCAGCCAGGTAGAAAACACATTTGCATAATAAAAAGATTAGGGTGGGTGGACAGCTTCTTTGTGTGCTATGTAAACATCACACCTGGTCCAACCAATCTTTGGGTCCTATAGACACTGCCTCCTCAAGCCAGTCTATAAAATCTTGTGCACTCAGCTGCGGACCAGAAGTCCCACTCAGGCACCCCCCTCTCTGCAGGAGGGAGAGCTATACTCCTTTCTCTTACTTTTGCCTATTGAACCTCTGCTCCTAAAACCACTCCTTGTGTGTCTAAGTCTTCAATTTCCTTGGCATGAGACAACCAACCTCAGGTATTTACCCAGACAAATGATGTCCACGCCACTTCAGTACTAAACAAAACTGTCAAGGTCATTATAAACAAGTCTTAGAAATTGTTACAGACAAGGGGAGACTGAAGAGACATGAAAATTAAATGTAATGTAGTGTCCTGGATGGGATCCTAGAACAGAAAAAGGACATTAGGAAAAATCTAGTGAACTATTAATAAAATGTGCCTGGTTACTAATGCACAAATATGAGTTCCTTAACTGTTATAAATGTACCACACAGTAATGCACCCAGGCCTGTCTGACTCTACAGTTCGTTCTTTTAGCCACCAAAGCACACTGCCTCTCTATAACCCTAATTATGGAAGCTGAGCCTGCCCTCATGTTGGAGGCTTATCTCTGTCTCATCCAGGCCCGCTACTGAGATCCCAGGAGGCCTCATCAAAAAGCTGCATGAGTTAATAAAGGAAACATCACTCCCTCCATAGCTCTGTCTAAAGCAGAATCAAAGTATCTGAGAACTTCATTATGACTCTCTTCTGTTTCAGTATAATGAGGTGACTGAAGCACGGAGTGGGAATTCAAATGTTGGTTAAATAAGTAAATGAATTAGCTTCTGAAGGCATTAAATTGCTCTTTTCTTCAAACACTTAAAAAGTTAGAATAAGAACACTTTAAAAGTTCTAAAACTCTTTTTAGAACTCTGCTTTCTAAAAGACCTCTAAGTTTGAAAAATCAGTCCCTATGATCTGATACAGATTAGCTTGAAGGGGGAAGAAAAACTTTTTCAGGTGATGTTTGTCTGCTAAAAGGACGCTGGTCTTTCTAAGAAAGAAGCAGAATGAGTTTATTTTTAAAGTGAACTTGATGGGGGGAAGGAGAAGCAAAGGCATATAAACAATATAGCAATGACCCAAGACATAGACAAGACTGACCAATGGAAAAAGGTATTTGCTCTCAAATGTGCTAGGAGGGGGCTGGGGGAAGTCTACCCTGACCATTAGGATCCTCAGGGCAGGCCAGCAGGCAGTCTAATATGGTGGTAAGTGCTCCCAGGCAGGAGTCCCAAGACGGGAGTTTTCTTTGCAGCTCCAGCTTTAACCAGAGTGCAATCTTTCCACTGCTGGAAACTTAGTTGCCCTATGGGATAAAACTAAACGCTTTTCCTGGGTCCTTACCAATTCCCATGTTTTAGAAATCTGAAAGAACTAGAGATAAGCCTCAAATAACCTTGAGGCCGATAGTGTATTTCCTCCCCCACTCACACTATGTCTGGGCTGAAGTTATCAAGAAATAAAACTAGGCCGGGCGCGGTGGCTCACGCCTGTAATCCCAGCACTTTGCGAGGCCAAGGCGGGCGGATCACGAGGTCAGGAGATCAAGACCACGGTGAAACCCCGCCTCTACCAAAAATACAAAAAATTAGCCAGGGGCAGTGGCGGGCGCCTGTAGTCCCACCTACTCGGGTGGCTGAGGCAGGAGAATGGCGTGAACCCGGGAGGCGGAGCTTGCAGTGAGCTGAGATCGCGCCACTGCACTCCAGCCTGGACGACGGAGCGAGACTCCATCTCAAAAAAAAAAAAAAAAAAAGGAAATAAAACTATAGTCAACCCTTGTGTATGTAAGGTTCCAGGACTCCCGTGTATTCCAAAATCCACGCATACTCAGGTCCTCCAGTAAGCCCTGAAGAATCTGGGTATATGAAAAGCCAATCCTCCCTCCATAGGTTTCATATCCTGAAAATGCTGTTTCTCCATCCACATTTGGTTGAAAAAAATCCGGGGATATGTGAACCCACGCAGTTCACACCCATGCTGTTCAAGAATCAACTATAGCTTGTGTTTTCATGCCTTTCCTTCTCAGTGACAAAGGAGTAGTTCAATAGCTAGGCAGTAAGAAGACAGAGGGCACGGGGCATAATTAGGCCTGCATAGCTTTCAGATGGATAGATACCAAAACGCACTTTAAACTTATAATTGGACCAAGTCATACTATGCTAGCTTCAACAGCTTGCACTTCACCAATTCATATACCCTATTTTTGTTTTTCCTAGGAAACCACAAAGATCTAAAAGAATACAAAAAAAAAAAAAAAAGAAAGAAAGAAAGAAAGAAAACAAAAACACGAAACCTGACTTCACTTATTTTCCCCCAGATATTGGTGCTGCAAATTTATTTTAAATGGAGGCAGGCTGGCTTTTTACTAAAAGATGAAGAAAAGGAACCAATTAAAATAGAAACTTCTTCCCAGGTAGAATCAGAAATAAAGCAGGGAAGGTTTTGTGCCTCACTAGAGCAAGGGGGTCGGGGAGGGTGTGGGGGAGGGGTGCACTGGAGGAGGTGGAGATTTGGGAGGTGTTTAACTCTTGTGCTAAGAGAACTCAGGTAAACCTTAACATTATTTCTTAACTATTAAACCAGGATGATGAGTTTGATTATCCTAAACTGCAAAACTGAACTCAGATTTTTTCCTTCTGTCACGCACATTTTCAACACTTGCAGCCTCATTTAACGTCAACTTACATTCCTTCATCTGTGGATCCTTTGCTCTCTGGCTTGGTTCTTTTGGATAATAATGCCAAGTTCCTACCCATCACAGGAATCGTGATTGGAATCCACCAGCCCAGCACCCTGTACTCTGGTGCCCCAAGTGATTACATGTGAGCCTCCCAGAAAGAACAAATATTGCTCTTGCCACTCCTCTCCAATGCTGACAGGACTGAGTCCTGGGGCAAGTGGATCCGGGAATTGCATTGCAGACAATTTCGCAGTAATTCCCTGTCTGGAGAAGCACACCAGTTAACACTAGACTGTCACAGCCCTAGGAGAGGTAAGAACAACAAAGCCCACATTACCACGATGTCTTCTGGTGGCAAGAAATCTTTCTCCCACCACCATCCCCTTCCTCCCGGAATCCCTTGCCCCTTCCTATGTATCTCTTCTGCTCTCACTTGACCACCTTACCCTGCTTACTCATAACCTCACCTTGCACAGTGCCAACACGGCCTCTCAAGACTCACTCTGATTTTTTTAGTTCTCATGCCCCTATATAACTCAGTGTTTCAGAATCCCCTAGTTTATTTTTATTTATTTTTTAAGACAGGGTCTTGCTGTCGCCCAAGCTGGAGTATAGTGGTGTGAACAGGCTTACTGTAGCCTCAATCTCCCAGGCTTAAGTGATCCTTCCACCTCAGCCTCCGAAGTAGCTGGGACCACAGGTGCGCATAACCATGCCTGGATATTTTAATTTTTGTACACACAAAAGGACTCACTATGTTGTCCAGGTTGGTCTCGAATTCCTGGCCCCAAGCAATCCTTCTGTCTCGGCCTTACAAAGTGCTGGGATTACAGATGTCAGCCACTATGCCAAGCCCAAGCTAAACTAAACTAAACATTTTTCAAGTCAAGGTCAGTAATTTACTTGTCTTTGAACTCTCAGAGCCTGGTTCATAAAATGTAAAAACTGAATAAATGAACAACCTTATTTACAGTGAGGTATTAGTGATCAAATCTATAAGGAGTTGATCACTTTAAGTGATCACTAAAGTGATCTCTTTAAGGAGTTTCTGCTTTTTACTTTTATGTATTTTTTCTTTTCTTTTCTTTTTTTTTTGAGACAGTCACCCAGGCTGGAGTGCTGTGGCACAATCCCAGCTCATTGCAACCTCTGCCTCCCAGGTTCAAGCAATTCTAATGACTCAGCTTCCCGAGTAGCTGGGATTACAGGCACACGCCACCATGCCTGGCTAATTTTTTATATTTTTAGTAGAGATGGGGTTTCCTCATGTTGCTCAGGCTGGTCTCCATCTCCTGAACTCAGGCAATCCGTCCGCCTCAGCCTCCCAAAGTGCTAGGATTACAGGCATGAGCCACTGCACCTGGCAGTTTCTGCTTTTTAAGAGACCTGCAAGAAGAGGGCAAGGTTTACATCAAAGGAATAAATGTCTAATAGTAGAATTCCAAGTATTAGACACCTAAGTGAAGAAGCTGAACGTGGGCAGGACTTAGCCTGCATCCTTGGCTTCACACTTCACATCACCAAAAAGGAAACCCACTTATATTTTTTCCCTATGTATAGCTTCAGCCTTTTCTGTTACAGCCCTAAGTGCAATGCTGTTTTGTTTGTTTGTTTTCAGAACTCTACATAGACAATCTGTGCCTTGGCAGATTCTGTTTGAATTGTAAATTAAAATATGATAGCATGGAGAATAGCATGCAAGGTTGGAGATTAGGAGACAGGAGTCTGTGTACTGTTCTGTTAGGGTTAATATCATGTGGCATACATTTCATAATGATGCAAGTATAAGCCCCATATAGTTCAAAGCAAGTGACCCCACAGCATCTTCAAAATCTGGGACTCTGTCATAGTCTAAATTTATCGGATTTGCCCCAACTAATTGAGCACAATGAGATTATTAATCCTACAGCACTCGTTTCATCTGCACTGCCATGTTTTAAATGAGATTACGCTTATTTTATACATAAAGCATATTCTCATACATATTTTTATACTTAATATACTGGTAAATCAATTCCTTACACATTCTTTCACTTGACCCACAGAGGCAGTATTATTCCTACATTACATGAGTGACATGGTGCCAAGGAGATTGTTGCCTTACCCAGGGTTACAAGGCTACATGGAGTCAGTCAGAAATAAGATACTGGATTTTAGGCCAATGTTTTACCAACAGATTTAGACCTATATGTTGTGAGTGAATATTCCAACACACTAGAACAAATATTAGATAAAACAGATTCCCAAGATTATACCTAACTCAACTAGGAATCTTACTTTTATGTCACTGATACTCTGAAGATGCCTCATTCCTATTTCTCAGAGATCAAATTTTTACATTTTCTATAATGGTCTTCTGAAATTCAGGGTAAAGAAATCACACAAAGATGAAAATATAAAGATAGTTACACTTCTTTAGTAAGCTTTTGAAGTTCAACTTATTTCCAAACTAATGTGAGCAATGCTGATTCCCTCTCTGCCTTACTGAACGACATCTCTAAACTTAAACATATCCAAAGGATGGCCATTATTGTTTACTTAACAGGAAAAATTTAAAAATACATGTGGTGACCATTTCCCCTTACTTTACAAAGGGAAACCAATATAGTAACACAACTGTAAATAGCATATCTGGCCTTTTCTAAATCCAGTATATTAGAATATTCACTTCTATCATAATGGTCTAAAAGGTATGAGATAGTTTTAAATCTCTGTAGTAATACCAGTTACCTGACAAAGCTAGCTCCAAAGTGAATTTAAGTAGGCTTTAAATGTGGATCTAGGGACATTCTATACATGTCTACTTTAAGAAATATATGGGATGTCTGTACCTCTACGCCACGAAGATGCAATAAGATTCTTAAGTATCTATATTTTTGTAAAATATTCCAACTCTTAAATGTCAAAACAGAAAAGACAACACTTTCAATATTAAGGAGATATATATATATATTTTGAGACAAGGTCTCGTTCTCTCACCCGGGCTGGAGTGCAGTTGACACGATCACAGCTCACTGCAGCTGTGACATCCTGGGCTCAAGTGATTCTCCCGCCTCGGTCTCCCAAGTAGCTGGGACTAGAGGTGCACACCTGGCTAATATTTGTGTTTTTTTGTAGAGATGGGGTTTCGCCATGTTGCCCAGGCTGGTCTTGAATTCCTGTGCTCAAACGATCTACCTGCTTTAGCCTCCCAAAGTGCTGGGACTACAGTAGGCATGAGCCACTGCAGCCACCCAAGGACACATATATATTTTAAGATATATCCTTTAAAGTTAAGAAAAATTGAGAAAAGAAAAAAAATCACAATAATCAGACACCACGGTTCTCAAACCGTGCACCAAGGCAACTCCAAGCCACTGTAACAAACTCACATAGACACAAAGTGAACTATTAGCTTGTGGTCAGTTTTCAACACAGCATCATGCTACATTCCATTTAATGATGTCATGTTTACAAAGCTGGCTGGGTTTTCAGTGGCTGTGATTAAAAACATGTATGGTGCAAAAATCAGCATGAAACAAAACAAAGATGGCAGTGATTTGATAAGCTATACAGTGCTCAACAGATGCATATATCCCATTCATAGTTTAAGAATGAAAAGAATGAATTTTTTCATTTACATATAATATTTTTTCAAATGGCTATGTTGTTAGCATATTTTTAAGTTGTTTCATAACTATTAATAAATGGAACTGTTACTTATTTTGGCCTAGGGACACTACTAAAATTACTAAGGGAACTGTCAAAGGAGAAAGTTTGGGAACCTCTATACTAAATTCACATCAGGTACTCTAGCAGCCTGACCAGAAAAAGAAAACACAAGTAAAAAATGCCATTCAAAATGTATCTTATTCAATGATGAATCTTTAAGTTTCTCTTTAAGCAAAATCTAACAGAAAATAGGCCAGGACAGCAGCATAAGCATTAAATTAAGTAAATGAATTATCTAAGCCATCTCATTTCTTTAAAAAAATCTCTGGGTACTGGCCAGGCACAGTGGCTCATGCCTGTAATCCCAGCACTTTGGAAGGCTGAGACAGGTAGATCACTTGAGACCAGGAGTTTGAGACCAGCTTGGCCAACATGGCGAAACCCCATCTCTACCAAAAATACAAAAATTAGCCTGGAGTGGTGGCGTGCACCTGTAGTTCCAGCTACTTGGGAGACTGAGGCAGGAGAATCGCTTGAACCTGGGAGGTGGAGGCTGCAGTGAGCCAGGATCACACCACTGCACTCCAGCCTGGGCAACAGAGCAAGACTCCATCTGAAAAAAACAAAAAATCCCTGGGTACTTATTGCCAACTTTTCGGAAATCTCAACCGTGTGCTATATGGCGAATTCAGTCACTAAGAAATCATGTTATTCTAATTCTTGAGTCTGAGTAATAGGAATATTGGGGTGTGCTAATTGCATTATTCTACTTTTGTGTATGCTTGAGCATTTTCTTTTTTTTTTTTTTTTAAGATGGAGTCTCGTTCTGTCGCCCAGGCTGGAGTGCAGTGGCGCGATCTCGGCTCACTGCAGGCTCTGCCCCCTGGGGTTCACGCCATTCTCCTGCCTCAGCCTCCCAAGTAGCTGGGACTACAGGCGCCCGCCACCACGCCCGGCTAATATTTTGTATTTTTAGTAGAGACGGGGTTTCACCGGGTTAGCCAGGATGGTCTCGATCTCCTGACCTCGTGATCCACCCACCTCGGCCTCCCAAAGTGCTGGGATTACAGGTGTGAGCCACCTTGCCCAGCCTGCTTGAGCATTTTCACAATAATTTTAAAAAGGTCGTTGAACACCTAATAGTAATGATATACATAATTCTTGGTACTCTCCCATAAACAAAATAAGCACTATAAATAAGCAGTTCAATCTATTATATCCTCACTACTACTCATGATAAAATAGAAGTTGTTTTCCAAAAGAATCAAAAGATGAGATTTTCTTACTTAGCCAGATACATTTTTAGTCCACTGAAACTTTCTTCTTATTCAGAGTATCAATCATCCTAATGCAATTAGATAAAGACATCTTGACAAAAGGTTCGTGTTTTCCACACCATTTATGTAGCCAAATTAAGTGGGAATTTTAAAAAGTTTTCTCTAATAATGTTATTTTTTAAAAAAGAATGTTTTGGCAGGTTTCATATTACCTAAAAGAACAGTAATATATACATATGGAATGGCATTCTGAAATATAAAAAAAGGAATTAATGGTTAGAATTTGACACACTACTTGAAAAGTGAGGTTAACATAAGATTCCTAGCTGCTTTTCTTATAATCTATATAAATTCATTAGAATAACTCACTAATAATCTACCAAAAAAACAAAAAGCAAAAACAAAAACAGCTGTGTGGTGCTTAATATAGCTTTTGATAAAAGGAGTATTAAGAGACAGAATGTCAGTTTTGAAATATAGGAGTTCGAGATTAGAAACCTAATACTTTTGTTATGAATTATGCTAAAACGGTAAAAAAATTTTCAAAATATAGTTGTCTCAAATACACTCTTCTCAGATAACAGAAGGCCAGGCAAGGGCACTGACTTGAAGGGAAACAAACCACAGTAATATGACTGCCTGAAAGTAACTATGGAATTCAGTTTCTCAAAGTGATTACTTCTTCTAATCTTCATATTGATGACTCACTAGTACATTTACTTTGATGGGTTTAATCAACTCTGATAACATAGTTCCAAACACTTAAAAGGACCTGATTTATGTATTAAATAAAGGTTAATTTGTTCTTGAGAAATTGACAAAAGATTTGGTCAAACGTAAATGAATATGCAATAAGTCACATAAGTCTGTGTGTATATACATATATGACTTTAATTTTATAAGTGCATGTGTATACGCACACCTTTAGCTCATTTAAATAAAAAGCTATCCAATGTTTTATGTCCATTATGTCCCCCGTTAACATTGAGCAAAATGTTAACCCCTACTATATATGCAAGGGAAATAAATTAAGTTGTTATATAGAAACCCTTGACACTATATGCAATTTCTTATGTCCCATATTCTGATAATATCTGTCCTCTTGGCTCTTACTTCTTGGAATTTCTCATAAACACGGAAGCTTCATGACAAATTGTGTAAATCATCATTTCCTCCTTTATGAAGTATATTGAAGACAAAAGGGATTAAAGTCATTTCACATTTAGCAAAGCTATTTTATGGCAACATTGTTACAACACAAAATAGACATTGCAGTTTACAATTAACAATTACACAGTGATTTCATAACAATACTACTTACTCCAATTAACAAAATATTTCTTTATAAAAAATATGTTCAAAAGGAGGTTTACATTCACTTCTTCGTTTAATATCAAGGTTGTTAACAATGGTCTTAGGAGATGCAAAGACGAAAAACTACTTACCTTAAAAATCTGTATTCTTGAAGATATATACTCCACTTGAATAAGATACTGCTCAAGGTTTAGGCTTCCTGGAGAACTCAGAGGATTTTGTAGTTGTACTTAATATACTCAATAGCCAAATTTCCTAAACTTTCATAATTTTGCTAACCAAGGGCCCTTAACAAAGTTAAAAGACACCACAGGGTTCAAAAGTGAACAAATATGTTGTTTTTGTTTTAAGACGGAGTCTCATTCTTGTCACCTAGGCTGGAGTGCAGTGGCGCAATCTCTGCTCACTGCAACCTCCATCTCCCGGGTTTAAGTGATTCTCACACCTCAGCCTTCCGAGTAGCTGGGATTACAGGCGCGCGCCACCAAGCCCAGCTAATTTTTACATTTTTAGTAGAAATGGGGTTTCACCATGTTGGCCACGCTGGTCTCAAACTCCTGACCTCAAGAGATCCGCCCGCCTCGGCCTCCCAAAGTGCTGGGATTACAGGCATGCGCCACTGTGCCTGGTCACAAATATGTTAATGAGCCAATTAAGATGGTGCTGCTCAAATGATTCTAATTCAGGAAACTTAGGTTGCAGCTAGGTAATCTCTAGTTCTCTAAAGAATAATACCCAAATGACAGGATTTATGTGTTGATGCAATAATAGCTCAGTCTGTTTCATGACCTAGCTAGAGTCAGAATTGGAGCGGTGGCTATAGCACAGGGGTGGCTTTCTCCTCTCTGAAGGAAAAGTAAAGAAGTAAGAAGAAAGAGGTTGAAAGAACAGCCTACACAGTTGTTGCCCAGATCTCAAAATTAGCAACAAGTATGTCAGCTGTCCTAATTATTACCAAACAGGTCCTGGGAGTGTCTGACACACAACATAATATAGGTGCAATCAGTTCCAGAATCTGGTTCCTGGATCTGAACTAATTTAGCTATAAGACCTTCAGCAAGACCATCTCTATGGCCTGCATCTCTCTCCTATAGGTTTGACAAAGATTCACCTATGAGTTTGATGAAGACAGGCTAGGTATGGCCCTCAATAAGAATTTATTCTGACTGGGAGATTTAAAACTGTAAATGCTTGCCGGGCGTGGTGGCTCACGCCTGTAATCCCAGCACTCTGAGAGGCCGAGGCGGGCGGATCATGAGGTCGGGAGATCGAGACCATCCTGTATAACACAGTGAAACCCTGTCTCTACTAAAAAGTACAAAAAAATTAGCCGGGCGTAGTGGCGGGCGCCTGTAGTCCCAGCTACTCGGGAGACTGAGGCAGGAGAATGGCGTGAACCCACGAAGCGGAGCTTGCAGTGAGCCGAGATTGTGCCACTGCACTTGGGGACAGAGCGAGACTCTGTCTTAAAAAAAAAACAAAACAAAACTGTAAATGCTTGAGTTCTACCTCCTCCAGATTCTAATTTTATTTAATTGGACATCTGGTTATTGTATTTTTTAACTCCTCAGGTTATGTAATAATACGCATCCAGTGTTGAGGAACACTGACAAAAAGGTTAGAGTTCAGTGAGACACTGAGGCCTCTTCAGTACATAAAAATAGGGTTGGAAGTTAGCATCTTGACACTCTTTGGGGGATTCTATATCTCTTCACTTGCCATTAAGTGAAACGTTCAGAAATTTAAGAGTCAACAATGCCACCATTACTGCTGTCAAAGTCCTTCAGTGATTAAAAAGATACCAGAAAGATACCCTGATCCCTTGATCATCTGGTGGTGTTAAACTACTTCAGTAAGAACAAAAGATGTGCTTTCCAAGGGTGGAGACATCCAACTTGTATTCAGTTCCCCATTACATTCTGGATTTGGGTCAATGAAAGAAGCATCCATTGGGGTGATAGCTAAGGCGTGTCCTCGCCACATATCAATGAGATTTCTGGAGGGGAGTAGTGTGGGAAAGTGGTTATAACATTGCGCAAGCAGATGTCAGAGAATTTCTGAAAGACAGGGCTATCTCTAGAAACTCACTGTAAGTAAGGAGACAATTAACACTTTTGAAGCCCATTTATCCCTGATGGTCAATTACACACTAAGAACTTCCTTTTTTTTTTTTTTTTGAGACTGAGTCTCGCTCTTTCACCAGGCCGGAGTGCAGTGGCACTATCTCAGCTCACTGCAAGCTCCGCCTCCTGGGTTCAGGCCATTCTCCTGCCTCAGCCTCCCGAGTAGCTGGGACTACAGGCACCCGCCACCGCGCCCAGCTAATTTGTTGTATTTTTAGTAGAGATGGGGTTTCACCGTGTTAGCCAAGATGGTCTCGATCTCCTGATCTCGTGATCCACCCACCTCGGCCTCCCAAAGTGCTGGGATTACAGGCATGAGCCACCGCGCCCGGCCAAGAACTTCCTTTTAAGATTTGCCCTGAAGGGCCCTAGAGCATTTCCTCTTCCATGCAGAGAATCAGAAAGCTTGGATTCTAGCTCTAGCTCCCAACAATTAGCTGTATGTAATTGATGATGGGTGACTTCATTAGTGTCAAAGCCAAAGCATATTCTCTGTCAGCTTTTCAAAAAAACACGCAGTAAAGAGAGATTCCTACCAGGAAAACTTTGATGGGTGTTTTTCAAGTGTCATCTCACAGCAGAAGATGCCCCAAGTGGTCAAACCTTGCCAACAGCTTCAAAAAAAGGTAACTAGGATTTAACTTTACGGTGCATTTTGATGTTTCCCTTTGTGTCATATCTGATGATAAAAGAACCTTAAAAAAAAAAAAAAAAAACACTATCCAGCTTCTCCATTCTGTCTCCTGCTTTACTTTCTCTTGTTTACAAAATACAAATTTATAGCTGGATTTGATGCTGAAAATTTAATACAGTTACCTCATGTCACAGATAAAGAACAGAAATGACTTGACCAAGTTCACATTGTTGTTTAACGGCAGGAAAAGCACTAAAGATGGATAGTCCTGCCTTCCTAATTTGAATGCTCTTATTCTCTACAGGTTAGGGTCAAGTTATTCAGTAAAACAGGCTATCAGGAGGTTAAGCCCAAACAGTGAGGAAACAAATTTTATGATGCTTGTTTGACTAAATGCATGCAGTTTACCTCAAGATTAAGGGATTTAAAAAAGGTTAGAAAACAGTGTAACCCTATCTCCTGGATATATCTACAGACTTGTATTTAGGAATTATGCCAGGCTGTTATTTCTAACAGAGCTGATGATCATAGATGTGGCCTTTAAGGCAGGACTGGGTATTTGGTTCTTAAAAATGATTCTGTGCCTGCCAATCTTAGGAATAAATAATGCTTTCAATGATCTACATTCTCTGTCTACCTAAAAAGTACAAAGAAAAAGAATATATTTAATCAAAGAGAGATGTGTCCCAGGTAGATGGTAAGCAACGGGAATAAAGTCATGATATGCCCAGAATAACCAATGATGAATGTTATTAGCCAGGTAGCCACCATTCTAGTCTTAGTAAAATAAGCATCCCATAAATGTTTATATAATTTTAGGTGTCAGAATACACATCAGGACAATCTGGACTAAGGAAACCTGAAATTTAATTCTGAAATTAATTAAGTAACCATGCCTAAGGTGAGCTTGTTTTCTTAACTGTAAAATGGAAGTGCAACCTTTAACTTTCCTCAGTGGCTCAGATGAAATACTGTGAAGGTACAGAGTAATGCTATATGGCACAAAGCAAAAAGTGCTGTGCAAAAGAAGACAGTGTGCTAAATATTAGGAAATTTCTGAGTTCCAGAAAATTTGGATTTTTAAGAAACTATGTCATGTCAAGATGTGCTTTGGAGTAACAATTTTCCCAATATTATATTAAGTATATACTAAGTATATATTAGAAGGGATTATATAAAAGGTGTTCAAAAAACAAATATCAGGAAAACACTAATTTAAGCAGAATTTAACAATTGTTTTTAACTTCAGAATTTCTCAGAGCTTTGAATATTATATACCATGAATCTCCAGGAAAGGACAAGTGAGCTTATGTTCCCCAAACTTATATGACCACCTAATCCTTTTTACATGGACCTTCTCAGTGGAGCAGTGTTCCATAGAACACACATTCTTACTCTCTATTTTTCCAAAATTCCTACTGTTTGCTTCAATACAAAATCATAAGACACTGTGGCTAGAAATTTTTTTTCATATAAACATAAACGTGTACTGACACATGTTGGTAAGCATTTTATAGGTTGTCTATTCTAGCTTTCAAATAACATGACTCTAAATCTGTAAAGACCAGATCACTAACATAGCCTCTTTCCAGAAGGCCATAATGAGTACCTCCTCATCAGATAGAGAATGTACCCTTTAAGTTTTGTAGGAGTCAAGTACCCCTTTGTCTTGGGGACAGATTTCTGTTAAGACAGACAGAAACTCTTCCCTTGCTGGTCCAGCAGCAGTTTTCTTGTTCCCTGGACCAGCCAGAATAAAAAGATGACTTCTGCCACGCATCATTTTGTTGTTTGTCTAACACTGAATCCCAAATAAAATTTCATTCCTGATTAATAGATCTGACCTTTTAAACTAGACAAGCAGCAGCAACCTGAGATGGAATTGTTAAGAGAAAAATATGGTAACATTCTTAGCTAAAATACTGAGAGAAACGGAGAGTTTAAGTCTACTACTGTCTACAGTACTTATGTGAATGTTATAAAAGATCTGTTAGAAACTGGTGGTGATGGCAACAAGTCCTACACCAGTTCTTAAATCCTCTCTTATAGCTAGTAGAAAGGATTACAAAGTTTGGCAAACATCTTGCATGTATCAAGACTGTTCACAGGTGTCTGAGCAATGAATAATATGTCTATAGATTAGATTTAAAAGCTCATTTTACAACTGTTTACTAGATGATATAAACATTTTTCCTCTCCCTTTTGTAAGCTGTAGGTATGCATCATAGCTTCTGTGATCTCAGAACCGTTTCTCTGACCAGCAAAAGAAGAGATGAAAATGCTCCTCTTGACCTCTATCTGCACTACACCAGAAACGTCATTGAGCCAGTTTCTTCTAAGGAGATAACAGAAACTTTCTATGCAAGGCTGTGGGGGGCTGGTAATATAAGGCTAGGAGGATAAAGCTCCTTACTAATAAACAAGCTGACATTGAATAACATGGCATCTATGTGGAACATGGTTTGAAAACATTTTAAGACCATTCATAGACATCTGAGACCACTCATAGTTTCTTCCTCCCAAGGCTGTGAAATAAAATTCAAAAGTACATCAACAAATTCCTGGTGCTTTTCCATCTTATGGTAGCTTACATTTTATACCCTCAGTGTCCTTCAAAAGTGGCTGGAATAGCCCACCTATACCTTTATCTGATATGTTCATCTCTTTTTCACCCTTTGGAGAAATAAGATTACTTATAAGAAAACTGATTCTCCAAAAAGTATATATAAGTAGTAAGTAACACTGGTAAATAATGGGCGTTTCTAACAGTTCTTAGAAACTGGTAAGGAGACAGAAGCCCATAATTACCCCCAAATTCACCCACCTTCATACATATTCACAGAGACATCAACAGTGAATTTATACATAAAGAATAAGTGAGGCAAAGGCAAAAGCAGTATCAATCTGTCTGAGTGTAGGCAATGGTGCTTTGATTATTTACCCGTACAAACTCTTCAGTCCCTTTTGGTTATCCCCAACTCAGCTCTTAAGCCGTAGATTTTTGCTGTGGAGAACTCAGATGTGATGTAGCTGCTCCAGTAACTCTTTTCACAGTACTGCATGTCAATAATGGGAATGATTTCTAATCAATTTAAACTGCACACGGTACTTTAATAGAACAAGAAGTTTATTACTCCCACTCAGTAGTTCCTGGGGGCTTTGATGTTAAGTCATACATAATTCGAGAAATACCAGGAATCTTCTTAATCTCAGTGACCATCTTTAATACCACCTATTAAAAAAAATTATAGAGAAAAGTCAGCATCCACTGCATGTCCAGCAGTCCTAGAGGGCTTACATTTGTAATTTGAAATTAAAATTTGACTATTTTCACTATTGTCCTCCATGTATATGGGATGGTTTCTGATTAATCTTATATAATGAACCTATTCCCCTCTGCAGGGATAGGTGTAAGTTATTAAGGTTTAAAATATTAGTGACTTAAACTCAGTACTACTCAAAGTGTGATCCACAAACAGGTGCTAGTCTGCAAGTTGTGTTTGTGACTGAGCCACAAGTGCTTAAGAACATATAGCGATTTGACATTGCTGTGGCATCCAAGCATGTGATTTTATGTGTTTCAGCCAATGCTCTGCAAATTATCTGCAGCTTAAACATACAACTCTAAGGGCCACCAAGGTGGCACAGAGTACACTGTAATAATCATTATCAAGTATACAGGAGAGGATAGCCTGCTCACTTGTCAAATTTGACAAATTTGAGCCTAAGAGAAAAATGACTCTAAGCCACGTTCCGAACCAACCCATCTACCTAGCTATCACGACAGCTTCGTGTTAGTGCACTGGAGGCAGTGGCCCAACTAATAGAGTCTCACTTTGATTTTCACTTGCTATTATGCAAGTAGCTCCTTTGGAATGTTCTGGTGAAGACAAAGAAGGATCAAAAATTGAGTTGGAATTGGTAGTAGGGAGAACATTTAGGCAATTCTTGGGTGTCTGGCCATAAAGCTATCAAATTGCATCCTTATTTCTAACAAACTCTTCTTCACTCCTAGAGTTTTCTTTTTTATTTGGGGAATACTGTTTGTAAAGTAGAAATTGGCAGGATTAGATAAAATTATAATCAATTACTTTTTATACAGTAATCACACAATTGGAGAGCATATATAATTTAAAGCCTTTTTCTGCCCCAGTGTATTAATCAAATATGTGAAAATTTAAAAAAAAAAGCCTATCTTATGAACAGAAAACCAACATAAGAAATACAGCACTGGCATAGCCTATTCCATTCACCATATTATAAAATGTAAGAGGTACTGAGAACGTGCATTAGAAAAAAATATATAAATTACCTCTACAGGGATCTCATTGCCAGGTGTTGCAGGTATACCAGTCATGAAGTCACTAGTAATAAAGGTTCGAATAACCACAGATCTCTGGCATGAAGGCTGCTTTTGAAGTGGGTCCCGATCAAAATGTAATGGTGTCAAAATCACCGGCATCTGGCTGATTTTCCCAGCATACCCTAGAGAAAGGTATATGTAGAACCAATCACCACACCATAGAAAAGCACTCTAACTCAGTTCAATTAAATCCTCCCAGGCAATATCTGAAATCACATATACACACACAGCGTAGTTAAGACTGTCATCATGCATTGATTTCAGCTACTCGCAGAGCATTTTAAATGGACTTAATCACAAATGCAAAAAACAGAATTTGATCACATCAGTGATGTTTCACTGATGTGCTGTAAACAGAAACAGTCCAGTCTCATTATTCTCTATTATAATTTGCAGTATAGTTATATTCTACACTGCAAACAACGAATTAGCGAATACTGAACCATTTCTCCCAGGGGAAATGGAGGGTTAGGTTCCTGCAAGCCTCTGGTTGTAATATTTTCATCAACTGATTAATATATAACCTTGTTTTATGTGTTTCTGATTTAAGACACTGTATTTAATATTTATTATAGATTCATTAACACTGAACTGACAATCAGTAGCTCTTTAACTCATGCCTGAATGAAGTTTATCTAACACACAGATTTTCTCTGTAAGGTACATCACAGCATTCCTGTGCTTAGGAACCCAGACAGCACTTCAACACTATAGTTGAGATCCATTTTAAACAGCAAAATCACCAACAAAAGACATAAAAATGCAAAAGATATAGCATCAAGGAGACCATGAAAAAGACTTGTTCACATTATGAGAGCTGAAAACAAGAAGGCATAGCGTCACCTTGTTCAAACTCAGCTGGGAACATCTAAGTCTGGAAATTCAAATTTTCTGCTGCTCTGTGCATGTCCACAAATGGCCACAAAGGGGAATATATTTTATTTAGAAGCAACATTATAGGCCAGGTGCAGTGGCTCACGCCTGTAATCCCAACACTCTGGGAGGCCAAGGCTGGCCTGACCTGACTCCTGACCTGATCACATGAGGTTAGGAGTTCGAGATCAGCTGGCCAAAATGGCAAAACCCTATCTCTACTAAAAATACAAAAAACTAGCCAGGTGTGGTGGCGGGTGCCTGTAATCCCAGCTACTCGGGAGGCTGAGGCAGGAGAATCACTTGTAACAGGAGGCAGAGGCTGAAGTGAACCAAGATTGTGCCACTGCACTCCAGCCTGGGCGACAGAGCAAGACAGACTCCGTCTCAAGAAAAAAAAGCAACATCATAGAACATTCAAAGATTTAAATAATAAAAACAAAAGCATCTAAAAAGCAAAAGCCACATCCTCCTACTCTTAATATCAAGCTTCCAAAAACTAGTTTCAGAGGGTAGTAATCAAAAACATGAGCAACTTACCAGACTCCCTGAGAATGTTATGGGCCTCAAAATCAGCTTGGCGTAAAGTACTGAGCACCCCTGTTGTCAAGAAAGTGGGAGTAACATCTGTAGGAGGTTCTTTAACTGGTGGGCCAAATATATAAACAACTCTGGAAACAAAGAGGTAAAAATAATACAGCAATTACATTTCAAATGTAGAAATTACATTTTAGTATGAGAAGCAAGGCACTTAGAACAGTAACATTCTTTCCATTTCCCACTTAGTTTCAGGCCCTTCTCCTGCCCACTTCAACTCCCCAGATGGATAGGACAAGATATAAGATTATAGGAAGGTCTGTGTTCTACGTGTTTTCCTCAAAGTGTGTTCTCTGGAATATTCTGTATCTCAGAATGTGCAAAGATATAAGTGATTATTACAACTCTCTTTTCACTTAATGTACTGGGTCGAAGAGTATCCCCAAAACTTCATGCCCACCCAGAATCTCTGGGGAGAAAAAGGGTCTTTGCAAATGTAATCAAGTTAAAATGAAGTAATACTGGATTAGGATGGGCTCTAATCCAATGACTGGTATCCTTCCAAGTGCTGGGAAATTTGGATACACAGATACCCACAGGGGAATGAGGGTCATGTGAACACAAAGACAGACTGGACTATGCTGCCACCACTCGATAGTAGGAAGAAGCAAGGAAGGATCCTCCCCTAGAGTCTTCAGAGAGAATATGACCCTGCCAACACTGAATTCAGACTTCTGGCCTCCTAAACTGTGAGAGAATAAATGTCTGTTGTTTTAAGCCTCCTAGTTTGTGGTGATTTGTTATGGGTAGTCCTAGGAAACAAATACACAATTAAAATTTAAAAATAGGTGTCTTTATGACAAGACTTCAGAAACTATTAATATACTATGCTAACATGCACTGGAAATCTCCAAGAGGAAACTACAGTGAATTTCCCAAAATTAGTAAACTCATCTTTTTTTCTCTACTTGAGAAACAATCATTCTAGAGAGATTCTCATTTGCACTTCATTAAAAAGGCCATTGAAATAGGACTTAGTATCCTACTACTTCCTTCCAAAAAAATGATTCATTAGTGTTTTATATAAATGTCTGTTTGAAAGACATGAAGATACACCACAAATATCTTGAGTTAATGAGAGTACAGTTTGGAACATAACTTGAGGAAATTAGAATCAGACAATTTTAACAACTTGAAGTGTAGCTGGCCACTGGTTTGAAGGGATCTGTTTCACAATCTTCACCCAGAAAACAAGAGGGAATCAGGGTAGAGATATGAGTGCCACTTAGCTAGTTCTCCCTATTCACTTTTCGTTAGTCCTGTTTTTAGCAAAGAAAATAAATCTCCCCGGAAACTATCATGGTAAAGTTTAATGTTTTTTCTTCTTTTCTTAATATGTACTTAGGTAAAATACACAATAGAAAACCATATTAGCACAAAACCACCGGTATCACCAACTACTTTATTGTCTCCTTCCAAACATACTACAACAGAAGCAAGGTTTTTGTCCCACGTATAGACAGTAAGTTATAATTTTTCTAAACAATACAGTTCCTAAAGTTCATAAAAGATCTTTACAGGAGAAAGTTAAGAGAATGCCATGAACCTGCTCTTTTCACCTTCTCATTTCTTACAAACAAAAGTAATCACTAGAGTGTACTGGGACAGGTATTTACCCACACTATATATGACAGTAAAACTGGAACAGTCCCTCCCTGTACAAAGATTCCCTTATCCAAATTAGGAAAAAAACCGGCAAACAGGGAAGAATATTTTTAAACTCCAATTCATCAAAAAGACCCCAGCAAATAAATCTAAAGTTCACCAAGATTCTTTTTTTTTTCTTTTTCCTTTTTTTGAGATGAAGTCTCGCTCTGTCGCCCAGGCTTGAGTGCAGTGGTGCAATCTCAGCTCACTGCAAGCTCTGTCTCCCGGGTTCACACCATTCTTCTGCCTCAGCCTCCCGAGTAGCTGGGACTACAGGCACACACCACCATGCCTGGCTAATTTTTGTATTTTTTGTAGAGATGGAGTTTCACCATGTTGCCCAGGCTGGTCTCAAACTCCTGGGCTCAAGTGATCCACTCGCCTTGGCCTCTCAAAGTGGTGGGATTACAGGCGTGAGCCACCATGCCTGGCCCCCATTATTGAAGATAGTAATAATTCTATTTTTCAGCATTTTAAAGATGCTTCTGTATTTGACGGTTTTCAGTTCATTTGAGTAAGCCTTTGAATGAGCATGTTCCCATCGGTAAAAACATGGCTTCCCTGTAACTCCTTATCTCGAACTATACAGACTCTGCTAGCTTAACATTAAAAGGTAAGCTTCTGATTTCTGCAGCAATTTGAGTAAAATGAAACCTCAAGTAATTCTTTTTGGTTGTTAACTGCCTAACACCCATGAAGAAAACTGAACAGAGAGAATAACTGTGAAGTAAGAACATTTAATTAGCAATCTAGTACAAAATAAGTGAATTTTTGAACTATATATGGTACGATGAAATTGAGGATTAGAAATAGATTATAAATCAGCTGTTGATATATCCAATGTAAGAAGTTAATATGCAAATTAAAGGGAAATTAATCTAAATGTAAATTATATATTTAAATGTAACTATTTTAATGCTATCTGGCACATGCCTATTTCTTTTCTTTGATTTTTTTCCTTGGGGTTACTACTAAATTAACCAAGTCTCCATTTTTGTTTGGAGTGGGGGTTGTTTGTTTTGTAGGGGTGTGTGTGTGTGTGTGTGTGTGTGTGTGTGTGTGTGTTACTTTATTTGTAATTCTGTAACCTGGACATACTTTTTTCAATCCTTCTGGAATAAAACATGTTACCATAAAACCAACAGCTAATATAAACCACTAATTTAGAAGATGTTTTACAGCTGCCTTTAATATTTTACACTAAAATAAAAATCTTTCTCCTTTAAATAATTTTTAACAGATGACTACATTGTGATGAAGAGTCAAAACACAAGATAATATTAAATATCTACTTAACTGCAACCTATGTGCATATTTGAATTACAAACACAGCCATTTACTCTTATCTACATGACCTACCTATATCTACATTTGAGCCTTTTGGTCTTCCATTAATTGAAAGCCCTTAAGAAATACATCCTTCCATTACACAAGCCCCCACCCTAGCTCCTGTGAAACACACCTGTTAACGTTGTGACACATGCGAGGTATAAGCCTAGCCAGAAAAATAAGTGATTCCCAGTCAGGTTCATCTTTACTGGAGATTCCACACACGTAACTGTAGGAACGACAGTCACCCTGAAAATAAAAAGATAATCAATAATTTTTAATAGTCAAAAGATACACCAGTTTAACTTGACAAAGCTTTTTTTTTTTTTTAAAAAAAAAAGAAAAGATGCATTGAAAAATATCTTATGCATGGTGACATTATTAATGGATTTTTGGAAATTTTGAATGAAAGTATATACTAAATGCTTCTTTAATGGTATAAATAAATTCCAAATTAAAATCCCATATTAAATCCTACCTGAATCAGCTAAGACATACATAAAGTATCATGGTAATATCAAGAATTTAGGCTGGGCACAGTGGTTCATGCCTGTAATCCCAGCACTTTGGGAGGCCGAGGTGGGCAGATCACCTGAGGTCATGAGTTCAAGACCAGCCTGGCCAACATGATGAAACCCCATCTCTACTAAAAATACAAAAATTAGCCAGGCATGGTGGCATGAACCTGTAGTCCCAGCTACTCGGGAGGCTGAGGCAGGAGAACTGCTTGATCCTGGGAGGTGGAGGTTGCAGTGAGCTGAGAGATCGTATCACTGCACTCCAGCCTGGGTGACAGAGTGAAACTCTGTCTCAAAAAAAAAAAAAGTATTCAACATTCCCATTACCTGCACAACTGTGGATAACCAGCATATTTAATTTGGCAGACAAGGCCAGGTACAGAAGCTCACACCTATAATCCTAGCACTTTGGGAGGCCGAGGTGGGTGGGTCAGTTGAGCCCAGAAGTTTGAGACCAGCCTGGACAACATGGCAACACCCTGTCTCTACAAAATATACAAAAATTAGCTGGGCAGTGTGGTGGCATGCACCTGTAGTCCCTGCTACTCAGGAAGCTGAGATAGGAGGATCACCTGAGCCCAACGAGGTCGAGGCTATCGTGAGCAGTGATCATGCCACTGTACTCTAGCCTGGGCAACAGAGTAAGACCCCATCTCAAAAAAATAAAATAAAATTATGAAAAATTATAATTTGGCAGACAAGATCTGCCTGTGTTTTTTGAGTGGATAAAGAATTCTTAAGTGGGAGACAAAAACAATTCATAAACATTTACTTATCAACGTGTTTAAGTATCAGCTTAAAAGTTAATTTTATGGGGTTGTTTGTTTTGTTCTTGTAAATTTGTTTGAGTTCACTGTAGATTCTGGATATTAGCCCTTTGTCAGATAAGTAGGTTGCGAAAATTTTCTTCCATTTTGTAGGTTGCCTGTTCACTCTGATGGTAGTTTCTTTTGCTGTGCAGAAGCTCTTTAGTTTAATTAGATCCCATTTGTCAATTTTGGCTTTTGTTGCCATTGCTTTTGGTGTTTTGGACATGAAGTCCTTGCCCATGCCTATGTCCTGAATGGTAATGCCTAGGTTTTCTTCTAGGGTTTTTATGGTTTTAGGTCTAACGTTTAAATCTTTAATCCATCTTGAATTGATTTTTGTATAAGGTGTAAGGAAGGGATCCAGTTTCAGCTTTCTACATATGGCTAGCCAGTTTTCCCAGCACCGTTTATTAAATAGGGAATCCTTTCCCCATTGCTTGTTTTTCTCAGGTTTGTCAAAGATCAGATAGTTGTAGGTATGTGGCGTTATTTCTGAGGGCTCTGTTCTGTTCCATTGATCTATATCTCTGTTTTGGTACCAGTACCATGCTGTTTTGGTTACTGTAGCGTTGTAGTATAGTTTGAAGTCAGGTAGTGTGATGCCTCCAGCTTTGTTCTTTTGGCTTAGGATTGACTTGGCGATGCGGGCTCTTTTTTGGTTCCATATGAACTTTAGTTTTTTCCAATTCTGTGAAGAAAGTCATTGGTAGCTTGATGGGGATGGCACTGAATCTGTAAATTACCTTGGGCAGTATGGCCATTTTCACGATATTGATTCTTCCTACCCATGAGCATGGAATGTTCTTCCATTTGTTTGTATCCTCTTTTATTTCCTTGAGCAGTGGTTTGTAGTTCTCCTTGAAGAGGTCCTTCACATCCCTTGTAAGTTGGATTCCTAGGTATTTTATTCTCTTTGAAGCAATTGTGAATGGGAGTTCACTCATGATTTGGCTCTCTGTTTGTCTGTTGTTGGTGTATAAGAATGCTTGTGATTTTTGTACATTGATTTTGTATCCTGAGACTTTGCTGAAGTTGCTTATCAGCTTAAGGAGATTTTGGGCTGAGACAGTGGGGTTTTCTAGATATACAATCATGTTGTCTGCAAACAGGGACAACTTGACTTCCTCTTTTCCTAATTGAATACCCTTTATTTCCTTCTCCTGCCTAATTGCCCTGGCCAGAACTTCCAACACTATGTTGAATAGGAGTGGTGAGAGAGGGCATCCCTGTCTTGTGCCAGTTTTCAAAGGGAATGCTTCCAGTTTTTGCCCATTCAATATGATATTGGCTGTGGGTTTGTCATAGATAGCTCTTATTATTTTGAGATATGTCCCATCAATACTTCTCAAAAGAAGACATTTATGCAGCCAAAAAACACATGAAAAAATGCTCATCATCACTGGCCATCAGAGAAATGCAAATCAAAACCACTATGAGATACCATCTCACACCAGTTAGAATGGCAATCATTAAAAAGTCAGGAAACAACAGGTGCTGGAGAGGATGTGGAGAAATAGGAACACTTTTACACTGTTGGTGGGACTGTAAACTAGTTCAACCATTGTGGAAATCAGTGTGGCGATTCCTCAGGGATCTAGAGCTAGAAATACCATTTGACCCAGCCATCCCATTACTGGGTATATACCCAAACGACTATAAATCATGCTGCTATAAAGACACATGCACACATATGTTTATTGCGGCATTATTCACAATAGCAAAGACTTGGAACCAACCCAAATGTCCAACAATGACAGACTGGATTAAGAAAATGTGGCACATATACACCATGGAATACTATGCAGCCATAAAAAATGATGAGTTCATGTCCTTTGTAAGGACATGGATGAAATTGGAAATCATCATTCTCAGTAAACTATCGCAAGAACAAAAAACCAAACACCGCATATTCTCACTCATAGGTGGGAATTGAACAATGAGATCACATGGACACAGGAAGGGGAATATCACACTCTGGGGACTGTGGTGGGGTGGGGGGAGGGGGGAGGGATAGCATTGGGAGATATACCTAATGCTAAATGACGAGTTAGTGGGTGCGGTGCACCAGCATGGCACATGTATACATATGTAACTAACCTGCACAATGTGCACATGTACCCTAAAACTTAAAGTATAATAAAAAAAAAAAGTTAATTTTAAAATAAGTAAATAAAACTGATAATTTATTCTCTTTTCCTGTGTCCTGTTTAATCCAAGTAATTTGCTTTTTTTATGAAAAGCAATTTTAAAAAGTAACAGATTAGAGAAGTACCTAATGCCCAAAGTGGCAGGTACTAAGAATGTGAAAATTCAACATATGTGAATGCTAATGTGATAGCATCTATAAAAGTGTAAAATGGGCTGGGCGTGGTAGCTCATGCCTGTAATCCTAGCACTTTTGGGAGGCCGAGGCGGGTGGATTGCCTGAGCTCAGGAGTTCGAGACCAACCTGGGCAACGTGGTGAAACCCCGTCTCTACTAAAATACAAAAAATTATCCAGGTATGGCGGCGTGTGCCTGTAACCCCAGCTACACAGGAGGCTGCAACAGGAGAATCGTTTGAACCTGGTAGGTGGAGGTTGCCATGAGCTGAGATCAAGCCACTGTGCTCCAGCCTGGGTGACAGAGCAAGACTCCATCTCAAAAAAAAAAAAAAAAAAAAAAAAAGTGTAAAATGCACATGCACATAAAATGATCCTACATAAATACATGGATAACTGATGGGATGCCTATAATAATAAAAAACAGAACAGTTTAAATGCCCATTGGTTAGAAGAATAGTTAAATAAATGATGGTATGCATAGAATATGAGGGAACAGTTAAGAACCATCTACTTGGAAAGGCACAGAAAGGTAAGTTCATGATGTTCAGTTAAAAGAAAAAAGTTGACAATGTGTACCCCAAATCCCCTCTTTTATTTTCTTTTTAAAGTGTTTCTGGAAAGACACATACAAAACTTAACTGGAGAGTAGAAATACAAAGAATTTTTTTTAATGTATTTTCATTTTTTACAAATACGGTTTACTTTGGTATTTAGAAAATAAAATGCATTGTTATACTAACTATGAACCATCATTTTTATCTGGGCTTGCAAGGGTCTAAGCTTCAAAGGGTAAGAGACTAAAGTCAGTTATCCAATAACAAAAGAAAATTTTATTTTGGTGGGAAAAGTAGTAGAGCCTGAATAAGTTTCATTTTCAAGAAAGAAATCACTCATTCATCAGATTATCTCAAGTATCTATTTTTTGTAACACTTCTCTAAAAAGAAGAGTGGGGAACTATTTCAACTCCCTTTGTAGCAGCAGTTAGCACACAGACGTTGAAGTTCTCTATAACAAATCTACTTAAAACTCAGAAACTTTTAAGAATTAAATAACCTGTCCACAATTCTATTTTTATATATTAGGGTAATACTGCCTGTAAGTATCATTGCAAATTTCAAAATAAATTTATGTATGAATGAGATAATCCATAAACCACTGAAAGAAAGTATCAGTAACTCCAAGTAAGGTTATTTCAATAGTGATTTTAAAACAACATAAGCAGCTTACAACATTTGGCCTTTAAAAAGAAGGCAAGAGTTCCTTAACCCAATAGCTGGCTCTATCACTTTCATGAAATAAAATATTTTAGTTTACTTTAAAAATAACAATCAATTTTTTTTTTTTTTTAAGAAGGAGTTTCACTCTTGTTGCCCAGGCTGGAGTGCAATGGCGCAATCTTGGCCCACCGCAACCTCCGCCTCCTGGGTTCAAGCAATTCTCCTGCCTCAGCCTCCCGACTAGCTGGGATTACAGGCATGCACCACCACACCCGGCTAATTAGTAGAGATGGGGTTTCTGCATGTTGGTCAGGCTGCTCTTGAACTTCCAACCTCAGGTGATCCGCCTGCCTCAGCCTCCCAAAGTGCTGGGATTACAGGCATGAACCACTGCGCCTGGCAACAATCAATTTTTATCTTGTTTTATTTACAGGCAGAACTGCATGAATTCAGAGCAAAGGGGAATTTAAACTGACAGATTCATATATTTAGAAAAAATGCTTATTAGGTTTTAGAAGAATAATCTCTGAAACAGAATTTCTTTTTTTTTATTTTTTATTTTTTTATTATTATACTTTAAGTTTTAGGGTACATGTGCACAATGTGCAGGTTAGTTACATATGTATATTCTACACATAATTTTACTGTAAGAGGACATTATAAACACATTAACCCAATAACTGGCACTTATACCATTTTCGAGTTGAACTACTGACACCTCTTCTAGTGTCTCCATTTAACCACAAACTTGAAATAGAAGAAAATAACCTTTCTCTTCCCTACCCTCCCACACTTTTGCTCCCCAAAAACTCATTTGAGGATCATATAAAGAAGGCCGGGTACAGTGTCTCATGCTTCCAATCCTAACACTTTGGGAGGCCAAAGTGAAGGATCACTTGAGGCCAGAATTTCAAAGCCAGCCTGAGCAACACAGGGAGACCCTATCTCTACAAAAAAATTTAAAAATTAGCCAGGCATGATGGTGCTTGCCTGTAGTCCCAGCTACTTGGGAAGCTGAGGTAGTAGGGTCGCTTGAACCCAGGAATTCAGGGCTACAGTACGCCATGATCACATCACTGCACTCCAGCCTGGGCGACAGGGCAAGACCCTGTCTCCAGAAAAAAGAGGAGAAATTAACATACTATCTTATTAGTTATTAGTCATTTTGCAAGTAGCATTTTATAATTGAGAACTATATTATTCTCATGTTCTTTTACAACTAGAAAGGCAGAATAAACACAACATCAGTAGAATGTGTTCCCTAGTACAGGGAATACACAAGCTGAGAACAACACCTAAATGGTGTAACTTACTCATCTGGAGGCCTTCCTGCAGTTAAAGACTTCTAAAACCACAGTATATTTCACACCTAGGATAAATGACCTCTTGATCCCTGCCCTACAAGGCAGAAGTAAGCATGCCAACCCTATAGGAAAGGGTTGCTTTCAATATTTACCTTTGGTTAGAGTTCATAGATGTTCCAAAACTACAAAATCTCAGCCTGACTATTTAGTTCCATTAACTATTCACTCCCTAAACATTCTATAAAAAATTACCTTATTTCTCTAAACTTGGTATATATACTCACATATTTCATTTTCCTAAGTAATCCTTATTTCAAGATTAGTAGAAAGAGTGCTTGAACCCAGGAGGCGGAGGTTGCAATGAGCTGAGATCACGCCACTGCGCTCCAGCCTGGGCAACACAGTGAGACTCCGTCTCAAGAAAAGAAAAAAAAAAAAAAGTATATCACTGGTGAATGAATTCACACAACTCACCTGCACACCTACAGTTTTAATTGGCAGCAAGAAGGCATTCAGTGAATGCAGACTGGTAATTTGCATCAGCTTCTCCTGATCCTCTTCTGTTGTGCAGGCTTTGACTCTCTGTAATAGGGTATGTGGCTGAGAAAAACCAAAGAGGCATTTTTTCAGTTTTAAGAAATAAGGTATTCACTCTTTTATTATCTACTACTATCTTATGTATTTTACTGGTTTTTAGCAGTGGATTGTATTTGGTATCTCCTTGAGTTGTGTGTGCTATGCACTATGCCAGAAATTCACACCTGAGGGCTAGGACTATGAAGAAGTCTTAGGATAAGAAATGCAGATTATATTTACATACATTCAGGCTTTAGTACCCTGTCACCAGCAAGTGATGCACCTTATCTGAGTCAAATATTATCTTAATGCTTTTTGCCATAAAGTCAGTTTTGTCTGAAATTAATATAGCTTTAGCCATTTCTTTTTTTTTATTTACCTGGTATATGTTTTTCCATTCTTTAATTTTCACTCCTACTATCCCTAGGTATTAGTAATGCCTGTTGTGAATAGACTATACCTTTCATGTCTACTATTCTATACTAAGCAGATTTTAGTTTTCAATCTAGTTTGACTGTCTATGTCTTAACTAGGAATGTTATAGTCCTTTTAATTAATTATAGGTTATCAATATAGTTGAATTTCATTCTACAATCTTTTTCTGTAATTATCTATTTAACCCATTTTTTACTCTTACTCCTTTCTTGCTGTCTTTTGAACTGGTGATTTCTCCCAGCTCATTTATTTCCTCTTTACCGGTTTTGAAGTTAAATCCTCTATTTCTATTCTTGCAGTAGTTGTCCTTAAGTGTTAACAAGGATACTTAAAAGATAATCAATCTTCTGTCCTTCTGGCAAATAACACAGACATCTTTGAATTCCTTAGCTCAAATCAATCCCTTTGTGGCTTACATGTTACTTCAGCTAAACATTGTTACACATTTTCTAATAAACAAGAACAAGTAGATATCATTTTTACCTCTACTCTCGATTTTATAATCATTTTTATCATTTTATACAGTCCATGTTTGTTTCAGTTTTAGTCATTTACCATTTTCCTTGCTTAGCATTCCTTCTTGTATCTCATGACTTTCTCCTGGCATCCTGCTGCTTCTCCTCAAGTCAGTTCTTTAAAACAATGGTTCTCAGCCGGGCCCAGTGGCTCACGCCTGTAATCCCAGCACTTTGGGAGGCCGAGGCGGGTGATCACCTGAGGTCGGGAGTTTGAGACTAGCCTGACCAACATGGAGAAACCCCGTCTCAACTAAAAATACAAAATTAGCCAAGCGTGATGGCACATGCCTGTAATCCCAGCTACTCGGGAGGCTGAGGCAGGAGAATCGCTTAAACCTGGGAGGCGGAGGTTGCAGTGAGCCAAGATCGTGCCATTGCACTCCAGCCTGGGCAACAAGAGCAAAACTCCATCTCAAAAAACAAACAAACAAAAAAAAAAACAATGGTTCTCAACCTTAACTGCACAAATTACTTGGAATGCCCAGGTCCCATCTCAGACCAATTAAATTCTAGGGCTATATGTCAAGAATAGTATACTTCAAAAGCTTCCCCAGATGATTCTAACATACAGCCAGGGTTGAAAATCATTGCCTTTAGTTTCTTCAGTAAGGGACTGTTGGTAGTAAATTCTATTTAATCTCGAAATAACTTTATTTTGCCCTTGTTTTTAAAAGACAGTTTAGCTGTTCACTACAGTTAATTATTTTCTCTTGGTATTTTGAAGTCTTGCCTTTACTGTTTCAGTATAATTTCCTGGGTAGGTAATTGATCTGTTCTCCGCAGCTGCTCTGTCTTTGGCAGTCTTTAATTTCTCTAAGATGTGCTTACTAGGTGTCAAATTCTTTCCCTTTATTCTGCTTGAGATGTGTTACATTTCCTGAATCTGAGCCATCATGTCTTTTACCAGTGTGGAGGAATTAATACATTTTTTTCTATTATTTCCTTCTGGACATATGTTAGCACTTGCCTTATCCTTCCATCTTAACCTTTTCTACCCATATTTTCTTTATGATGATTTGTCCTAATTTCTGGATAATCTCTAAACAACTTTCTTTTAGTTCATTAATTCTCTCTTTCAGCTGTTTTTCAGTTATTATTTTCATTCCCAGAACTTAGATTATTTTCAAATCTGCCCAGTTATTTTTAGTAGTCTCTTATACATTATTCTTATTATGAATAGCTTATTTCTATTTACTTTACATATTGCTTGTTAATTCCAGTAAAGTCTTGAGGGTCTTGTTCTGACAGTTTTTTCCTTTCTCATTCATGGTGCCATACTTCTATATGTGATTTGTATTTTTTATTATAACCTCATATTTGTTGGAAATCTATCTATGAGAATCCTTTGGGACCTAGGTGAAGATATTCTAAAGAGAATCTGCATTTTTCCTTGCCTAACTCCCATAAGCACTACCAACCCAGATCCACTTTAAAATTATTTCGTTGCAATTTTCAGACCACACACATTACATAAATTAAAACCCCAAATCTGTAGAATAAAGTAGACTGGGGAATTTTTCCATTCATCTTCAATTTGGAGCTAAAGGGTTGCATAGTGTGAAGATATCTGATCCAATCTCTGGCCCTTCTTGGACCCAGTCTCATACTCAGACACCTGTACATGAATGAAATTGTAAAAACCCAAATCCTAGACCACAAAGGATTAGTAGCTGTCCTCAGAGGAGCAGACAGCTTTGGTTTCTTGAAATGATGCTCCCAATAAATTCCTGACTCAAAGGATTTCCCTTACTATCTTGAAATACACATAAAAGAGTGCTTTAAAATACTTTATCTGACATTTTTAGAGACTCAGGATATCCAGTCTTGTTTGGCTGGAAAGAAAAATATGCATATAAGAATATCTGTGGAATATTTTCTCCACAGTCATTTCAAAGGTTATATTACACCAAATTTTCAAATAATAAAACCCTAAAAAATTCATTATAAATGCTGGTATATAATAAGAATCCGTTCAATTTCTTGTAATGATTAGCTGTATCAAATATTACCTTTTTAACACTTGCAGAAAAATCAGCTACTATTTTCAAAATATTGTTGGTTTCAGGAAAGTCCTTACAAATATAAGGTTCTTCAGCACATATTACTCTGATTGCCAGGCCAGGACCTAAAGGTAGGAGTAATAATAGTATTTAACATTAATGTTATATTTCTAATATAAAAATCTAATATAAAAATGCCACTAGTTTCAAAACATAAAACCTTTCCAAAATTAAAATCCATCTGCCCATCATAAGTATCCAAATGTAGCTATTAGTTTCCCATTCAACTCAGCATTTTTTAGAATGCTTCAACATTCTAAAAATGTTGTAACATTTAGAATGCTGCAACATTTAAATTATGCATACGTTTTAGTCTGCATAACTTTTTGGCATATTAATCTCTGTCCCTAAGTTTCTTCATCTATAAAACAGGGTAATACTATCATAGTTTCCATTGTGAGGCTCAAATAAGACAGTATGTTTAATTCTCTCCCTATCATTCCTATCTCCCTTTTTTTAAGAGATAGAGTCTTGCTCTGTCACCAAGGCTAGAGTGCAGTGGTGCAATTATTGCTCACTGCAGCCTCAAATTCCTGAGCTCAAGCAGTCTTCCCACCTCAGCCTCCTAAATAGCTTGGATTACAAGCACCGGCAGCCATGCCTGGCTAATTTTTTCAGTAAAGATAGGGGTTTCACTATGCTGTTCAGGCTGGTCTTGAACTCCAGAAGCTCGGCTTCTGGAAATGCTGAAATTACAGGCATGAGCCACTGACTGCACTTGGCCTATCCTATTTTTACAGTCCATGTATTAAGTATCACAAAATTATCCAGTAAATATTTTTAGTTTATAACATATGTGCTCATCCAAAGTTTTTAATAAGGGAATTTTCCAACATATACATAAAGAGGACAGTATAATTAACTACCTTACTTATCATCCAGCTTCAACTATCAATCTAATTTTAGGAATGGTATTATACTGTTAAAATATACACATAATCTAATAAATAATGTGAGTTTTTAATACCAAAAAATGTGAACTGGTATTTCTATTTTATTTTGACAGACTCTCATTCTGTCACCCAGGCTGGAGGGCAGTGGCACGATCTCAGCTCACTGCAACTTCCACCTCCCAGGTTCAAGAGATTCTCCTGCCTTACCCTCCCCTAGCAGCCACCAGTGTACCTAGTACAGGCATGCACCACCATGCCCAGCTAATTTTTTGTATTTTTAGTAGAGATCGGGTTTCACCGCGTTGGCCAGGCTGGTCTGGAACTCCTGACCTCAAGTGATCTGCCTGCCTAGGCCTCCCAAAGTGCTGGAATTACAGGCATGAGCCACTGTACCCAACCTCTATTTTACCAAATACTTAAAAGTTGATAAAAACACAAGGTGTGCATAGATCTATGGAAAACTGGATCCTGCTGCTTTACTACAACAGAAAAGGCATCACTTGAGATGCCTAGTTATAGGCAAAACCTCAGCTATGTCCAATTAATTCCCTAGTCCATTCTTTACCTTTAGAATAAACAGCATACTTAAGATAGTTTTTAAAGCAGTAAAACCATTTTTGCCAATGAAGTCTTACATAATAGAAAACTCAACATACAAAATAGATTTTTAAAACATCAAGTGAGTCTAGATGAAATAATGACCAAGGACATAGAACACTTGGCTTCCCTCCATTACATTCACAGATCATTCTTTTCTTTTTTTTTTTTCTTTTTTTTTTTTTTTAAGATGGAGTCATGCTCTGTTGCCCAGGTTGGAGTGCTGTGGTGTAATCTTGTCTCACTGCAACCTCTGCCTCCCGGGTTCAAGCGATTCTCCTGCCTCAGCCTCCCGAGTAGCTAGAATTACAGGCACATGCCACCACACCTGGCTAATTTTTCTATTTTTAGTAGACTCAGGGTTACAGGCATGAGCCACCACACCGGTCCACAGACCATTCTTCGCCGGCATGCAGGTTAGGGACTAAAGATCTCAATCTGATTACTTGATTTGAGAACAAGTGCTAATCACCACATAGGTTATACATGTGTAAAGCTGTTTATGGAGCCAATATGATCATTAAGAGTATAAACTCTGAGATAAAAATTATTGGGGATATCATTCTGGCTCCACTCCTTTCAATCTGCATAACTTTTGGCAAATTAGTCGCTGTCCCTAAGTTTCTTCATCTGTAAAACAGGATAATAGTAGTTTCCACTGTGAAGATTAAATAAGACAATAAAATGTATTTAGCAGAGTGCCTAGCACATAGAAAGTACTTAAGAAATGTTGGCTATTATTATGCTTTTCAATTCAATTAGGTCATTCTCCCAAATCATCCCCTAATCACTATTACAGTGAGCTAGAACCTGATGTACAGACTTGCCCAACCTCTCAAGAACTAGTAACAAAAACAGGTTAAGACTTGCAGTCCTAACTTTAAACAAGTATCACCTCTAATTTTTTTCTATATGACAGCAAATGAAGTATTATTTGTTCAGGAATTAGTTACATTGTGCCAGGAATTCTCTGCACAGAATAAGTGGTTCATCCATTCAAACAAGTCAGACATAGGACAAGGATTTTAAAGAGCTAAATTTAAATCCTCACATCTTCCATGGAACGCACTGCGGTATGGTACAAATAATATAACAAATCCTAGCTCTACTACTAGGACTGTGTGGCAATATTATTAAAATATCTTTATGTCTTGGTTTTCTCATCTGATGGCAACATCAGATGCCAGACTCCCAAGGATAATGTAACACTTAAATGCAGATACAATGGAAAATGAGTATTTAATAAAATGAAGTAAATACAGTAGATACTCAAAAGATTTCAATTATTCCCTAACCATCCTTTCCTTTCTCTCATGTTACATATTCCCTGAGATGACAGATTATTTCAGAATTGTCTGAATTGATTTTTCTTCAACATGAAGGTCTAAAGATGAATCAAACAAAATTCAGTTCTAATTTTTACCTGGAAATGGATGCCTGGAAACTAACTCTTCTGGAAGTCCAAGTTCTCTGCCCAAAATTCTCACTTCATCTTTATGAAAATCTTTCAGAGGTTCTATTACTTTTCCCTACAGGGAGGAAAGAAGCCAACCAATATAAACTAGTAACCAAGATGACATGGAAAACAAAGCGTAATAAATTATTGGCTTTTCCTGTTACCACTTTTCTTAGACTAACAGATTATTACTAAAAATGCATCTTTTAAAGTATTTGTTCCTAAGTGCCTATAAGGAATTAGACGAATATCTTATGGGTATTATTTCTCTTTGAAGCACATTTTAAACATAAGCTTTTTAAATATAAATAAATCAGGGTAAACCAATCCATCATCTCTGATCTAATTCTCATTAGAATACAAAGCAATTAGAAAATATACTAGTGTTCCAAAATTATAATTCTCCAAATGTTATCATTGAGAAAATGAAGACAACTCACAGAACTAGAGAAGACATTTGCAAGTCGTATATCTGATAAAAGACTTGTAACCAGAATATATAAAGAACATTTACAACTCAATAATAAAAAAATAAATAAGTCAATTAAAAAATAAGCAAAGCTAATGGGTACTAGGCCTAATACCTGGGTGATGAAATAATCTGTATAACAAACCCCTATGACACAAGTTTACCTATGTAACAAACCTACACTTATATCCTCGAACTTAAAATTATTTTTTAAAAAAAGGAGCAAAGGATACGAATAGACATTTCTCCAAGATACACAAATGGCCAATAAGCAAGAACATGAAAAAATGCTCAACATCATTAGCTATTAGGGAAATGCAAATCAAAATGAGATATACCACTTCATATACACTAGGATGACTAACATTTTTATTTACTTTTTTTTAAGACAGAGTCTCGCTCTGTCGCTCAGGCGGGAGTGCAGTGGCATAATCTTGGCTCACTGCAACCTCTGCCTCCCAGGTTCAAGCAATTCTCCTGCCTCAGCCTCCAGAGTAGCTGGGACTACAGGCATGCACCACCAAACCTGGCTAATTTTTTTGTATTTTTAGTAGATACAGGGTTTCACCATGTTGGCCAGGCTGGTCTCAAATTCCTGGCTTCAAGTGATCCACCTGCCTCAGCCTCCCAAAGTGCTGGGATTATAGGCATGAGCCACTGTGCTGAGCCAGATGACTAAAATTTTTAAAAGTCAGATAACACAACCATAAAAAAATAGAAAATAACAAATTGTAAGCATTTGGAAAAATTGGAGTCATTATGTACTTTTGGTTAGATTGTAAAATGGTGCAATTGCTATGGACAATAAGTTCCTCAAAAAAATTAAAAAGAGAACTACCATATGATCCAGCAATCCCAATTCTGGGCATATATCCAAAAGATAAACAAAAATGGATAGGCAAAATGTGTTATATACATATAGTAGTACATTACTCAGTCTGTTTTGTTTGTTTGTTTGTTTTTTTGAGACAGAGTTTCACTCTTGTTGCCCAGGCTAGAGTGCAATGGCAGTCTTGGCTCATTGCAACCTCCGCCTCCAGGGTTCAAGCCATTCTCCTGCCTCAGCCTCCCAAGGAGCTGGCATTATAGATGCCCGCCATCACGCCTGGCTAATTTTTGTATTCTTAGTAAAGACGGGGTTTCATCATGTTGACCAGGCTGGTCTCAAACTCCCGACCCCAGGTGATCCACCCGCCTCAGCCTCCCAAAGCGCTAGGCATGAGCCACTGTGCCTGGCCCATTTTTCAGTCTTAAAAAAGAAGGAAATTCTGTCACATGCTACAACATGAATGAACCTTAAGGACATTATGCTAAGTGAAATAAGCAAGTCACAAAAAGGCAATACTGTATGATTCCACCTATATGAGGTATTTAAAGTAGTGAAACATAGAAACAGAAAGCAGAATGGTGGTTACCAGAGGGTGGGGGCCAGAAAAAAGGGAGAGTTGTTTTTTAACGGGTATAGAGTTTGTTTTGCAAGATGAAAAGTTCTGAAGATCTGTTTTACAACAATGTGAATACACCTAACACTACTGAACTATATACTTAAAAATAGTTAAGATGAGGCTGGATGCAGTGGCTCACACCTGTAATCCCAGCACTTTGGGAGGCAGAGGCAGGCGGATCACCTGAGGTCAGGAGTTGAAGACCAGCCTGGCCAACATAGTGAAACCCCATCTCTACTAAAAATACAAAATTAGCCGGGCCTCGTGGCGCATGCCTGTAATCCCAGCTACTTGAGAGGCTGAGGCAGCAGAATCTCTTGAACCGGGAGGCAGAGGTTGCAGTGAGCCGAGGTCGCATGACTGCTCTCCAGCTTGGGCAATAGAGTGAGACTCTGTCTCAAAAAAAAAAAAAAATCAGAGTTAAGATGGTAAGCTTTATGTTATGTGTTTTTTACAATAAGAAAAGAGATAACAACAAGTCTTGGTGAGGATGTGGAAAAATTTGAATCTCATAGATTGCTAGTGCGAATGTAAAATTGTATCATCATTTTAAATAATAGTTTGGCAATTCATCAAAATGTTAAACCTTAAGACCTAGCAATTCTACTCCCAGGCATATACCAAAAGAAATAAAAACACATATCCACAAAAACTTATGACCAGTATTCATGGCGGCATTACTTATAACAGCCAAAAAGTGGAAATAACCCAAAAGCCCATCAGCTGATCAAAGGATAAATACAATGCATTATACCCATAAGATGGAATATTATCTGGCAATAAATAGGAATAAAGTTCTGATACATGCAGCAACATGGATGAACCTTGAAAACATTACGGTAAGTAAAAGAAGCCAGTCATAAAAGACCACATATTGTACCATTCCATTTATATAAAATGCCCAAAATAAGCAAATCTATAGAGACAGAAAATAAATTAGTGGTTGGTAATTGCCTAGGGCTGGCAAGAAAGGAGGAAAGGAGGAGCTGGGGGGTGGGGGCAGGATGACAATGACAACAACAGGTAGAACGAGGAGTGACTGCTAATGGGTATAAGGTTCCTTTTTAGGGTAAGGAAAATGTTCTAAAATTAGATGTGGTGATGGTTATGCAATTCTGTGAATATTAGAGGGAAGAGGAGGGAAGAATGGAAGACTTTCCATGTATCTACTTTATGAAAAAGTTTTCATAAACTTTTACCTCCTCTCTCAACTTTCTGATGAGCTCTGTGTCATTGTGATGGGTTTTGATGAGTTCAGCTTTGCCACTTGCAACAAGGGATGCACTTTCAATTAGATCAGGCCGTAAAGTACCTTGGGCAAGGAAAACCTCCTCTGGTTTCAAGTTCATTTCTCCAATTACTTCATTGGCAATCTATAATCAACAGGAGTAAAACAGCCTTGTAAGAGATAACTTTTTTTAAAAGCAAAAGTTTATACTTTCAGCTAAATCTCTTAGAGTCCTTTAGAAATACTGATCAGAAAATAAAATCCACCAATCTCCAAAATAAACTCCTTAATGAACATGTCCTCTAACACGATTCAAAAAGGTACATGAGGCCAAACACAGTGGCTCACGCCTGTAATCCCAGCACTTTGGGAGGCTGAGTGGGGTGGATCACTTGAGGCCAGGAGTTCGAGACCAGCCTGGCCAACATGATGAAACACCATCTCTACTAAATATACAAAATTAGTGGCCAGGTGTGGTGGCTCACGCCTGTAATCCCAGCACTTTGGGAGGCAAGGCAGGCAGATCACAAGGTCAGGAGTTTGAGACCAGCCTGACTAACATGGTGAAACCCCGTCTCTACTAAAAATACAAAAACTAGCCGGGCATGGTGGCACACGCCTGTAATCCCAGCTACTCAGGAAGTTGAGGCAGGAGAATCGCTTGAACCCTGGAGGCAAAGTTTGCAGTGAGCCAAGATTGCACCACTACACTCCAGCCTGGGCGGCAGAGTGAGACTCCATCTCAAAAAAAGAAAAAAATTAGCTGGGCATGGTGGTGCATGCCTGTAATCCCAGCTACTCGGGAGGCTGAGGCAGGAGAATCGCTTGAACCCAGCAGGTGAAAGTTGCCGTGAGCCAAGATCGCTCCATTGTACTCCAGCCTGAGTGACAAGAACAAAACTCCGCCTCCAAAAAAAAAAAAAAACAAAAACAAAGGTATGTGAACATTCCATTCAAGAGCTTGAAATTAGCCATTGAGATAATCAATGAATTAAAGTCTATGATAAGCTGAATACATCTACTCTTAAAGACATCTATTCTTAAAATAATAGCCTGGCAATGTAGGCAAACATGTTTATTAAAACATAAAACAGTTGGCTGGGCATAGTGGCTCACACCTGTAATCCCAGAAGTTCGGGAGGCTGAGGCGGGCGGATCATGAGGTCAGGAGATCCGGACCAACCTGGCCAACATGGTGAAACCCCCGTCTCTACTAAAAGTACAAAAATTAGCTGGGCATGATGGTGCACCCCTGTAGTCCCAGCTACTTAGGAGGCTGAGGCAGGAGAATCACTTGAACCCAGAAGGCAGAGGTTGCAGCGAGCCGAGATCGTGCAACTGCACTCCAGCCCAGCCTGGTGACACAGCAAGACTCTGTCTCAAAAAAACAAAAAAAAAACCAAACAACAACAAAAAAACATAAAACAGTTTCTACTGGTCAATATAATGACAATATACAATAAAACTCTCAGCCACATAAGAAAAAGGATTAAAATTAGCTAATTTGGTTATTTGATATAGTGACAAGGAAAAACAAATACTAAGATTCACATCAAAAATAGTACATGTTGAGGATATTAAAAACAAAGGTACCTTAACAAAAGTATCCCCAATGATTTTTCTTTTCTCTTCAGGACTTGTGGTCATATTTAACGTTTTGCTAATTCTTTTCCGTGGGGTTCTATCTTCATCTGATATTGGTAGGGTTGTTGTTCCATTGTAGAAAGAATGAGCAGCATTTATCACTGGAGGAAAGGGGAGAAGCGTTTTAAATTGGTATAACATGTTTTTTAATCAAAAATAACAAGTCAAAATACAGAAAGAAAAGCTATTTCTTTCCCAGTCTGAAGAGCAGTCCTTTGATCTCCCCTAAATCTGCCTACAAATTTCAATAAACTATCAATATTCAAGAATTATTGGCCGGGCCCGGTGGCTCATGCCTATAATCCCAGCACTTTGGGAGGCCGAGACAGGTGGATCACGAGGTCAGGAGATCAAGACCATCCTGGCTAACATGGTGAAATCCCATCACTACTAAAAATACAAAAAATTAGCTGGGTGTGGTGACGGGTGCCTGTAGTCCCAGCTACTTGGGAAGCCGAGGCAGGAGAATGGTGTGAACCCGGGAGGCGGAGCTTGCAGTGAGCAGAGATTGTGCCACTGCACTCCAGCCTGGGTGACAGAGAGAGACTCCATCCCCAAAAAAAAAATAAGAAAAGAAAAAGAACTATCAATAAATCCTGAGTAACAGAATTCAGATACAGGCACTCATTAAATTTTGTTTCTGTGAGAATCTCCTGGCATTTAGATCTAGGGCCATGACATCACAAATTATGCTGATTAGGGCCGGCACGGTGGCTCACACCTGTAATACCAGCACTTTGGGAGGCCAAGTTGGGTGGATCACTTGAGGTCAGCAGTGTGAGACCAGCCTGGCCAAAATGGCAAAACCACATCTCTACTAAAAACACAAAAATTAGTGGGGCGTAGTGGCACATGTCTGCAATCCCAGCTACTCAGAGGCTGAGGCAAGAGAATTGCTTAAACCTGGGAGGCAGAGGTTGCAGTGAGCCGAGGTTGTGCCACTGCATTCTGCCCTGGGCAACAGAACAAGACTCTGTCTCAAAAAAAAAAAAAAAATTTATGCTGATTGTTTTCCCTCTCTTCAGTGCTTCACCAGAGCAACAAGCAGAAGCCACAGCAAGAAGCTTAGCCCCAAAGAAGTCAAAAGCACCGGCTCCTAAACGGAGTCAAAGCTGTTGGAATCACACCCTAGTGTCTTGTAAAACTAATATTTATGAACATACATTTAACAATCCTTGGCTTTTTATTTAATGACAAGAAACTAAAAACTAAGATCTCTATTTGCTAATAAAACTTAGCTACTGGAGGCCTTCACCGTAAGATGACAAGGCAGCTGGCTATTTCATTGTGGAAAAGCCAGTGAATTTGTAGGTCTTTCCTGTACCTGGTCAACTACCCAGAGAAGACATATCTACTCTCCTGCCTATTGGCATTCTGGCAGTTAAACAGAGGAAGTGGTAGGAAGAGGGAATCACCATTCAGCATAGAGAATTTTACTTAATCCTGTTCTTAATGTAGAGTCTTACCTCCACCCTCAACTATGCCTGGTATTAGTAGGCTCAAGCCCAGAACCTCTCGTTTAGCCCCTCTAGAGAATACATCCACAGTGTTCTGATGGGGAAGGAGAGCACAGTTTGCTCCTGTGCTAAGGAAAAGGATCTGCTTCTCAGATTTTTAACTAATCCCTGTTTTAGGCTAACCCAGAGACCAATGTCCCAAAAAGAACCCAATGCTTCAAATTCCTGAGCCTCCCCAGAAGTCTACAGCACAAATCAGCTTGCTTTTTATTGGCTTCCTTCCCACCCCACCCCAAGGTTGTGAATTCCTCCATTCTGCTATGTCAGTTACCAGGGACAGATCCAAGTTTTACAATTTGAAGGACTCCTTCAAGAACCAGAATAACAAATAAGATACTAAAAATCTTAAGTTATACTGGGATGGCTAACAAGTACTTAACTATACACAGAAATAATTGCAAATCACATATATACCACTAAACCCATACTAAGCACATCCCCAGCTCATCTTTGTCTTAGCCTGATTTCAAAATGCCCACAGCTATTCCAGCACCACCTAACAGAAAACAAGTCAGAGTTGAAAGAAAATAAACAACTACAAATTATCAAAATATCTTGCAAATTTCACAAAAACCTATCACCATGTGAAGATACCATTGGGGACCTTCCCAGGATGTTGGGAGAGACCCCCCTAGCTTAAACAGAGAAAATCCACCTTTACCCATCTGCTTTCCACTTTCCAACACTTTATTGAAACCATCTGTCTTCTGTCATCTCCTCTATCCCACATCCTTAAGGTATTACACTGTTTTATGCTTTTACTGTTATTTTAGAGAAGTTTCAAAAAAATAGACTCATGTTCACATCATACTTACCTACAAGTCTTCATTTTATTCAGCCTTTTGGTATCAATTCCAATTAATTCCATAATATGTACAATAACTTTTATCATTAAACTACTGACCTCATTTCATTATAACTATCAATTGCACCTTGTTTTTAAAAAGTATAAAAGGTATCTACAAAAGTAAATGTTATTAAGGACTAAGAAGTTTACTAGTGGCCCTTTAAAAAAAAAGTATAGAATCTTTACCTCTCCCACAATAAGCTTTTCTGTTTGCAAAATAATCTGTATACCCATACCTGAGGAGGGCTTGGGTAGCCTCGTACATAAATATCATTAAATAGAGTGGGAAAAGATAATTTCTTTTTTTTTTTTTTTTGAGATGGAGTTTCGCTCTTGTTGCCCAGGCTGGAGTGCAGTGGCATGATCTCTGCTTACTGCAGCCTCCACCTCCCAGGTTCAAGTGATTCTCCTGCCTCAGCCTCTCGAGTAGCTGGGATCACAGGCGCCCACCACCAAGACTGGCTAATTTTTTGTATTTTTAGTAGAGATGGGGTTTCATCATGTTGGCCAGGCTGATCTCAAAACTCCTGACCTCAGGTGATCCACCCACCTTGATCTCCCTAAGTGCTGGGATTATAGGCGTGAGCCACCGCGCCTGGCCAGGAAAAGATAATTTTAAAAGTGAATGACTAGAAGAGAACTGAACAGTAGCTAGAAAATGTTAATTTATCAATCTATGTATTAAATTAGCAGAATCAATAGTTTAAAAATTTATACTGAGACCTCTCTTACACCAGAGGTAATTGTAAAAATAAAAAACATTTTCAACCTTGAGCATACTGAGAAAACTGTAATTGTGCTCATTTAAACCATAAGACTAGATTTGATTAAACAAGTCCTAACATGTAAGTTAACTTTTCTGAGGTTCTTCAATACCTTTGACCTGAATTCCAAGCTTTTTGAGGGCCTCTTCAACAGACTGGCTTTCTCGTTTTCTCATAAAGCCATTATCAATGTGCACAGCAATGACTTGTTCTTGGTTCAAAGCACGATTTAGCAAAGCTGTACAAACTGTTGAGTCTACTCCACCACTGAGTAAAACCTACGGGGTAAAATGAAAAATCAAAATGAGCAAAACAAGCAAAAAGAAAATAAACACTATTGGCTTAAATCTTTATCTAAAAGTGCTATTTATACCAAAGATATGTATGGTAACTGGAAAAGCACTCTAAAACTGTAGAACATTTAAGGGCTGTGTTGAGGACTCTAACTCCTGGATTCCAATATTATTGATATAAATTTGTAGACTTCCAGATAATAATTTGCTTACCAAAACTTTTGACGTGCCTACTCTCTCTTTGATCTCTCGAATACACTCAAGTTCTCTGTTCTGCACGGTGAAGGTTCCACTGCATCCAGCTATATCATAAAGGAAATTCTTCAGTATTACTTTTCCATTTTCTGTAAGGCCAACTTCAGGGTGGAACTGTGCTCCATATAACTTTTTAGATTCATTTGCTATGCCTTTATAGAGAAAATAGTCACAAATTAAAATTTTTTCATGCTGAAAAGACTCAAGCAATAACCACAATTAATTTCTCACAATCTCTGCCTCTATGGTTTCATTTTTTTTTTTTTTTTTTTTTTGAGACAGAGTCTTGCTCTGTCGCTCAGGCTGGAGTGCAGTGGCATGATCTCGGCTCACTGCAACCTCTGCCTCCTGGGTTCAAGCAATTCTCATGCCTCAGGCTCCCAAGTAGCTGGCATTACAGGCGTGTGCCACCACGCCCAGCTGATTTTTTGTATTTCTAGTAGAGATAGGGTTTCACTATGTTGGCCTGGTGGCCTCAAACTCCTGGCCTCAAGTGATCCACCTGCCTCAGCCTCCCAAAGTGCTAGGATTACAGGCATGAGCCACTGCTCCCAGCCAATTTTATTTGTTTGTTTGTTTTTTGTTTTGTTTTGTTTTGAGACGGAGTCTCGCTCTGTTGCCCAGGCTGGAGTGCAGCGGTGCGATCTTGGCTCACTTGTCACCTCTGCCTTCCATGTCCAAACTATTCTTCTGCCTCAGCCTCCCGAGTAGCTGGAACAACAGGTGTGTGCCACCACGCTCGGCTTATTTCTTTTATATTTTTAGTAGAGACAGGGTTTCACCATATTGGCCAGGCTGGTCTTGATCTCCTGACCTTGTAATCCGCCCATCTCAGCCTCCCAAAGTGCTGGGATTACAGGCGTGAGCCACTGCGCCCGGCCTATTTTATTTTATTTTTTAGACAGGGTATTTACTGCTCTGTCACCCAGGCTGGAGTGCAGAGGTGTAATCATAGCTCACTATAGTCTCGATCTCCTGGGCTCAAGTGATCCTTCCACCTCAGCCTCCTGAGTAGCTGGAACAACAGGTGCATGCCACCACACTCAGCTAATTTTTAAATATTTTGAAGAGATGGGGTTTTATCTTGTTGCCTGTTGAACTCCTGGGCTCAAGTAATCCTCCTGCCTCGGCCTCCCAAAGTGCTGGGATTACAGGTGTGCGCCACTGCACCCAGCCTTCTTCCTCTATAAATGTTAAAACTGGTATGTCTCAGTAGATTTTTAGCTATAGGAATAGGAAATACATAACAAAGACAAAAACTACATTGCTATAACCTTTCTTTATAAAGGTCTTTCTTGACACAGCAATTAATGAGGTATAGGACGTACATTAAGTCCCACATAGAGATTGTTTCACAGTATTCTCACCTCTCCACCCAAGTTACTTCAGTTGCCTTGTCTATCTAGTGCATTGATAATTCAATTTTGGTTCTCAGTTGCACATGGCTTTCAAATGCATTGTACAGCTACCAAGTTCTTATATTAAAAGAATCTCATATATTAGACTTGTCAGAATATACTGTTTCTTTCTTGACTACTATTAACCACAAAAATATATTCAACTACTTGACAAATGTGTTTCTGGCAAATATTACCTATGGGGCAATAGATGTTAGGCTAGGTATTTTACATGTGCATGTGTTACTCCTATTTTATGGCTCTGAGATATCAAGAAACTTGTATGAACTCTCAGGTAATTAAGTAACTAAATCAGGCCTGACAGGCTCCCAAACTCATACTCATTCTACTATACCACAGTACTTCACACTTTATTTGGCTCTCAGCATACCACTCTCTTGGTTCACTTATTTTACTGTCTATTCCTTCTGAATCTCTTTGCTGGTTCCTCTTCATCTTGCCCACCTCTACACATGGAAGTTACTCAGTCCTCAGCCCTTAAATCTCTTTTCTAAATATTCTAAGAGATCTCATACTCTCATCACCTTAAAATTCTGTCTGTATGCTGGTAAACCCCCAAATTTATACCTCCAGCCCAGTTTTCTCCTCTAAAGTCCAGGCTCATATATACAACTGCCTACTCAGCACCTTTGTTTTGATGTTTAATAAACCATCTTGAATTTAATATGCAAACTCAAACTCCTGAGGTCTTTCCAATCAGGTAAATAGAAACATCTTCCTTTTGGTTCCTCAGGCAAAAAAACTTGGGAGCTAAAACTTGATTCTACTTTTTCTTCCCCACTCCATATTCAATCTAACAGCAAATCCTCTGTCTCTGCCTTCAAAACAGTGGAATCCAATCACTCCTAACAATGTCTACCTCTATCACCCTAGTCCTGACAACTTCTATCTCTGCCACCCTGGTCCTAACAACTTCCTCTTCTACTGCTGTAGAAAAAACCGGGTTCTTTTCACATGACCAGGAAAAGTTAGGCACGCAGACACTTTGAAGGGTAAGGGGGAATGGAATTTATTGAGAAAAAGGGAAAAAAACTCTCAGCAAAGTGAGAAGGCTTCCTGTTAACAGGCCCCCATCTCACAGATTGAATCCGAGGTCACCACACAGGAACAGGAAAGGCCAGGCTCCTCCCTCCTGCAAAGGGTGAGAACTTCCTGTGGCCCCACCCTGTTCTCCCAGTAGGCAGGCTGGTGGGAGATTCTCCAGGTACCCTCCCCTTTATCTTCCTCCTGCATCTATCACTACTATCCTGATCCTGACAACGCTGTCTCTCTCCTGATTACTACAATAAATTCCTAGCTTGTCTTCTTGCTTCTCTTTCACCCTGTATCTTTTCTCCTCATCACAGCTTAATCCTTAAATTAGATCACATCTCTCCTTCACTTAAAACCCCACCTCACTATGAGTAAAGCCAAAGTATTGCAGTGGCCCAAAGGTCCTGTGTTCTGGCATCCAACTACCTCTCTAATTTCACCTTCTTTCACTCTCCCCACCATGCTTACTCTGCTCCAACCACATGGATTCCTGCTGCTCCTCAAATATGGTCCCCACCCAGGATCTCTGTACTGCTGTTTCCTCTTTCCCCAAATATCCAAAAAGGTTAGCACTTATTTTCTTCATGTCCAATGTCATCTTATAGGAATGCCTTCCCTGAATAGCCTATAAAATTGCAACAACCCTAATCACACATATTCCAGAATACCCTCTTCCCCCATTTTTTCAATGTAAACACTATCTGATTCTGACATATTCTGTATTTCTTTATTGTTTACTTTCCCTTTTTCCAGTGTTAAACAAGCATTTTTGCTATATTGGTTTTGGGTTTTGTTTTCTTCTTAGGAGAGAGGGTCTTGCTCTGTTGCCCAGGATGGAGTGTAGGGGCACAACCACAGCTCACCGCAGTCATGATCTCTTAGGGCCAAATGATTCTCCCACCTCAGCCTCCTGAGTAGCTAGGACTGCAAATGTGCATCACCACACCTGGCTAATTTTTTTAAAATTATTTTTATGTAGAGATGGGGTCTCACTATGGTGCCCAGGCTGGATTGAACTCCTGGCCTCAAGCTATCCACTTTCCAGTCTCCCAAGGTGCTGGAATTATAGGTGAGAGCCACCGCACCTGGCCTATTTTATTCATTGCTAAATCCTTGACACCTAGAACTGTGCATGACACATAATAGGTACTCGAATGTTTGTTGGATGAATAAAAATACACAAGCTTATCTACCACTGTTGATCTTTTTTTATGAAGTAAAAAACTTTTAGTATAAAACCATTCTTGGGCATTCCTATGCTAACATATTAGCATACATTATGCTAATGTCTGTTAAGTAACAGCAGGCAGATTACTAAATTCAGCATGTCCATGACAAATCTTTTTTTCAACTTATTATTTAGGTGTGGTATCTCAAAGAGAACTTTAGTGATAAACCCACCTTTTTCTTTTACTAACTTCCAGGAATATTAGTGACCATTTACATTATTCAGGTAAGCAAGTCAAAACCCCAAACAGCCAGAAAGTCAATTCCCCTTCCTCAAAAAATTAGAGAACAAAATGGTTTAAGAGCATGGGTCAGCAAACTTTCTGCAAAGGACTAGAGAGTAAATAGTTTGGGCTCTGTGCAACATACACAGTCCCTGTATTTTATTATAACCCTTTAATAATGTAAAAATCATTCTTAGCTCCTGGACATTAAAAAAAGGCAAAAGACTAGATTTGACCCACAAGTCACAGTTTGCCAACCCTGGTTCAGGGAAATGTCTTGAGTACTTATTTGGGTGCTATGGGCTATGTACACCTAAGAAAGGAATAAAAGACAAGTAACTCTGAATATAGTATAGTATGAAGACAGCGAGTTCTCAAATTTTTCCTGAGTTACAAAAGTATAGTGTTTTATGTTTGAAAAGCTTATATTAGGATGAACATTTTTCAACGTATTTCAAAGCAAACCAGTAAACCAGTAAGTGAGAGACTTCTGGATAATCCTCCTATTATTAAATTCCCTTCATAACAGTTAATCCTACATTCATTATTATCTTTAAAAAAAAGAGAAGAAAAATCAGAAGAAAAAGGAAAAATCAAAGAGTACCTCATACAGAAGCATATGCTTACTCTTCAGATAAAGTTTTTTAAATGAACTCTGCAAAATTTTTAGAATTTTCACCTGCTACTATGTTTCCAGAACGTGCCACAACCTTGAATCCATCAGCTACTTTGTCTACACTATCTCCATGTGTAAGCAAAACAACTTCTTCCTTCTGAAGGCCCCTAAACATACAAAAAATAAAACACACAAATATCTTAATTAAAAACATGATTCATGGGTTCTTTTGTTTTAGAAACACAAGCTTGCCATACATGATTAGAAAAACAGAAAAAAAAAAAGTGACAATGGAATACTGCTAGAATTCAAATATTATGTCCATTACAAATAAAGCCAATAAAAAACCTTAGACCTTAAAAAAGGCAATCCATAAAAATTGGAAGGAAACTAGAACAAATAAATATATGAAGTTGGTAGTATAACCAGACACACAGGAATAATTTCAAGAGATTACAGAACAATAATTTCAACATTATATATCTGTTGAGATTTATGTTAAGAACAGAGGTATTTCAAAGACCTTAACACTTCATTCGGTAGTCTTATGTAAGTAGTAATAGGACTTAGTACTGAAACTGTTATCCTGTAACTGTAAGTACAATATAGATACAGGCATACTGTAGGTTAAAACAAATAATTAGTAATCAACATTTTCAGCTTAAGAGTAGGGAGATACAAAATCAAAAGAGTTAGGTAAAAACCCTATAATCTTTCATTTTAACTGGAAATAAGTATACACTAATGATTCTGTTTCCCAATTCTAAAAGACTAGGTACTGCCCAACTCTGTTATCTGAAAGTCCTAGAAACAATTACAACCCAGTACCAATGTGGACCTCTAGTGCCAAACAAATTAATGAAACTTAGTTAAGTAAGTGTTACTTAAGAGACTTAAGTAACATTAATCAAATGTAATGTGTACACTTTCTCTGGACCCTGATTCAAACAAATCAACCATAAAAATATACTGTTTACGTTATGGAAAATCTGACTAAGAACTCGATATTAAATAATAATAAGGAACGGCCAGGCGCGGTGGCTCATGCCTGTAATCCCAGCACTTTCGGAGGCCGAGGCAGATCACCTGAGATCGGGAGTTCAAGACCAGCCTGGCCAATATGGTGAAACTCCGTCTCTACTAAAAACACAAAAAATTTTGCCTGTAATCCCACTTACTTGGGAGACTGAGGTGGGAGAATCACTTGAACCCGGGAGGTGGAGGTTGCAGTGAGTCGAGATCTTGCCACTGCACTCCAGCCTGGGCGTGCGACAGAGTGAGACTCCGTCTCAAAAAAAAAATTAAATTAAATTACAAAATAAATAATAAATAATACTAAGGAATAAAAATGTAAATTAAAAATAAAGCAAGAAGATAAAGTACATTAATGTCAAAAAGATATTTTGGGGTTTGTTGTTGACATTGTTGTTTAGGAATAGTATAGGTTGTGATAGAGTCCCAGAATTTTAGAACTAGAAAGACAGAAAAATGTCAAATCTTAACCAAATCTTTATGTTTAAAGCTTCTTCTGGTATATCACATACAAGATTCCTGAAATGTTTCTCAAGATGAGTCACATGAAATAAGGATGAATGTAAGTGTCAACACCTCTCCATTATGAAGCTGAACAAGCACTGGATTTCAAACTCATTTTGACAATGAGTAACTTCAGTTTAAAAAATTATTTTGAGCAACCTTGGCTTTTTTATTAATCTTCCTTTGAAAAATAATAATCTTCGGCAGGGTGCAGTGGCTCACACCTGTAATCCCAGCACTTTGGGAGGCCGAGGTGGACAGATCACGAGGTCTAGGAGTTTGAGACTAATCTGGCCAATATAGTGACACCCTGTCTCTACTAAAAATACAAAAATTAGCCGGGCGTGGTGGTTCATGCCTGTAGTCCCAGCTACTCGGGAGGCTGAGGCAGAAGAATCGCTTGAACCCAGGAGGCGGACGTTGCAGTGAGCTGAGATGGTGCCACTGCACTCCAGCCCAGGTGGCAGAGGGAGACTCCGTCTCGAAAAAAAAAAAAGAAAAAGAAAAATAATAATCTTTAAAAACAGATCAAAGAGTGAAAAGGGAAAATACAAATGTTGGTATCACAATATACGATTCCAAGTAGGGTTCCACAACTGCACAGGCGTTTTCAAATTTCTTAAATACCTTCCTTATTCCCTATTAACATCACCACCAACCCACACTGTCTTGACACTCAACTGGAAGGCAAATATGACAATTACACTTGTGGTCACTACTATACCCTTAATTTTGTTTATGAATTATAGAATCTCCAATTGTTAAAAATAATAGTATCAACTTTAAATTAGTTAATTACTATTGTTCTTATTCATCTAAAAATGTAATACCTGAATAATGAACATGTATTATCCACACTAATGTTGAAAACTCCATCTTCTCTGACACTTTTTTTGTGCACAGTACCTCCAAATACCTTATTCATCATCTGTTCAAAGAAAAAAATTAATGTTAATAGAAATCAAAAGAAAAATACCCATTTTGTTATACTGATTTAATAATTTATATTATTTCTTTTCAGAATACCTGATATACCTGTATCCCCAAAATAAAAGGAGTTTAATAAATGTAGACCATTTGGTATTGTTATATATAACTATACAGTTATTAACAGGCATTGTTATAAAACAAAATTGGATTCAAAATTTGACCTGCAGTTAATTTCTGTCAAACACTGGCAGATTTTCCACTTAGTGTACTTTAATGAATTCATCTGCTTAAAAATAGAGATATCTTAATTACTTACACCTGAGTTTGATTTAAAAGCATTTTAAAAGGTATTCTGAGTTTAGAAAAAGATACAGCAGACAACAAGAACCTTGTACCAGAACAAGAATTAGACAATACATTTTTCCAAGCTATTTAGTCTTTGGCTCCAAAGGAACAGTCTGAAAGCCTGCCGAAGGCTGTGCTATAGAGATGGGATAAGCAAGAAAATCTGGCCTTTCAGTTAAGCTCATCTGTTCAAGTCCCATACGCTTATCGACTGATTTCAAATGGTCTCTTCAATTCAGCACCTCCACTGTTAATCAATCTTCTTTTCTTATTTATCATTTACATGCTCCAAACTTCCCATATCAGATAAATATACAGAAGATTTTTGCAAACATTAGATCTGCAGTGATATAAACACTCCCACTCATCTTAGTGCATCTGTTCCACAACAGATATCAGAAGATATCTGCCTTAACAATGTGTAATGCAGGTTGACCCATCCCCTGACAGAAAATAAGACAGATGACTTAAATAAATGTTCATTCTTATAACTCAGAGTAGCATATTCTTCAAAACCATTAGCAAATGGTGCCCTCTACATTCTCCTCTTAGGCATTCACAGTAAACTGTCCCACAATAAAGGTTTGAACTCACTCCAGCAGTAAAGACACCTGCTAGCACTTGTTTAACACAGTATTTGTCAAACTAAAGACTCAAAAACAAAACTCTCTTCTGTAGCACATTAACTAATATGCAATTTAAGAAACATTGCTACAGTCTAATCATTTCCCTTGACTCTAGTCTTGCCCATCTTCCAGCAATATTCTAGAGACCTACCAATGTTAGCTACTACAATATAAAGATGATTGTGTTAGTCTATGATTAAATTCTTCATTAGCCCTCTAGCATCTACAGCAAGGGTTGGTAAATTTTCTTAAAGGGCCAGAGAAAAATATTGGCCTCTGCAGGCCCTACTGTGTCTGTAGCAACTATTTAGCTCTTGCCACTGCAGCTCAAAAGCATCCATAGACAATACTTACAAAGAAATGGGTGTGACTGTTGCAATAAAACCTTATCATGGACACAGACTTGAATTTTATTTTTCACACATCACAAAATATAATTTTTATTCAATTTCCCAATCATTTAACAATGTAAAAAATCATTCTTTGCTTGCAGGTCATGCAAAAACAGGTGGTAGGCCAGATTTGGTCTATAGGCCATAGCTTACTGATGCCTGGTCTACAGGATAAAATCCAAGTTCCTTATATTAAACACAAGACTTCCTTACTTGGCCCTTGTCTAATTTTTGGATTCACCTTCCCCCTCATTTCCTACTCCAGTCCATTCAAACTAAAGTGATTATCAAAATAGACTATGTTCTCTCCTCCATGTCTTCAGGTCTCTTCACAGCCCAAGGGCCCTAGCAAAGTATGTGGCCAGTATGGATTCCTGGATAAACCCCAAGGTTCTAACTGCCTCAAAGAAAGCCATATAGTACTCCAGGTCTACCACCTAATCAGATCATCTCCTCTTATCTTTCTTATATGTCAAAGTTTTATAAGTTTTAGATTGGGAAGGGAGAAAGGGAAGGAAATTCTGCCCAATAAAAATAATTTGACAAAATCTTGTGGGAGTATATAAAGAAGCCAAGTGAAACCATAAAGAGTGAAGAGACAAGTCACAATCCAGAAGGTATCTGCAATATATATAGTTGGGAAAAGTTTAGTATCCAGAATATATAAAGGCTCCCACAACACAATAACAAAGACAATTTAATATAAAAATGAACAAGTGTCTATAGTAAACACAAATGGCAAATAAACGTATGAATCTTACAATAACAAGGAAAATTAACTTTAAGACTACAACGTGACCCCCATTTAATACCTTTGCAGATAAGAAAATACAAAAAAAAAAAATCTAATCATGTCAAGGGTTGGCAGGGATATAGAGCAGAAGATTTTTTATATATTGCTGTGGGAACATAAACTGAGGGAAAAAATATCATTTACCTAGTGAAGCTGAAAATGTACATTATGACCCAGCATTCCTACGGCCAGTTACCCTAGAGAAAATTTTGTGTATGTATAACACCAGAAAACAAGTAAAAAAATATTCATGGCAATATTGTCTATAATAGAAAGAAACTAGAAAGCCAACATTATGAACACTGGAATGTAAAAGTAACATGCTATATTCAAACAAATTCAATAGTGAAAATGAATAATTTACAATAAAATGTACTAACATGAATGAATCTCAAAACCAAAGTTGAAAATAATACAGGTAGTATGACTTCACTTATATATAGGTCAATCGGCAAAACTAATATATTATTTAGGAATATAAACATATGCATAAAGCCATAAAAAAAAGAAAGGGAATGAATAACAAAATTCAGGAAAGTTGGTCACCTCTGATAGGAAGAGAAGAATGTGAATGGAGACATACAAAGTTTCAAAAGCTCTACCAATATTCTATTTTTTAGGCTGGGGGATGTAAATCAGTTAAGAGATATAAAGGGAGCAGTATAGACATTTTTCTTCTAAAGCAAAGAATCACCAGGAAGCAATTAGAAAGCCTCTGACAGGAGAGTCCAGTTAGTGGGAAAAGATGGTATATAAGACACTGAAATTGCTCAAATTTCAGAATGTCATGGGGGGCAAAGGTATACACTTAGGTCCTAAAATTACCCAACCTAGTCACTAAGTGGCAGTCCTTTACAAACACACGTTAGCTAGACGGCATCATCTATATCATTATTTTATGGAAGGACAAATTCTGCCCAAATAACCAAGATCAGCATATCCCATTATCTTACTACAAAAGTTCAGCTGATAATAAAGGCAAAAATTGTTATGCATTTAACATCAGCAGGCCTGGCTTTGGCTATAAAACATCCTAGTGAATGACAGAACAATTTGGCCTTATAATTATATCAGGAAACTGACATAATGGGGAAACACTAAGCCATTATCTCTTAAATTAAAGGAGCATTTTTCAGACGTATTTCACTATAAGTAGGCCTTAAAAATATATCTTGTGAGATTCTTCCTTAGGAAATGTTACAAAGCCTCTCAATATACTAACAACCATTTAATATAACTATAAGTTGTGCTATATGATTAACACTGAGTACTCTGACAAAGAAAATCAATAAATTATATAAATATATTACACCTTGGGACAAAAAAAAAAAAGAAGCCAGCCAATATCCAATATTCAACTCAATCAGGGTGCAGGCTCTTCTAAGACTACTAGATGGAAAAAAATCTTTCTTTTTGCCAAGTCAAACTCATAATCAAACACTTTTCAAAGAACTTTGAAAGGAAAGAAGAGGCTTTTACTGTAAAATGCAAAATTGTACACCCACTTTGGAACACAGTTTTGGCAGTTTCTTACAAAACTAAACATACTCTTAACAACTTAGTAATTACTCTCCTTAGAATATACTGAAAAAGCTGAACATTTATGTCCACACAAAAACCTGTACATGGATGTTCATAGCACCTTTATTCATAATTACCAAAACTTGGAAGTCACCAAGACGTTAGTAGATGAATAAGTAAACTGTCACTTACTGAATGAGTGAATGAACTGTGATACCTCCATACAATGGAATATTATTCAGTGCTAAAAAGAAATTAGCTACCCAGACTGAAAAGACATGGAAGAACTTTAAATGCACATTACTAAGTGAAAGAAGCCAATCTGAAAAGGCTACATACTGTATGATTCCACCTACATGACATGCTGAAAAAGGCAAAACTATAAAGACGATAAAAAAATATCAGTGGTTGCCAGGATATGGGGGATGAACAGGTAAAGCACAAAGGATTGGGCAGTCGAAAATGTATAATACTACAATGGTAGATATATGTCATTATACATTTGTCCAAAACAATAGAATGTACAAAAATCAAGAATGAACACTAATCTAAACTAAGGACTTTGGGAATAATGATGTGTTGATGTAGGTTCATCAGTTATATCAAATGTATCACTCTGGTGTGGGATGTTGATAATGGAAGAAGCTATGCATGTGTAGAGGTTGGAGGTATATAAGATATTTCTATACCTTCTTAATTTTGCTGTGAACCTAAAACCCCTCTAAAAACAAAGTAATTGAAAAAAAAAAAAGAAAAGAAGAGTATCTTATCTCAAGATCTCAGTAAGTCCCTACTTATTCTTACTTTTTTTTTTTGAGAAGGAGTTTTGCTCTTGTCACTGAGGCTGGAGTGCAACGGCATGATCTCCACTCACCGCAACCTCCGCCTCCCAGGTTTAAGTGATTCTCCTGCCTCAGCCTCCCAAGGAGCTGGGATTACAGTCATGCGCCACCACGCCCAGCTAATTTTGTATTTTTAGTAGAGACGGGGGTTTCTCCATGTTGGTCAGGCTGGTCTCGAACTCCCGACCTCAGGTGATCCACCCGCCTCGGCCTCCCAAAGTGCTGGGATCACAGGCGTGAGCCACTGCGCCTGGCCAAACTTTTGTTATTTTTAATAGAGACAGGGTTTCCCCATGTTGGTCAGGCTGGTCTCGAACTCCTGACTTCAGGTGATCCACCCGCCTCGGCCTCCCAAAGTGCTAAGATTACAGACATGAGCCACCACGCCTGGCCTATTCTTACTTTTGATATAAAACCAAGGCACATATACTTATTAATTAATGTTACAATGGAGACACCCGACAGATACCATCTTACCCAAATAATCCAAGTTAACATCACCTGTCATGCCACAAATCCACACCGTGTGCCTCCTGATAAGATGCTCTGAGAAGCACAGCACCAATTCTGTGATACTCCTGCCAAAAGTTCATAACCTGAATCTAACAATGAGGAATCATCACAGAAACCAAAGTTGGGAAATGTTCTACAAAATAATTAACACGTACTTTTTAAAAATACTTTCAAGCTCATGAAAGAGAAGGAAACACTGAGGAACTATTTCAGACTGAAAGAGTCTAAAGAAACAACAACTAAAAACAACACATAGTCCTGACTGATCTGTGGCCTATAAGGGATATTAATGAGACAAACTGTGAAATGTGAAGGAGTCTGTGGATTAGATTCTAACAATGAGTAAATGTTAACTTTTCTGACCTGGATAGTTGTACTGTGGTTATGCAGTAAGAGTGTCCTAATATTTAGGAAATATAAGTAACAGGGCATCACGTGTGCAACTTTCAAATGGTTCAAAAATGTCAACAACTGGAGTACTGGGTAAAGGTATACAGGAGCTCTATGTACTATTTCTGAAAATTTTATGTAAATTTGCATGTCCAAGGTTTTTTTAAATGGATAGTGTTTTGTTACATGAAACAGTGTACTTACTACTTTGAAAATAGATTCCCTATCAGGCCAGTTCTGCCATACTAGTGTGGCAATTCACATAGTTGTAACATGCACAAGTTATCTCATCCAACTAAGTATCCTAAATATCCTAAAGAGAGAAAATACTAATACAGTATGACTCACAAACAGAATAAAATATAAGTAAGCTTTCAAAACAAATTTGCTGACATACCTGCATACCATAGCAAATTCCAAGAACAGGCTTGCCAATAGTGAATATTGCTGGATCAAACCAGGGAGCATCTTCAGCATACACAGAATTAGGTCCTCCAGAGATGATAATAGCACTGTGATTTAAGGAACAATCAGTGAAGAATCTCTGTTAATTTTTATACAAGGTCTATGCCCTCTCTCCCTTGTACCACTGAGGGAAACAACACAGATCCAGAAATTGCGTTGTTTTTGGTAGAATGTAGCAAATTCTAATTATATCACAGCGAATTGTCATCCTACGTGGTTTAATTATTTTTACTGTACTTTACTGCAATGTTTAGAAGTCTATCAATTCAGCATTTACTTGTTAATAAGCACAAACTTCCAAATAGATAATACCAATGTTTCTATCTGTGATACTTAGCATGGATTTGTTTTACTTGTTTCCTTATCAATGGAAGAAGTACGTAAGAATTCTAGAGATGGTGAAAATACAGGTCTTCTCAGAGCCTAGCAGGTCAAAGAACAACAACTGAAGGTATTATGAAGGCCCTGGATGGCTCAGAGCAAAATACTCTACAACAAAAGACGGCAGAATAGAAAGTATACATTACCCAACTTTGCCTGTTTACAGCATCCACCATCCCCAACAATTTTCCCTGAGCCCAGGAAAGGGAGCTAGTAACACTTCTGCCCCCACATGCCCTGCTCTCAGAAATCAGGTCAGTAGTATAATTTAGCTATCTTATAATTTGCAGAGCATGGGTTAACTTGGGAGTCAAACTACTATAATAAGGGAAAACTGCAAACTGAGGCCTATGTTCCTCTCCTGGCCACTAATACATCTACACTGGCCATGAGTATTCACTCAAAAAAACTTAAACATTTTAATATCAAGAATTTCACAAAAATTCAGATTTCTGGAATTTCTTCAGGGAAAAAAAAATCTGGAAACACTGGGCCTTCACTCCTGCATAACTACAACCAATTGGAATCATAAAGTGGCTTGCACCTTCAAGCTGCACATGCTCTCCAGTTTGCCACACATGCCCACTCACACAATGAAGGTATACTTAGGCCCTTTATTCAATTTAAGGTACTCTCTAACTCACTTTGAGTTTGCAGATAAATCTGACTTATCTGTATTTCAAAGAAAAAGGCATTGTAAAATCTAATAAAAACTTACTTACAAATTTGGACTGCAACACACTTTTTAAATAGTGATTCCCTGTCATATAAAAATATACAAAGTATATTGCTAGATTTATAATACATCCAGAAGAACAATACAACATAAGTCAAATTTATAAAAAAAAAAAAAAAAAAAAAAATCTCAGTAAGGCTGGGCATGGATGCTCAAACCTGTAATCACAGCACTTTGGGAAACAGAGACGGGCAGATTGCTTGAGCCCAGGAGCTCGAGACCAGCCTGGGCAATGTGGCAAAACCCCATGTCTACAAAAAATTTAAAAAAATAAAAACCAAAACAGTGAGAGAAAAAAAAAATACTCAGCAAGCTAGATCATTTTTTAAAAAAACAGCAACTTCAATGAGCTCAAAAGCACCTTTTGAACTTTGTATGGGCAACCTGAGATGTGGTAAACATTTGTTAGTGTGTGTCCTGCAAAAGAGAGATGGAAGACAAGCTACTCAGATGATAAAAATGATATTTAAGATAACAATTCTAAAGGGGGATGGGGTTACCCCTAAGGGTAGATCTATAACCTAACTCCTTAAAAATACAGAAGCTAACGCCAGGCATGGTGGCTCACACCTGTAATCCCAGCACTTTGGGAGGCCGAGGTGCGTGGATCACGAGGTCAGGAGATCGAGACCATCCTGGCTAACATGGCAAAACCCTGTCTCTACTAAAAATACAAAAAATTAGCCGGGCATGGTGGTGGGCACCTGTAGTCCCAGCCACTTAGGAGGCTGAGGCAGGAGAATGGTGTGAACCTGGGAGGCGGAGCTTGCAGTGAGCAGAGATCACACCACTGCACTCCAGCCTGGGTGACAGAGCGAGACTCCGTCTCAAAAAAAAAAAACAAAAACAAAAACAAAAAAAACAGAAGCTAAAATTCTATAAAACACATACTGAATAATCAAGACCTCTAGATTCTATTATATTATATTTAGTTTCACAAAGGATAACCACCATGGGACTGCCCAGTACCCCTTAATCTGCTAAAGAACTCTAGGATATAAGATTCTTAGTGCTATTAAAAAAACAAAAAAGTCATGGACTTAGTTAAGGATAAAACTCAAGTAGTACTTAAACCAATTAAGAAAGTCTTATTTCAACAAATCTTTAAAAGCTAATCACTCTTTGAGCCTTCCATTTCTATCCTGCTATTCTGAAAGTAACCTGCAATCACAAGGCCCAATAAGCCGTAATTCATTCCAAATACCAATTTTATGTATCAGGCAGATCAAGCTTCTAAAAATAGGTGGGCCGCGAGGGGTGGCTCAAGCCTGTAATCCCAGCACTTTGGGAGGCTGAAACGGGCAGATTACCTTAGCTCAGGAGTTCAAGACCAGACTGGCCAACATGGCGAAACCTCATCTCTCCTAAAAATAAAAAAATTAACCAGGCATGGCAGCACATGCCTGTAATCCCAGCTACTCCGGAGGCTGAGGCAGGAGAATCTGCCAGGTTGAACCTGCGAGGCAGAGGCTGCAGTGAGCCAAGATCGCACCACTGCATTCCAGCCTGAGCGACAGAGTGAGACTCCATCTCAAAAAAATAATAAAAAAAAAATAAAAATAGGTAGGTTAAGATGTCTCTCATGTCACAAAATGTTCTAGAAAAGGGGTGGTCAAATAGTTATTTCTACAGAAAGGATTACAGTAATAAAAGCCACAGCAGTATAGTTTCTATTCTCCTACTACATAAGGGAAATTCTAGGTACAAGCTGAACCTAGACACTGTTTATGATCAAGTGACATGAAACACCATTAGATTTCTCTTGCCAAGTATTCAGCTATCCTATTCTAGTATCTGTTTAGTCTGTTAGTTTGCTGGGGATTTTTTGTTTGTTTTGGGTGAGGGGAATGATGGAGCTCTGATTTGACAGAGAGGCATTCAGATTTATCACAGAGTTTTTTGATCCCTCTAAAAAACTAGTTCTTGCTGGTAAATAAAATCAGCTGAATTAGATAAACTCAAGGGTCCCTTATTACTCTAAAATTCCATAGTTTAAAAGAGTCATTTGTTATCTGTATCCTAACACCAGAGCAGAGTTAAATTTAAGCCCGCCTTTTATAATTTCTAATTCACTCTACTTCAGAACCAACAAAACACAGGATAATGCACACATGTCTGTGAAGTCTTTAAAAGTTCTTTTAACCACTTTCACACTGGAAAGACAATTCTTTTAAGAAAAATAAAATTTTAAATTTTGGGAGAAGCATAGTACATCTAATATTAGAGTTTAAGAGCCAATTAAGGACATAAACTACAGTTGCTTGCTTCTACGTAACAGTCTTAATCTAAGAAAAAACAACAATAAAAAAAAAAGCATTAAAAAGCATGACACTGGCCGGGCACGGTGGCTCACGCCGGTAATCCCAGCACTATGGGAGACCTAGGTAGGTGGATCACCTGAAGTCAGGAGTTCGAGACCAGCCTGGACAACATGGTGAAACCCGTTCTGTACTAAAAATACAAAAATTAGCCAGGTGTGGTGGCATCCGCCTGTACTTCCAGCTACTCGAGAGGCTGAGGCAGGAGCATCACCTGAACCTGGGAGGTGGAGGTTGCAGTGAGCCAAAATCGTGCCGCTGCACTTCAGCCTGGGTAACCAAGTGAGACTCCGCCTCAAAAAAAAAGAAAGCATGACATTAACCAAAAATAGTTGTTAAAGGAAGAAACTACATAAGCTGGCTGTTATTTTGACTAGTTCTAAGGGTACAAGCTGTCAAAATTAGCCCATATATTAGATTTAAGAAATCTCCATACTTTAGAAACTAGTCTATTGGGATAGGAAGCAAAAACACTTATTGTACACAGATTTCTTCTCTTTGGAGTATTCTAGCCAACTTCCTACTTTCCTTTGATGAAATGCTTTTAAGTAAATGAATGAATGGCCACAACAGCTACATCTAACTCTGACCCACAAATCCTATAAAACATAAAATACTCAAATGATAAGTTCTTTTAACTGTACAATTAAAATTAATCTTTTTAAACTGAAAGCTTAAATTTTTCCTTTTTCTCCCCAAATCAGAGCCATGGGAAATTTCTCATAAAACCATTCCATATCTTATTTTCGTAGAAAAATTCAGTGCTCAAGAAAATTAATAATAAAATATTCCACAATCTAAGTTCAATCTCCTCATGAAAAGATTAGTGAAAAGTCTACCGGAATCCTTGTTCCTTTATAGCAAATGCTGGTGTTTCCAAGGGGAAAATTTCAGACTGCACGAACAGTTCCCTCACTCTTCGGTCTATGACTTTCCCGTACTGAGCACCAGCATCCAGAATGACAACAGCTCCTTCATAGTGGTGGTGGCCATCCTTAAGGTCTCCTCCAGCATTCTCCAGCTGCAAATATCAATACAAATACAAAGTCTTAATTATGAAAATTAAAGCTACAGTACTTAAAAAAAAATTAATGATCACTGTCAGCTCCAAAAACACATAGGAATGAAAACTTAGGACTTTCTGAGTTACCAATTCAAAATACCCCTTTTAAAGGGAAGATTTTAATATATATCCATGCATGGGCATATATTAAACACTTAAACTTAATAAATCTTACCACTTATTGACTATGTAATATAGTGATCATGTGTATATATATCTTACATGCATGATCTAATGGTAGGATGAGCACACAATCCAGCTGCGCCAAAATATAGTCCTGGTTTATGTTTATTACATGGGCATTATTATTAACAGTGCATCCTTTCAATCTCAAAGTGTCCCAGTTTGGACAATAAGTTATTCGGTCACCCTATCAATAGGCACAACATTTTTATGAGGGATATATACTGATGGGGAAACTAGAAGTTTGACACTAGAGTATAAGCATGGCCAAATTCACTGTTAGGATTTTTTTTGTATTATCTGAGGAAAATGATATATATGCATCTAACTCATAACACTAAGATTTTTAAAAGGCCTTTTAGGCCGGGCGCGGTGGCTCACGCCTGTAATCCCAGCACTTTGGGAGGCCAAGGCAGGTGGATTACCTGAGGTCACGAGTTCAAGACCAGCCTGGCCAACATGGTGAAATCCTGTCTCTACTAAAAATACAAAAAATTAGTTGGGCATGGTGGCGGGCACTGTAATCCCAGCTACTGGGGAGGCTGAGGCAGGAGAATCGCTTGAACCCCGGAGGCGGAGGTTGCAGTGAGCTGATATCATGCCATTGCACTCCAGCCTGGGCAACAAGAGCAAAATTCTGTCTCAAAAATAAATAAAAATAAAAAGACTTTTTAAATCTGATTGCTGTCAGGTATACATGGATAACACTTTTCTGAAAGGTTAATTTGGCAAAATGTCAAGTTTTTAACTGAAATATACCAAAATACTTACCTGGAAGATGCTTCAAAATAATGCAAAAGTAGGTGGCTATGGATGAAACAAGACTGCCCGTGTACTGAAATCACTGAAGTTGGGTGATAGGTACATTAAGTTCATTGTACTCGTCTGGTTTCTATCCTGGGGGTTTTTTTTGTTTGCTTTTTTGTTTGTTTGTATATTTTAAATTTTACATAAAGAAACGCTTTAAAAGTTTGTGTGTACCCTGGAAATCCACTTATAGGAAGCATGTACAGTATAATGCCACTTCAATGTGTCTTATATAAAAGTGCAAAAGTCTGTATGCATGTATAAAAAAGGAAGAGTATGGCTGGCCATACACCAAAATATTAAGAGTGATGAAGTAGTTCATCTAAGTAATGGAACTATAAGTGATTTTATATTTTTATTTCTTTATACTCTTCAATATGTCCTAAATGTTTACAATAAACATATTTAGGGAGGTTTTCTCCCTCTAGTTGTAAAATTTGCAGATAAAAACCTTAAGTCAGTCCTTTAGCCACTTGTGTAATCTTTTCCACCATTCCTCCCTTCTCCATTTATCTGCAAAAAATAAATGCAGGCCTAACCTACAACACCACTATTCCGTCTGCTGCAAAAACGAACAAGCGTTCAGGCATGGTGGCTCACAGCTGTAATCGCAGCACTTTGGGAGGCCGAGGCAGGTGGATCACCTGAGGTCAGGAGTTCAAGACCAGCCTGACCAACATGGAAAAACCCTGCCTCTACTAAAAACACAAAATTAGCCAGGCATTGTGGTGGGCACCTATAATCCCAGCTACTCGGGAGGCTGAGGCAGGAGAATCACTTGAACCCAGGAGGCGGAAGTTGCCGTGAGCCAAGATCACGCCATTGCACTTCAGCCTGGGCAACAAGAGCAAAACTCCATCTCAAAAAAAAAAAAAAAAAAAGTAACAAACAAATCAGTCATCTACAGAGGAGGATTTGTGAGAGGGAGCCAATCCGGTGCCAGAAGAAATTACTCAGGTCATAGAAATGAAGGTTCTGGTCATATGAATATTCAATACCGTAGAAAAGTGAAATCACAGAACAAACTACAACTTTGTCCTTTCAGACCTTTACCCTTAGTATTAATGTATACACATACACACACCCCTTCATGGATTTTCTCTATAATTCCTTAATCTTAACTTTTTAAAAAATATTTTTAAACACTACATTATTGCATAAATTTCTCAGACTCAGTCCCATTATTATCTTTACCATTTTTACCAAATCTAAGTATGCTTTTTTACATTACAGGCAGAGTTCCTGCCTTGCATAATCCTAATATGCACAAATTTCAATTACCATGGTTTATACCAAGGTTTAGTTAATTACCAGTCCCCAACAACATGGCTCAAATTTCAGTTATCATACATTACTGTGAGTAATTATATAAAGGACAAACTTCATTGCCAGCTCTTCAGTCCACAAACCACCATGTAAATAACAGATGAACATCAGGATCAGTGACCAATCACCTCCCTTCTTTCATTCTATTGGTGATTGGTCAATGGACAACAAACAGCCAGAGTGCAGTGTGTTGCCTGTCTTACACTGATAAACCCCAAAGGACTTTTTACAAATACAGATAATCCAAACGGGGCTGGCCAACAAAGATGAAAATGCAGCAAAGAAATGAAAAGTGATAATGCTGGAGTGAAATTTGAATATATGGAGTTACAGAAGAAAATGCTGACTGTGGCAAGGCTGACAGGGTTTGAGAGCCTCTAGATATACAGCCACAGAACTTACCAACATCAGTGAGGAAACTGGTTGTGATGGAAAGAATGGCAACGTCCCAAAGGAAGTGACTCCAGGAAAATACTTCACATTAAAGCAACTCTAGGAGATATTTCATGACATTAAAACTGCAAAGGATAAAATGTTGGAAGCAACCAAGGCACAGAAACGACACAGAGAAGTGCTGTTTAAACTACTATTGATAAGCTTTTTACAAAGAAATAAAATACTTTAATTCTCAATGTTCCTAGTATTTTAAATTATACTGTAGTAAACAGTAGTTTTACTATTTTTTTATTTCCCTACACTTTTGTAATTGACAAAAGTTTTTAGTGATTTAACAAAAATTTTTAAAGATCACAAAACAATTGTAATTTTCCCACTGACTATTAAAATTGCTTTGCATGGTTTCAGCTTGCATTATTATTTTTAGCTGTTTTACTTATCCTGCATAGCAAGGACTGCCTGTATTTATTTAAGTAAACTAATCTTTACTCAAAAAATGTATTTTAAAAGAATTTTCCTGTTTCCTTAGCAATAAATGTTCAATTCTGTGACACAAGAGATTACTGAAGAAACTGAATCCTTGCCCTATTTCCTTCTACTGTGGGTATGACCTTGCCTATGCAGCAACTGTCACAGCTTTGACAATTCAGGAGAAAACAAAAAGGCTCCCACTAGTAAAAGCAAAGTTCCTCTCCCTCAAAACCTGGCATTTATTTGCTCACACTTCACACACAGTTGTAAAGTTTGATAATTAGATTCGAGATATTAGAAAAACCATCCTAATGAGAAAAAAGAAACTTAGTCACATCAATGCAGAGACAAATAAAATTCAGCATCACAAGATAGAAAAATCTACCATATCTATTTACATAAAGCTATTAAAAAGACAAATGCCTAAAGACTTAAGGTGAATATCCCTCACTGCCCTGAGTGCATCATAATAAAATAAGCAATATTCATAGATATATTTTAAGATATCAAGAAAAAATATTAAGGAAAAAATTAAACCATATACAGCAAACTCTTTAAGAATAGGGTAAGAAGATCTAGCAGATTCTGGAAAAGTGGAGATGGAAATGTTTATGGAAATGTTTTGTGATTTTCTTGGATCCCACATAATTACTGAACAACTAGATAGCAAAGACATTTACAAGAACCCCAAAATACAAGTTGGTGGTGACAAACTACCACAGCCACAAACCCTAGTGCTACAGCACCTACGTGGGAAGCAATCCAGCCTTATTAAAGGACCTGAAAACAGGAGAATTCCCAACACCCAAGAGGTACGACCCAGAAGGCACAGCACCCAATTAGAGAACCGCAGCGCGCTAGGAGGAGGTTTGCCCACACCAATAGTACACAAGTGGCAGGGAACCCAAGGTAAGACATAAAGGGGCCAGGAGAGTTTAACCCCCATGAACCCTTGACACTAACCAGTCAGAGATCCTTTCCAGGAGAGGGCCTGCTATGAAGAGCCACTGCTGGGAGATGACCAAAACTAACAGGACAGGAAAAAGGGAGAAGGAACAGACTAACATGGGGCACAGGGACAGAGCCAGGAATTCTTAGGAAACAAGTGCCATAATTTTTTAACAGAAGAGGAAGTTGTATGAAGTTAGAAACGTTATCTTGACTAGCTTCCTTCTAAAAGTTGAGGAAAACTAAATTCACATAAAAAGGAAACAAAGTATAGAAGTTAAATCCCATACAAAGTTACTAAAAGTAAAAAAAAGGGAGGCCAGGTCCCTGTGACTAAAGCCTGTAATACCAGCACTTTGGGAGGCGGTAGTGGAGGGAGGCAGATCGCTTGAGCCCATGAGTTCGAGACCAGCCTGGGTAACATAAAGAAATCCTGTCTCTACAAAAAATACAAAAATTAGGCCAGGTGCCGTGGCTCACACCTGTAATCCCAGCACTTTGGGAGGCCAAAGAGGGTGAAGCATCTGAGGTCAGGAGTTCGAGACCAGCCTGGCTAACGTGGTAAAACCCCATTTCTACTAAAAATACAAAATTATCTGGGTGTGGTGGTGCATGCCTGTGATCCCAGCTACTTGGGAGGCTGAGGCAGGAGAATTGCTCAAACCTTGGAGGTGAAGGTTGCAGCGAGCTGAGATCACACCATTGCACCCCAGCCTGAATAAGAGTGAAACTCCATCTCAAAAAAAAAAAAAAAAATTAGCTGGGAGTGGGTGCACGTGCCTGTGGTCCTAGCTACTCGGGAGGCAGAGGTGAGAGGAGCCCAGGAGGTTGAGGCCACAGTGAGTCATAATCATGCCACTGCACTCCAGCCTGGGTGACAGAGTGAGATCCTGTCTCAAAAAAATAAAAATAAAAAATAGAGGGAATAAAGAACAGAATGATGTCTCTATGAGAATAAGCAAGAAAGACATCCTCAGCTCAAAACTAGAATGTACTATTTCTATAGTAGCTAAAAGATACTTTTAAAATTACACAAGGCAAGAGAGAACATGAATCAAAATTAGTCTATGAACTCAGAACGACCAACCCTAAAACATACTCCAACAAAATTACTGGATTAAAAAAAAAAAAAAAAAGCCTTTGGGTATTTTAGATTAAAAGCACACATAATTTTTTAGGCTAAGGAGGGGGGATTACTTGAGCCCAGGAATTGGAGACTAGTCTGGGCAATGCAGCAAGACCCTATCTCTTAAAAAAAATTTTTAATAATTAAAATAAAGGAATGTTGGTCAATTTTACTGAGGTTTTTCATAAGAGGCCATCATCTCACATAACACTGAATGAAGTTGGAACCTAAACTAAAATGTTAAATCAAAAAGTAAGACTCTGTAGTTCTGTTGTTCTACCCTATCCCTTTTTATTTTTAAATTTTTTAACCTAAAGAAAAGTTGAAAGTTTGGTACAATAAACACCACTCTTCATCTATATCAATGATCAGTAACATTTTGCTGTATTTGCTTTATTTCCATCTACATACACTTTTTCCACCTGAACGACTTAAACTGTATACCTTTCACTCCCCCAAAACCTTTTCAGCATGCATCTCCTACAAACAGGGACAATCTCCTATGTAACTACAATATCATTATCACATCCAAGAAAGTTAACATTGATAATTATCTACATATAAGTTTCCCCAATTGTCAAAAACAAGGTGTTTATGGTTTTTAAAAAATTCCATAATCTATCAAGGACCACACACACAGTACACACATTGTCATACATTGTCTCCTTCAACTATTCACCTCCTCACCTTTTTATAGTCTTTTATGGCATTGACCTTTTTTAAAGATCAGACCAGCTTTTTGTAGAATGTCCCACACTGGATCTCTTTGTTGTATCATGATCAGATTCTAGATAAACATTTGACAAGAAATTTACATTGGTAATGTTATCATGCCTCCTCTTGATATGATACAATGCAAAGACACAATGTCATTTTGTTCCATTACTGGTGATACTGAGTTTGGATAACATGCCAGTGTGCTTAAAAGAAAGAAAAAAAAAATCAGATTCAAATCTTCCTTTGCTCAAAACCTTACAGTGACTTCCCCTTAGACTGTTCAATAAAGCTCAAAATATTTCCCAAGACCTATAAGAACCTGGCCTACTCTTTAGCCAAACTGCTCTTTTAAAATTCTCTATTGCTCCAGAGTGGTATGCTGTCCTTTCTGGCTGAAAAATCCCCAAAACATAAATGAATCATTTCAAACTTGCCAAGTGAAAGAAGCCACGCATCTCTGAAATTACAATATATCTTAAATATTAATATCTTAAAATTCCACTAGTCCAATGACACAACTATCATTGCCATTGTTAATATTATGTTAATTCATATTGAGTCACATAAAGTTGCAGAAAAGCTTTTCCTTAAGGGAAAGGGATTCCCAGTGTGTCTCAAGGAATTTCTCATAGAACAGGAAGACATCCCAAGGCTTCAAGGGAAGAAACAGAGGTGAGCCCAGCTAAGTCATCAGGAGGCCGGGCACGGTGGCTCACGCCTGTAATCCCAGCACTTTGGGAGGCTGAGGCGGGTGGATCACAAGGTCAGGAGATCGAGACCAACCTGGCTAACATGATGAAACCCAGTGAGTGGAGATCACATCACTGCACTCCAGCCTGGGTGACAGAGCAAGACTCTGTGTCAAAAAAAAAAAAAAAAAAAAAAAAAAAGTCATCAGGAATAGACATGCTAGATTTTTTTTTTTTTTTTTTTGAGATGGACTCTTGTACTGTAGCCCGGGCTAGAGTGCAGTGGCGCGATCTCAGCTCACTGCAACCTCTCAGCTCACTGCAATTCTCTTGCCTCAGCCTTCCGATGAGCTGGGATTACAGGCACCTGCCACCACGCCCGGCTAATTTTTCATATTTTTAGTAGAGACGGGGTTTCACTATGTTGGCTGGGCTGGTCTCAAACACCTGACCTCATGATCCACCCGCCTCGGCCTCCCAAAGTGCTGGGATTACAGGTGTGAGCTACCGCACTCAGCCAGACATGCTAGATTTTTATATAACTCACCAAGTTTGCCATTTCTCTATGTATTCTGTGAACAGTTGAGTAAGATCCCTAGAAAAGTGTAGCAACTTATTATTCCTACAATTATGAATGGACAAGTGCAATCCCTTAATATTTTAGTCAGCAAAACATTTAAAAACCAACTGAAGGCTGAGCGCCATAGCTCACACCTGTAATCCCAGCACTTTGGGAGGCTGAGATGGGAGGATCACTTGAGGCCAGGAGTTTGAGACCAGCCTGGGCAACGTGGCAAAACCTCATCTCTACTAAAAATAGAAAAATTAGCCAGGCATGGTAGCACATGTCTGTAATCCCAGCTACACCGGAGGCTGAGGCACTAGAATCACTTGAACCCATGAGGCGGAAGCTGCAGTGAGCCAAGATCATGCCACTGCACTCCAGCCTGGGCTGTGACAGAGCGAGATTCTCTCAAAACATAGAACAAAACAAAACAAAACCCTATGTGTAAGTAGTACATGAGTCTTTCAAGTTTGTCTAAATAAGTCTCTTTCTATATACAGGTTAAACATCCTTAATCCAAAAATCTGAAACATTTTGGATTTTTGGATTAGTGGCACTCAAACAGTAAGTATAATACAAATACTCCAAAATCCAAAATCTAAAATACTTCTGATAAAAAATTCTAGGTATAGCTGACAGTTACACAGTTGTTCATTTTAGGTAACAAATGTATAAAATGCCTTTAGAAAACTGTGTTTATACCTGAGAAAAATCTGGAAGTCACAAGACATACCCTGATGCAATAATGTACAATATTAGATCTACATTTGGTCATATAAACAATGTTTACCAATTACCAACTGTTTCATGTTGCCTAAATTATGATCACTAACTTTTGTTCCATTAGTCTTATATTAACAAATGTGTAGATATTAAATATAAACAAAAATTTCAATCACTTAATTCATCTGAGTTCATTTTCACTACCTCCTTTAATCTGAGTACACAACAGATAGGATTCTATGGGAGTGCCTTCAATAAATTACTATGTTTAAGTTTTCAATGTTCGATAGATTTGGGAAATACAAGTCTCTACTGACATATGTTATGTCAGCTTTTCACTGCTCTTGGTTAATAACTTCATACATTGAAAAAACTCTTTTCCCTAATGAGATTTCAAGCTAGTAGGTATTCATTAAAGACTATTTAGTTTCTACGTGTTACGTATATTGTTTCAAATTCAATTATTTTTCCTCCTTAACTGAACCAGTTTGTACCTCTGACTGCAGCTTCATCTTCTTTTGCTAACCAAACACATCTCTTAGATTTTCAAAGTAGTCCAGACTCTCTTCTACCCTATCTACAAGGGGCCAATAGCTCCTTTCAAGTTCATGTGGGCACCTTCCCAGAATATAATGAACAGCTGAATGTACTATCTAAATCAATGAACTAAAAAGCAATTTAGCTTCAACTTAGTTACCAGTTCTAGCACCCACCTAAAGACAGCCAGAACCCCATACACATACCCTAATCATGGAATTGGGTTGATGAATTCTATCTTCTCAGGTAAACTGAATACAGTTCTACTGTATGTAATCTGCACATTATGAACACTAGGGGTAAGAAAATAGAACAATTCTCTATTATCTTTTTCTTCTAATTTGAGGGGAAATTTAAAGTTGGTCCAGGGCCACAATTTCTAATCTGATTTTTTAACCTTTGAAAACAACGCCAATTTTCCCCTCGAGTTTCAATTATCCTAAGACTTGTCTTTCCAGAAAGTTAAGGCAATACTATTTTGTTGACACAATATACGTATGTGACCAGTTCTCAAATAACTACGAAAAGTTGGCACTGTTGACTAAAATGAAAGTATACTGTTCTTTGCCTCGTGATTTTTTTTTCTTTTTTTTTTTTTTCTGGAGGCAGAGTCTCGCTCTGTTGCCCAGGGTGGAGTGCAGTGGTGCGATCTTGGCTCACTGCAACCTCTGCCTCCCAGGTTCAAGTGATTGTCCTGCCTCAACCTCCCAAGTAGCTGGGATTACAGGAGTGCACCACCATGCCCAGCTAATTTTTGTATTTTTAGTAGAGACGGGGTTTCACCATGTTGGCCAGGTTGGTCTTGAACTCCTGACCTCAGGTGATCCACCCGCCTCAGCCTCCCAAAGTGCTGGGATTACAGGTGTTAACCACCATGCCCAGCCTGCCTCATGATATTTAAATCCTTTTAATATTAATATATTATTAATATAATAAAGATTAAAATCTTTATTATAGCTAGTTTTTCTATTCAATAACAAGCATTAGCCAACTGAGGAACAAGGTTATCTTTGCGTAGGTTTAAACCAGTATCAATCAGCCCGAATCAACCTGCTTGTTTCCTAAAGCTGGCAACATACACAATTTTGAAAAGGGTAAACATTCAGTAAAAACTGTTGTCAAACTATCAAAATATTAGAAGGAAAAGTTCTGAACTATGTTCAGTCTGATTAGTTGTTCTGTTAAACTCCTTGGGTTTTTTCTTACATTCACCTTTAGTTGTCTTGACTCACTCTGCATTCCTGAGGAGACTGAGATCTAGTATTTTAACAAAAATTACTTTTGAAGGTGATTTTAAGTATGTGCACATGTATAGCCTGTTTGCATGAAGAACCAAAGGCATCTTGCAAAGAAGCGAAGAAATGAAAACAATACAGATGGATACCCAAACTCTGACTCGTTCTCTTCAGTTTGTCTCCCCATACTATCAATGTACTAATAAAGATGACCTTAAAATACGAGACAGTTTTTATGAAGAGATGAAAGATAATCAAAGGGCTGTATTTTTCTAAATATACTGAATTTGTGAACACTCTCAATTTTGATTATCACGTGATCACTATTCCTAAAATATTAACACATTTATACATTTTTTTTCCTTAAGAAATAAATTAGGCTAGGCACAGTGGCTCATGCCTGTAATCCTAGCACTTTGGAAGACTGAGGCGAGTGGATCACTTGAGCTCAGGAGTTTGAGACCAGCCTGGGCAACATGGTGAAACCCCATCTCTACTAAAAATACAAAAAAAATTAGCTAGGCGTGGTGGCGCACACCTACAGTTTTAGTTACTCGGGAGCCTGAGGCATGAGAATGGCTTGAACCTAGGAGGCAGAAGCTGCAGTGAGCTGAGATAGTGCCACTGCACTCCAGCCTGGGCGACAGAGTGAGACTCTGTCTCAAACAGAAAAAGAAAAAAAATTAAACTTCAAGTAATAGAGTGTCACAATTTCACAAGTATTTAGTATGTGGTAGTATGTGGTCTATTTTTCAAGATGTTTCTGTACTTCATAAACCCAGTCTCTTTTCTACATACGACCCTTTCTATTATACAGCATACATTAATTGCACCATTGGAAATAATGAATAAAATCTGAAAAAACTATTTACAAAATTGGTAAAATAGTATTAATAATGAGAATGAATCAAGCATGTATTCTGACTTTACCAGGGTAACCACATAGTTAGTGAAGGAACGTTTTTAAGCAAACTGTTACCAGTTCATGACAAAAAAAGAATCCATAAGTTTTATATAAGCATCCATAAATTTGCATAACAAGTTGACAAAGTAATTTTATTTCTGTTGCATCTATAATAAAAATTGGGGGCTTTTAAAATATATTGGATTTTAAATTTTCATTTGTCTAGAAATTTACTGTATTTTACAAAAGTAGCAGTCCTCAGTACTGGAAATGTTTTTTAAATGGTCTTCATTGCAGATGTTTGATAAGCACTGAACGGTGGCTATTAAAACCATTAAGTAAAAGGTTAATGAGAAACCTGATAATGACGGATAAGCTGGTAACATCTGAATCAACTAATGCAGCTTAACATACAAAAACAGACAACCAGACATATGTAACTCTCTTACTGTGATGCACTACATAAACATGAATGAAAGACTGGTCACATGTTGATAACTGCTGAACTGGATAGGGACCTGAGGGATCATTATATTCTTCACTGTACTTATGCAAATGTTTTCAATTTTCCATATATAACATCGTTGGCCCTAATTCTTCATCATTCCCTGTATCCATGATTTTATCACTTAAGTCTGCAGCTTGTCCTATTATAGATAGAACATACTTCCTCACCTTTGTCACTGGGCTCAAGCACAAGACTTGCTTTGGCCAATATAATGAGGGCAGAAGTCATAGTACACCAAGTCTTAATCAGTCTTCATTTATTTTTATTTTTTTTCAGACAGGGTCTCACTCTGTCACCCAGGTTGGAGTGCGGTGGTGCGACCTCAGCTCACTGCAACCTCTGCTTCCCAGGCTCAAGCAATCCTCCCAGCTCAGTCTCCCAGGTGGCTGGGACCACCCATGCATGCACCACCATGCCTGGCTAATGTTCTGTATTTTTAGTAGAGACAGGATTTCCTCATGTTGCCCAGGCTGTTCTAAACTCCTGAGCTCAAGTGATATACCCACCTCAGCCTCCCAAAGTGCTGGGATTGCAGGTGTGAGCCACCAGGCCCTGCTGCTTTAAGCAGTCTTAATGTTTCTACTTGCCTCTTAGACTTCTGCCACCATGAGAACATCATGAGTGTACTAGTCTCAGGAAAAGGACAAGATCAAGTGGAGCTGAGCAATGTCAGCTGACCCACAAACTCACGAACAAAAAATAAGTGCTTATGTTTGTATGCCACTTACATTTTGTGATTGTTAATTACCATTACCGTGGCAATAGCTAACTGAAATGCCACAGTACAATTTTAAAAATTAGTATCATCATATGCCTTTGTGAAGATGTTTCTACCACCAGCTTAAGTAACATTTAAAAAACTAATATCAAGCCAGGAGCAGTGGCTCACGCCTGTAACCCCAGCACTTTGGGAAGCCAAGGAGGGCAGATCACCTAAGGTTGGGAGTTTGAGACCAGCCTGACCAACATGGAGAAACCCTGTCTGTACTAAAAATACAAAATTAGCCGGGCATGGTGGCACACGCCTGTAATCCCAGCTACTTGGGAGGCTGAAGCAGGAGAATCGCTTGAACCCGGGATGCAGAGGTTGTGGTGAGCCGAGATCATGCCATTGCATTCCGCCCTGGGCAACAATAGCAAAACTCCGTCTCAAAAAAAAAAAAAAAAAAAAAAAAACTAATATCAAAGCATCCATAGCAGGCTCTTAATTATTAACATACTTTGTCAAAACATCACATTGTACCCCATAAATATATACAATAAATATTAATAACATATTTTGATTCTGCCTTTGCTAACAGAAATACATAAGAATGTAAGTAAAACTGTACCAAATGTCTATAATTATGGTCATCTCTCGGTGACTTTGTCTTTATGATAAACATTACACTGATTCTTTGGCTTTAGACATTAAAATACAAACGCACACTTATTTTTTTCTTTTTAATAAGAGGGTAACTAATGAAGGAAAGACATCAGAGAAAAGAAACCACTGAGAAGCACTATTAACCTCTAGAGAGCCAGACGTGGTTAACCCAAGATGTACCACCTTAGGCAAGATAATATGCCTAACAGACAAACCGACAGAGATTTTCTTAATAACTGAAAAAAGTTTTAACTTAAAAATACTGCACCAATACCAAGTTTGCATTTTTTAAAAACAACTTTGTTAAATCCAGAGTGCTTCTGATTCTATTTATTGTTCAAGGGAATGTTGTGAGTGACAGAAATGTTCTATATCTTGATTGGGGTGATGGTTACATGAGTACATATATATGTCAAAACTCAACTACATACTTAAAGATCTATGCACTTCACTGCATGTACATTTTACCACAATAAAAACAAGCAAAACAAAACACCTATTAGTGAGTTTTTTAAACTACCACCTCTCTCCACAAACTGACACTAAAGATACAAAACTGATACAAAAAGATACTACCACAATGAGCAACTGTTACCCTCAGCCTTCAGGGGCACTCATGGTCAAGCTCTGCCATGGTCAATAACAAGGCCAACAATCATCCAAATCTAAGAGCCAGTCTGTTAAAAAACCCTAAGTCAGATTAAACCCACCTTAGAAAAGATACAAAAATTATCTCAAAATGAAACAAAGACATAAATAAGAGCAAAAACTACAAAACTTTTATAAGAAAACATAGGTAATTACACAAATCTTTGTGATATGTATTGAATGAGGCCAACAGTTTTTTAGATGACACCAAAAACAAAAGTGACAAAAGAAGAAATAAATTAAGCCTCAAAATTAAAGGTTTTGGTGCTTCAAAGAACACCATTAAGAAAGTGTAAAAAGATAATCTACAGAATGGCAGAAAATAATCGCAAATCATATTGATAAGAAACATCTCTAGACTTAAAAAAAAAAAACTCTTAAAACTCAATAAAAAAGAAAAATAATCCAATTTTAAAATGGGCAAAAGAATTAGCTGGGCATGGTGGCAGGCGCCTGAAATCCCAGCTACTCAGGAGGCTGAGGCAGGAGAATTGCTTGAACCCAGGAGGTGGAGGTTGCAGTGAGCTGAGATCACACCACTGCACTCCAGCCCGGGGAACAGTGCGAGACTCCGCCTCAAAAAAAAAAAAAAAAAAGGGCAAAAAAGACCTGAACAGACATTTCTCCAAAGAAAATACAGAAATGGCCAATAAGCACATGAAAAAATGCACATAACCAGTCATTAGGGAAATGCAAATCATAGCCAAAATGAGATCCCACTTCACAGCTACTCTGATGGCTATAATCAAAAAGACAAGTGGGTCAGGCGTGGTAGCTCATGCCTGTAATCCCAGCACTTTGAGAGGCCAAGGCAGGCAGATCACCTGAGATCAGGAGTTCGAGGCCAGCCTGACCAACGTGGGAAAACTTCAACTCTACTAAAAGTACAAAAATTAGCCAGTGTGGTGGCGCATGCCTGTAATCCCAGCTACTTGGGAGGCTGAGGTGGGAGAATCGTTTGAACTGGGGAGGTGGAGGTTGCAGTGAGCTGAGATAGCACCACTGCAGTCCAGCCTGGGCGACAGAGACTCTGTCTCAGGAAAAAAAAAAAAAAAAAAAAAGACAAGTGCAGAAAAGGATGTGGAGAAATTGTGATGGCTAATTTCAGGTACGAACTTGACCAGACTAATAATACCCAGATAGCTAGTAAAGGATTATTTCTGGGTATGTCTCTGAGGGTGTTTCCAGGAGAGACTGGCATTTGAATCAGTAGACACAGAAAGGAAGATCCACCCTCATCCAATGTGAGCAGGCATTATCCAATAGCTGAGGCTAGGGCAGAACAAAGTCAAGGCAGGGGAAAGTCAAATTATCTCCCTTCTGGAGCTAGGACACCTTCTGCCCTTGTATATAAGAATTTCAGGATATGGCCTTCGGATTCCAGGACTTGCACCAGCAGCCACTCTCCCATCACCCTCCCCCCATCCCTCTCCCACCAAGGTTCTCAGGCCTTCAGACTCACACTGAGAATTACACCATGGACTCCCGATTCTCAGGTCTTTGGACTTACACTAAGTAATGCTACCAGCTTGGTAGGTTCTCCAGCCTGCAGACAGTCTATCGTGGGACTTCTCAGCCTCCATAATCGCGTCAGCCAATTCCCCTAACAAATTTCCTCTCATATATCTCTCTATATATATATCTATTATCTATTTCTCTATCTATAGCCTACTGTTTTTCTGGAGAATCCTGACATAAACTGCCACACAGCAGACAAAAATATAAAATGTTGCAGCTGCTTTGGAAAACAGTCTGACAGTTCACTAAAAGGTTAAACGGAGTCACTCTATGACCCAGAAATTCCACTCCTAGGTTTATACTCAAGAGCATGAAAACTTTTGTCTAGATAAAAACTTATACAGAAATGTCCATGGCAGCATTATTCATAATATTCAGAGTGAAAACAACCCAATGTTCATCAACTGATAAGTGGATAAATATAAGGTGGTATACATACAATGGAATATTAGCAGGTAATAAAAAGGAATAAAGTACTTATACATGCTACAAGATGAACCTTGAAAGCATTATGCTAAGTGAAAGCCACAAAACACCATATATTTTAAGATTCTAGTCACAAAATGTCCAAAATAGGTGCTACGGTCTGAATGTTTGTGTCCCCCTAAAATTCATATGTTGAAACCTAATCACCAATGTGATAATATTAAGAGGTGAGGTCTTTGGGAGGTGGTTAGAGCATGAGGGCAGAGCCCACACGGATAGGATTAGTACCCTTATAAAAGAGGCCCTAGGGGCTGGGCACGGTGGCTCATGCCTGTAATTCTAACACTTTGGGAGGCCAAGGCAGGCGGATCACCTGAGGTCAGGAGCTCATGACCAGCCTGGTCAACATAGCAAAACCCCGTTGCTACTAAAAATACAAAAATTAGCTGGGCATGGTGGCGCATGCCCAGCTACTCGGGAGGCTGAAGAAGAAGAATGGCTTGAATCCAGGAGGTGGAGGTTGCAGTGAGCTGAGATCGCGCCACTGTACTAGCGAGACTCTGTCTCAAAAAAAAAAAAAAAAAAGGCCCCAAGGTGAGGACACAGCATCAAGCACTTCTATGACCCAGGAAGTGGGCCCTCACCAGGCACTGAATCTGCAGGTCCCTTGATTTTGAACTTCTCAGCGTTCAGAATTGTGAGAAATTTTTGTTGTTCATAAGCCACTCAGTTTCTGGTATTTTGTTTTAGCGGCCCCAACAGACTAAGACAATTGGCAAATCTACAGACAGAAAATGAATTTGTGGTTGACTAGGACTGGGAGGGAGCGGTGGTTGCAGGAAAATGGGGACCCTTGCTGAAGGGTAGAGGTTTTTTTTTGGGAGGAGGGATGAGAATGTTTTTTTGACTGTACAAATGGGGGGTGATGGTTGTACAAATCTGTGAATACACTAAGAACTATGGGGTTGGATACTTTAAGCAGAGTACATGGTATGTCAATTATATCTCAATAAAGCTGTTATAAAAATTTTTTTAGGAAAAGTAAATGGTAGAATCCAGATTGAGGACATGGATGTTGACTAAAATTTCTTTTAATTTGCTTGCCAAATAATAAGTATAATGAAGTTCTACTGCTACCAATAACATCAAAATAATGATATATCTACAGGTACTTTTGTTCATCTAAAATTTCCCAAATTAATCAGAGATCGTTGATCCAAAATTTGTCCAAAGCAGAATTTTAGAAATCTGGAGTCCTAAATTTACATTCATAATAGGATTCAGAAGAATTACTGAGACTCGTTCTCCAAATTGCAAATGAGGTAGAAATTAAATTTACATGGACCGCTGTGAGTTTTGAGATTAAAAGGTTACTGTTTTTCCAGTGACAAACGGGAGTAACTAAACAGAAAACTTCACATGTCCAGGCAGCTTTAAAGGTTTGGGAAACATCCCTTGCAAGTGTTATGGCAGACTAGAGAAGATTATTTTACCTTAGGGTCAGGTTCAGTGCTGCTGGCTCACACCACTTTTAAAACACAGGTAATTAATGACACTCAGTTTTCAAGAATTTTAGAATAATACTCTTATTATATAATTAACTCAGAAAAATAATGCTAATGTATACACACTAGACTTAAATTTTAGCCAAATTTTAAATACACATCACTGGGGAGAAATCAGAGCCAAACTCAGAACAATATGTGCTCTATAAATGGAGTGACCATATGGTCCAGTCTGCCCAGGACTCTCCTGATGTACATCTGTTAGTCCGATATCCCACCCAGCTTAACATTTGTCTCAGATTTTTCTTTTTAACAACATACTATGAATAACTGCCTTAAAGTAAAATAGGACGGGTTTGTTAAACTTTCACCTTATATCTAATACCACCTTCGGCTATGGCTTTGTCTAGTGTTGTGTGGGTTGCAAGCATAGTAAACAGTTCTCATTTTTAACTTCTCGTTCAGTCTGAATGCCAAATACTGGTAACACATCCTTCCTTACTCTTTTCTAATAAAATCAAGTACTCTTGGACACAGGCAATTAAGGATAGCTAACTCTATCTAGTCTTGGGTGATGACAGGAGAAATATCTGAAGTTGCTATTCCTGCCGGCTACTCAGTGTACCTCCCAGTTGTGTTACAGCCACTCCTCACCTTGCAAGATGCACAGGAGCCTCGAGGCCATTATAAGCTGGGTCACTGGGAAATATGGGGTATTTGTGTAACACATGCAGGAAAGAGATGTTATATGTCCCTGTGTATAATGTACAGAAGACAGTAATCTGAACACTCTTGCCACAGGAGTTTTGCCATTTACTTACTAATTGTATTGTGTAAATCTACAATTTTTTTGTATGTAATATTTTATTTTGCAGCAATTATTATAAATTTAAATTTTCCACACCTTCTTTTTTTATGCTCATGTGCCCCAGTTTAGAGATCTTATTCCCTTTCACATTATAACAATCTTAATGAGTGTATAGACTTAACTATATAATCTCCTAGGTCCTCAAAACCATGAACCTGAAGCCATAGCAAGGGTCCACCAACAAGAAAACCAATTGACTGTTATGTTTTTACTATAATAAAGCAATTTTTTTAACCACCGTCCTTCTTGAGCAAATACAGAAGCATCTCTATTCCACAATAAGCATGAAAAAAATAATATTCTACGCAACCCAGAATTGTATATGCCACACAAAGATTTAAAATTCTATGAAACAATTATTTTTCTGTTGATTCACAAAGTGCTTCAGAATTATGCATTAACCCTGACACTTTCATTCATTTTCAGCATCTAAATATGGTTTAGGTTAGAAAGAGGCATAAAAACAAAGTTTAAGGCCAGGGCCGGACACAATGGCTCACGCCTATCATCTTAGCACTTTGGGAGGTGAGGCCGGTGGATCACCTGAGCCCAGGAGTTCGAGACCAGCCTGGGCAACATGGTGAAACCCCATCTCTACTAAAAATACAAAAGTTAGCCAGGCACGGCGGCATGCGCATTTAGTCCCAGCTACTCAGGAGGCTGAGTCAGGAGAATTCCTTGAGCCTGGGAGGCGGAGGTTGCAATGAGGGGAGATCATGCCACTGCACTCCAGCCTGGGTGACAGAGCAAGACTTTGTCTCAAAAACAAACAAAACAAAACACAGGATTTAAGGCCAGGCACAGTGGTTCACACTTGTAATCCCACGACTTTGGGAGGCCAAGGTGAGCGACTCACTTGAGGTCAAGGGTTAGAGACCAGCCTGGCCAACATGGTGAAACCCTGTCTCTACTAAAAATATAAAATTAGCCGTATGTGGTGGCACACGCCTGTAATCCCAGCTACTCGGGTGGCTGAGGTACAAGGATCACACAAGGATCACTTGAACCAGGGAGGCGGACATTGCAGTGAGCCGAGATCATGCCACTGTACTCCAGCCTGGGCAACAGAGCCAGACTCTGTCTCAAAAAAAAAAAAAAAAAAAAAAAAGAAAACAAAGTTTAAGAATGTACTACAACAGCAAAATTTGATTATTCTGGGTAGCAAATAATTATTCATTACTTCAAACAACATCCTTTGGAATGTAATTCATTAACCTTAAAAAAGTATCAAATACATTTGTACAAGTATAAGACAAGTCTATACTTTTTGTAAAAATTCTTAAAAGACTGAATTATTTTCCTTAAGTGACAAGTTGGCCCACGCTAAAGGCAATGTCATCCGAGATTCCTGGAGGAATTTCAAAACCTTTCAGGTCTAAGAACACACTACACTAAAAACCATTCCTTTTGTCTGCAGCAGTTCTTCCACTCTAAATGAATATCCTAACGGAATAAAATCTGAAAAATCTAACTTTTATCTAAGAAAAAAATTTACTAAGTTGTGACAAAAGGTGATATAGTTGTTTAATTCTCAGTACATCCCAGATAAAAATCCCAAGTTATATTCCCATTCCATTCAAAATCTTAAATTTGGAAATTCCAAACTTAAAATTAACATTATTAAATGCCATTAAAGATTCTGTATCACATGCAATCACTAAGGGAGAGTTTATAAAACATCTTTCATCCAAGTATGATATAACCTAGTCATAACCTCTCAATGATAGGACAGGTACCACCTTTACTCCAACCAAGAGTTTCACCCTTAGACAGGGGAAAAGAGTAGGAAACTTGACAAGTCACCCAAAGCATTACTCTGATAATGCTGCCTTAATAAAACTCAAGTTACTATGTCAAATACACCCCTGCCATAATAAAAAGTTTTTAAAGAAAAGCTGATCACCTATGCTGTGAGGATGCAAAGGCATAAGAATGACACAATGGACTTTGGAGACTCAGGGGGAAAGGGTAGGAAGCGGGTGAGGGATAAAAGACTACATACTGGGTGTTGTGTATACCGTTCGGGTGATGGGTGCACCAAAATCTCACAAATCACCACTAAAGAATTTGCTCATGGCTGGGCATGGTGGCTCACGCCTGTAATCCCAGCACTTTGGGAGGCTGAGGCAGGTGGATCACGAGGCCAGGAGATCAAGACCATCCTGGCTAACACAGTGAAACCCTGTCTCTACTAAAAATACAAAAAAATTAGCTAGGCATGGTGGCGGGCGCCTGTAGTTCCAGCTACTTGGGAGGCTGAGGCAGGAGAACTGCGTGAACCTAGGAGGCAGAGCTTGCAGTGAGCCGAGATCACACCACTGCACTCCAGCCTGGGCGACAGAGCTAGACTCCATCTCAAAAAAAAAAAAAAGAACTTACTCATGTAACCTAACGACACCTGCTCCCCAATAACATACGGAAATAAAAAATTTAAATAAATAAAATACTGGCCAGGCACAGTGGCTCACTACTGTAATCCCAGCACTTTGGGACGCTAAAGTGGGAGGATAGCTTGAGCCCAGGAGTTCCAGACCAGCCTGAGCAACACAGCGAGAACTGTCTCTACAAAAAATAAAAATTAGCAGGGCGGGGTGATCCACGCCTGTACTTCCAGCTACTCAGGAGGCTAAAGAAGTCAAGGCAGCAGTGAGCTGTGATCACACCACTGCACTCCAGCTTGGGTGACAGAGCAAGATCCTGTCTCAAAAAAATAATATAAATTAAAAATTAAATAAAATATTGTGTATAAAAAATAATTAAAATAACCCAAATGCTTTCATAGCTTTTAGGCCCCTCTCCAGTTTCTATCATGCAAAAACGCCGTTTTAGAAAATCCTGATAACTGAAATGTACCAGAAACAGGAATCAAAACCAGCTCTTGCCCAACTTTTAATTTATGAACTAAGATACACACAGCCAAGGCCCAATCAATGTACAAAGTAAGCCTTTCCTCCCAAGGGAAAGGTGGTTCAGTGGTAGGCTATGGAAAATAAGACTCCTACTTATTTCCAGGTGGGCCTCTTAGAAATATGCATAATAAAGTAGGTGATATAAGGTATTTCCCCATATTTAATATCTCTTTACTTAAAATGTTTATGATCACTGGCATGTTATGGTTTGTCAGGACTTTCTTCCTCAGGGGTACATACAATAATCATAGATTTGATGAAATATATTAATTCTCCAGATGTTCCTCTTGAAAATGCTTCCAATTCAGTCCACAACTAATTGTTAACATAGTTTTTAAAATGTTTAATTATGCTATAAAACATAAAGAACCTTGAAATAAAATTAATTCACCCTAGGCTCAAATATAGCAAACTGATAAGATTATCTTTGTCATTCCAACTAGAGCAAAACAAAGAAAAAATACCAGTTAGGAAAAAGAAAAATCCTCTTATATACTCTGGAAACAAATCTTATACTTTTCTGTCACTTAGTTTTGTGAAAATACTCCTCTCAAATGCACTATATATTTTTCAAAGCCCATAAATTAAATTTCAGTCCTTCTAACACCAGTTATTTCATCTATCAGCATAAAGATGAATCTTTCCAATGAGTTGTAAGACTCAAAACTAGGCAGAAAAATGCTTTGCAAGTCGACTAGTAATCGGGAAAGAGCTGGACAATGGGGTTTACATTTGCTCCTTAGGTCAGAAACTAAAGGTTTGTGTGTCTTAACAGCTCCCTGGACCTAAGCACCACTGGTGCCTTGGTTTAAAAGAGTTAAAATCAGCTACCTTATAATCTTTTACTCATTGTTCGACAAATACTTTTTGAATGATTACCGGGTGCTAAGCAACCATTCAAGAGGACCTCCTAAGATGTGACCCTTGAGCAGCACCTTTTAAAAAGAATGTTAAAATTCTGCCTGAACAAGGCACTACTATCTGACGTAGAGCACCAAATCCACCTCGAAGTATACAATCCCACCCCCCGAATGAAATTTAATTAAGTTTTTTCCTAAAGCTAGGCCCTCAACAGCGTACAGAGGAGGTGTATCTTAATGAAGTAAATCGCAATTCAAAACTGCACGGTTTCCCGCTGGCAAAACTGACTTAGTGAAGGTCAGAAAGAACTCCAGGCCAATGAAAATTTTAATACAGAGGTGAAAGCGAAGGTGCCCAATTCAAAAGCGGGACGAAAGTAAGAGGAACGGTCTAAGAAAAGTGAGTTGGAGGAGAGATGAGCAGCAGCGGTCAAACGTGCTCTCCCCGCCGGGTACGTCAAGGCGGCAACTTTTCCAGCACTCCGGAACTCCGGACTGCCCAGGCCTCGGGCGAGCTGGCACGGCTCGCGTCCCGGGGAGGGACCCCAAAGGCGGGGAAGCGGGTTACCCCGCAAACCAGCAAGCTCGACAGGGAGCAAGCTGGACGGGGGCGGGACCTGGACACACACCCTTTCCTCTCTGAGAAGGAAGCGGGGAGGGAGAACGGAGTGCGCGACCCTGGGGCCACCAGCCCTCACGCGGGCCTGCAGGGGCGTTGGGGGAGGGGGAAGACAGTGCAGCTCCGAGGGGTTCGTCCAGAACCGGCCTAACCGCCGCGGAGCCCAAGGCTGGCGGGGGGAATGGAGCGGGCCTCGCCGAGGGCAGGCGGGAAACGGGGTGGCGGGAAGACCAGAGGCCGGCCCAGCTCCAACGCCGCACAGGAGGCCCCGACCCTGCCCTGCCTTCGGCGGGCCCCGGGATCGCCACAACGGGCCCCCAGCCTCCCAGAGGGACGGGGTGGGAGCCGAGGAAGCCCCCACCCCGACACGCAGACACACAAGCCCGCTCGCCGCCCTACCCCCACCCTCGCGCCGCGCTCGCGGGCTCTGCGCCCCACAGCGGCGCGGGGGAGGCGGGGGCCAGCGACGCGGCCGCGGGGAGCTGATGCCCTCCCCGACGCCCGGACCTCGACACGCAGACAAGATCAACAAAGCATCGCCGCTCCCGAGATAAAACATGCCACAGGCCCCGACCAGGGACTCTACGACGCGTGGCTGCCCGGGGCGCAGGGCTGCGCGGACGGGCTGGGGGAAGGGGGTGGGGAAGGGCCTCGCGGGGTGGCTCCCCGGTCCGGGAGCCTCGCCTCCGCCGGGATGCGGTGCTGCAGGGACCCCCACGCTGACCTTGGAGTCTCCGTTGCACAGAGCCATCGGGGCCAGGGCCGGAGCCGCGGCGGTGACGGCGACAGTACGAGACGGGGCGGGAGGGTGCCGGAAGGGTCGGCGCCGCGGGCTGAGGTTGAGAAGGAGGCCTGGTCGAGGAGCAGCCGGCAGCGGAGAGGAGCCAGCCGCCAGAAAAGCGCCGAATGGAGCAACAGCAGCGGAGCGCGGGCCCCAGCGCCGCGGGAGAGAAGACCAGCAGCGCGCACGCTGCCCCCGCCTCCTGCTTCCGCCCCGGCCGGCCACTGGGAGGAGCCAGAGCCCGTTCGGCTTGGCAGCCGAGCCTCAGATACCCTCCGCAGCCGCCGCCAAACCGGCCGGCCCTCGAGAGGAGGGGCTCGCGGCGCCCGGCCCCGCCCCCAGCCCGGTCCCCGCCGGCAAAGCCGGCCGGGTCTCCCGCGGCCCGCCCTTGGGAGGAGGAGCCCGCGGCATCCACCGGCTCCGCCCCTCCTGCCCTCGCACCGAGGAGCCCGCCCCGGAGGAGGGGCCTGTGGCGCCGGCCAGGAGAAAAACCGAAGCCGAATCCGAGCTAGTTTGCTGCTGCCGGATTTGCCTGCTACCTTGGATGACTTCGGGAGGCTGGCGGCACCGAAGAGGCCTCCTGAGAGCTGGGCCCCTGGCGGAACTCTTAGCCGGTGGCGTGGCCTTATCTCAGGTTGCTGGACATGAAGGAGGCCAAGGCTGCTTTGGAAAGTTCCGTGGCCATATCTCAAGGATGTCATTGTAGGAACTGATCACTTAGATACTTCAAAAGTTATACAGCTCCCCACAAATACAGCAGGTGCAGTATTTCCAAAGAAAAGGGAGTTTGGGAGTGGTAATCTGGTGAGCAGCTGGCCCAGGGAACTGGTCGTGAAGCTCTGTTTGCACAACAGTGTTTTTATTGGAATTGTTTGTGGGGAAGGGGCTGCAGTCCCTCCACCTACCCCTTGGCAACCATCATGATGATGAGGTGTTACTTTGAATTTGGTTACCTAGAGGCCTAAATCGAGATTGGGGTATAAAGAATAATACTTGAGATGGCTTCCAGCTAACAAAGCCTTTCCACAAATATTTTTATTATAATACAGCCAACATTTTGCTGCAGTCATTCTTGTGTCAGACTGTAGCTAGGGTATTAAGGAGCCAGAGTGAGAAAATACTTTAAAAGCTAACTTTAACCAATCCCGTGAAAGTAGTAAGGTAGGATTGATGTTCTTATCCTTTTTACAAATGAGGAAATTGAGGCTTAGTGAGATAATGTGCCTCTCAGTATATATAGAATGTAAGGCCTGCCCAATCTGGGAAAGTGTAGACAGTTTATTAGTGAAATATTTACAAAAACGAAAGGCTTAAGGTCCTAGTGGGCCTGAGACTTAAGTATTTCGCTTACCTTTTTTTGAACGGAAAATTGAATATTTGAACTCTCCAAAGCCATGGATACTGGCTTCTCTGGGTAGGTCTGTATGCACAATCTAAAGAAGAGTGCAGTAACCAATAGGAGAACCTCAACTTACATAAACATCCACCCCTAATGGAGTGGAATGTGATGTGATATACTGGCATTAAGGATTGGCTAAGTCCCATCTATCTTAAACAATGCTTAGTTTAAATATATTCTAGGCTGGGCGTGGTGGCTCACACCTGTAATCCCAGCACTTTGGGAGGCCTAGGCGGGTGGATTACCTGAGGTCAGAGTTCCAGAACAGGCTGGCCAACATCATGAAACCTGTCTCTACTAAAAATACAAAAATTAGCCAGGCGTGGTGGCATGCGCCTATAATCCCAGCTACTCGGGAGGCTGAGGCAGGAGAATCGCTTGAACCCGGGAGGTGGAGGTTGCAGGGAGCCAAGATCATGCCATTGCACACCAGCCTGGGTGACAACAGCGAAACTCCATCTCAAAATAAACAAATAAATAAATAAATTCTAGTGGTCACCTGTGCTTAATGGCTAAGAATGTTGGCATGCACACAATATAGGATCCTGATATTCTTTCTTCTTTAGCTTCTGACTCTATTGACCCATCCCTCTTTGTTGAAACTGGATTTTCCTTAAAATGCACCAAAAAGTTGTCTTTTTATCTCTGTGATTGCTCTTGGTTGCCTTTGCTAGCTCCTTTTCCTATGTCTGGCCTTCAGGAGCTTTAAGTGTTGGATTTCTTCAGTATTTCTATTCCTAATCCTTTTCTCATCTTACTCTTCCTTGGAGCACTTGTTTAAAAATACAGACTTGTTGGCCAGGTGCGGTGGCTCACACCTGTAATCCCAGCACTTTGACAGGCCAAGGCAGGTGGATCACCTGAGGTCAGGAGTTCGAGACCAGCTTGGCCAACATGGTGAAACCCTGTCTCTACTTAAAAATACAAAAAATTAGCCAGGTGTGGTGGTGGACACCTGTAATCCAGCTACTTGGGAGGCTGAGGCAGGAGAATTCTTGAACCTGGGAGGTGGAGGTTGCAGTGAGCCAAGATCGTGCCACTGCATTCCAGCCTGGGCAACAAGAGTGAAACTCCACCTCAAAATAAATAAATAAATAAAATACGGACTTGTTAAAATACCCTTAATATGCTCTATGTTTTAACAACTCTGTTCTGTGCTCCAGACCCAGATAACTATATTCATCCTCAGTTCAATTGTCAGTGTCATATTAGGCCCCAAACTCAACAAGTTCAAAACAAAACTTCTTTCCCAAACTTCTTATTGACACTCACTTTTTATTTTTCTTTTTTTTTTTAGATGGAGTTTCGCCCTTGTTGCCCAGGCTGGAGTGCAGTGGCACAATCTCAGCTCACTGCAACCTCCACCTCCTGGGTTCAAGCAATTCTCCTGCCTCAGCCTCCCGAGTAGCTGGGATTACAGGCCCCCCCCAACCATCATACCTGGCTACTCACTGACACTTATTAGGGAGAAAACATTCAGTCTCTCACCAATAACCTGTAGGTTTTCATAGATGCCCTTTATCAAGTTGAGGAAGTTTCCTTCTGTTCCTATTTTGCTGAGAGTTTTGGTCAAGAATGGATGCTGTCAAATGCTTTCTCTGTGGCTATTCAAATGACTATATAGTTTTTCTTTTTTCAGTTTTTGAATGTGTTAAATTACAGTCATTGCTTTTTTTGTTTATTTGTTTTGAGATGGAGTTTCACTCTTGTCGCCTAGGCTGAAGTGCAATGGTGCAATCTTGGCTTACTGCAATCTCTACCTCCTGGGCTCAAGCAATTCTCCTGCCTCAGCCTCCCGAGTAGCTGGGATTACAGATGTGTGCCACCACACCCAGCTAATTTTTGTATTACTAGTAGAGACCGCGTTTCACCATGTTGGCCAGGCTGGTCTCGAACTCTGACCTCAAGTGATCTTCCCGCCTCAGCCTCCCAAAGTGCTGGGATTACAGGCATGAGCCACTGTGCCCGGCCCTGTTTCATATATTTTGTCTGAGTTTTTTTGTTTGTTTCAGGCAGGAGGGTAAATCCAATCCCTGTTACCTCCTCTTTGACAGAAGCAGAAGTCTGGAAATCTTTTTTTGTTGTTGTTGTTCCTGTAGATCCATGCCTGCTGAATGGAAGTCTCTTTTAATGATACATTGAGGCAGCTTAAACCTACAAGGTCTTCCTTCTTTACCTGTCATATAAATATTTTTGTTAAGGGACAAAGTTGCCTTGAATTCAAAAAACGTAGGCAGCATAGAACAGTGATGTTGAGTCCTTTAAATGCAATTGTATGATTTCTAGGACCAATACATTTTTTCAAAATACAGTTGCTAAAACCCACAGATAGAAATTTCATACAATGTTTCAGATTTGGTATGTATCATGTCATAAAATATGTATTTCAGGAATAATACATGGTTACCTTATTTCATCTTTCAAAATGTTTAATATTTTCAACCTCCCATTAACAAAAAATTAGCTTTTAAACTTATGAGAAATATTAGTTGTTAAGATGTGGAAGGAGGTACACAGTTTTGCAAAATTCTTTTAGGGCAGTATGTGAGTATGTGAGATTTTTTTTTTTTTTTTGGGGGGTGGACAGAATCTCACTCTGTTGCCTAGGCTAGAGTGCAGTGGCACAATCTCGGCTCACTGCAACCTCTGCGTCCTGGGTACAAGCCATTCTTCTGCCTCAGCCTCCCAAGTAGCTGGAATTACAGGTGCGCAGCACCATGCCTGGCTAATTTTTTTTTTTTTTTTTTTTGAGACAGAGTCTCGCTCTTGCCACCCAGGCTGGAGTGCAATGGTGCGAACTTGGCTCACCGCACCCTCCACCTCCTGGGTTCAAGTGATTCTCCTGCCTCAGCCTCCTGTGTAGCTGGGATTACACCTGTGCACCGCTATGTCTGGCTAATTTTTTTGTATTTTTAGTGAAGATGGGGCTTTGCCATGTTGGCCAACCTGGTCTCAAACTCCTGACCTCAAGTGATCCACCCGCCTTGGCCTCCCAAAGTGTTGGGATTACAAGCATGAGCCACTGTGCCCAGCAAAAACTTTTTTTTAATTGAAGACAACCATTCTAAAATACAAATGTGATCATTTTATGGCTCCCCACAGCTCTCAGGAAGAACTCCAAACTTCTAGCATTTCTTATTAGGCACTTGGAGGTTTGGCTAGCCCTTGTTTACCTTGCAGCCTGCTCTCTTACCACTGCCCCCATCACTCTACTCTCTAGCCATATTAAACTGCTTCAACTCCATAAACATGACATGTTCTGTCTTGACGTGGGCCTTTTGTACATAAATATCTTCTGTGTGGAGTATTTCTGATTCCCTCCCCACAACTCTGAAGTCTTGGGTTACATGTCTCCTCCTCTTGTGATCCCATAACCCTTTCCTCTTCATTAATACTTGCCACCTTCTACTTTTTTTGTTTTTGTTTTTGTTTTGTTTTGTTTTTGAGATGGAGTCTCGCTCTGTTGCCCAGGCTGGAATGCAGTGGCGCAATCTCGACTCACTGCCACCTCCACCTCCAGGGTTCAAGCAATTCTCCTGCCTCAGCCTCCCAAATAGATGGGACTACAGGCGTGCATCACCATGCCTGGCTAATTTTGTATTTGTAGTAGAGATAGGGTTTCAACATGTTGGCCAAGCTAGTCTCGAACTCCTGACCTCGGGTGAGCCACCTTCCTCAACCTCCCAAAGTGCTGGGATTACAGGCCTGAGCCACCGTGCCTGGCCTAGATATTACTATACTCTTGTCACCCTTTTATGATTGAGAAAACAGAGAAATTAACTAGCCTGAGGCCTGAGCCCACATAGGTAGTAAACCACAGAACTGAGATTCAAACCAAGCTAACTGGTTCTAGCCTTTATATTGTTTGTTAAACATTCCAAGTATACTTAACCAATCTCAAAAGGCACAAGCATCACTGGGAAAATTTTCTTTTTCTTTTCTTTTTTTTTTGGACGGAGTCTCACTCTGTCGTCCAGGCTGGAGTACAGTGGCACGATCTCAGCTCACTGCAACCTCCAACTCTTGGGCTCAAGCAATTCTCCTGCCTCAGCCTCCCAGGCAGCTGGGATTACAGGCACCCACCATCATGCCTGGCTAATTTTTTGTATTTTTAGTAGAGACAGGGTATCACCATGTTGGTCAGGCTGGTCTTGAACTCCCGACCTCAGGTGATCCGCCAGCCTCGGCCTCCCAAAGTGCTGGGATTACAGGCGTGAGCCACCGCTCCTGGCCTCTTTTTTTTTTTTTTTTTTAGACAGAGTCTCGCTCTGTTACCCAGGCTGGAGTGCGGTGATGTGATCTCAGCCCACTGCAACCTCCCTTGCCCTGGTTCAAGCGATCCTCCTACCTGAGCCTCTGGAGTAGCTGGGACTATAGGCACACACCACCTCACTAGGCTAATTTTTTGTATTTTTAGTAGAGACAGGGTTTCACCATGTTGGCCATGCTGGTCTCAAACTCCTGACCTCAGGTGAGCCGCAGGCCTCGGCCTCCCAGAGTGTTGGGATTACAGGTGTGGGCGACTGTGCCCAGCCTCAAGGCCCAGATTTCTAAACTGAAAGTAAAATATCTGGAGTACCTCCTAAGCCCAGGATATTGAACCTTGTCCATCAGGCGAAAAAGAGACTATCTTAAAAAACAGAACTTTAACGAGCAAACAAAAAAAACTCAGAACTTTCCTGAATATGGCAGGATTTTACAGAATTTGGATCCCAGGATTTGGGCTCATTCCTAAGCAGTTGTATAAAGCCCTAACAAGGCCAGAGCATAAACCACTTAAATGGTCAAATAAACAAGAGGTTTTGGGTCGGGCGCGGTGGCTCATGCCTGCAATCCCAGCACTTTGGAAGGCTGAGGCGGGCAGACCACAAGATCAGGAGTTCGAGACCAGCCACGACCAACATGGTGAAACCCCGTCTCTACTAAAATACAAAAAATTAGCCGGGCGTGGTGGCACGCGCCTGTAGTCCCAGCTACTTGGGAGGCTGAGGCAGGGGAATTGCTTGAATCCAGGAGGCGGAGGTTGCAGTGAGCTGAGATCATACCATTGCACTCCAGGCTTGGGGACAGAGTGAGATTCCGTCTCAAAAAAAAAAAAAAAAAAAAAGAGGTTTTATCTGAACAAAGAGGGGTTTGCACAATAATAAACCACACCTATTGTTCTTATATTAACAACTCAATTAGTTAAACTACAAATTAATTAAACTAATATTAAACTAGTTAAACTAGTATTAGTTAAACTACAAATTCAAAATATTTACCAACAGGCTACCTGGCTGCATAATTTCAATAGCTCCACTACTCGAACCATCTGGGACTTCATTAAAGGATACCTACCAAGTGTGACATAGTTCCTACCTTTCCTAGGATCTTTAATAACTATCTTGTTACTACTAATTTTTGGTCCTTGCTTGTTTAACCTCCTTGTAGTCTGTGTCTTCTAGGTTGCCGCAGTTCAATGCCTAAATAATGGTCATACAAAGATTGCAGCCAATCCCTGCCTCATATTCAGACTCTCCTGATGATCCACCCTTGGGACCCTCAGACCAAGCAGCCAGAGATTTCCATACCCTCAATAGGCAGGGCCAATGCCCCATTCAACAGAAAGTAAATACATAAGATTGACCTCCTCCCTCATCAATCCTGAAAAATAAAAGGTAGTCATCTCTGAGAGGGGAAAATGAGACAGGAATAATACAAGGTGGTTGCAGAAAAATTTAATAATTCCAGGCAGCAGTTTCACGTAACTAACAAGGAAAAAATCTGTTAAAATAGCTACATAAGGTAGAAGCTGATAAGATTCTAAAAACCGGGGTGTGGGCCAAACTCGCTAAGGCTGACAGGACACAACATGGCGCTGGATTTGACCTAGGTTTCACCTAGGACCTAATTATATGCTTATTAACGTACTAAATCACACACCCACCAGTGCCATGACAGTCCCATATTTGGTTAAAAAATGGATGGCACCACATTTCTGAGAAATCTCCACCTTTTTCCAGGATTCTTCATGAATATTCCATTCCTTGGTTAAAGAAATCCGTAAAGATAAAAACCTCAAATCGGGCTGTGTCACTCTCGAGTATGTTCACACTCCCCTTTCTTGAATATGTAATTTTCTCTTTGCAATAAACCTCCATACTTTTATAACCGCCCAATGGGTTCACCTTGCCCGCTGCCTAGACAGAGCCAATCTATCAAGATGGGAATTGCCATAGAGAGAGAGTAATTCACACAGAGCCGGCTGTGTGGGAGACCAGAGTTTTATTACTGCTCAAATCAGTCTCCCTAAGCATTCAGGGATCAGAGTTTTTAAGAACAAATTGGCTGGGCGCAGTGGCCCATGCCTGTAATCCCAGCACTTTGGGAGGCCGAGGCGGGTGGGTCACGAGGTCAGAAGTTTGAGACCAGCCTGACCAACATGGTGAAACCCTGTCTCTACTAAAAATGCAAAAGTTAGCCGGGCATGGAGTCGCACACCTGTAATCCCAGCTACTCGGGAGGCTGGGGCAGGAGAATTGCTTGAACCTAGGAGGCGGAGGTTGCTGTGAGCAGAGATCACGCCACTGCACTCCAGCCTGGGCGACAGGTGAGACTTGGTCTCAAAAAAAAAAAGAACAAATTGGTGGGTTGGAGGAAGCCAGTGAGCCGAGAGTGCTGATTGGTCAGAGATGAAATCATAGGGAGTTGAAGCTGTCTTCTTACACTGAGTCACTTCCTGGATGGGGGCCACAAGATCAGATGAGCCAGTTTATCCATCTGGGTGGTGCCAGCTGATCCATCGAGGACAGGGTCTACAAAATATCCCAAGCACTGGTCTTAGGTTTTATAATAGTGATTTCTTTCTTTTCTTTCTTTCTTTCTTTTTTTTTTTTTTTTTTGAGACAGACTTTCGCTCTTGTTGCCCAGGCTGGAGTGCAGTGGTGCCATCTCGGCTCACCACAACCTCAGCTTCCTGGGTTCAAGTGATTCTCCTGCCTCAGCCTCTCAAGTAGCTGGGGTTACAGGCATGTGCCACCACACTTGGCTAATTTTGTATTTTTAGTAGAGACAGGGTTTCTCCATGTTGGTCAGGCTGGTCTCAAACTCCCAACCTCAGGTGATTTGCCCACCTCGGCCTCCGAAAGTGCTGAGATTACAGGCATAAGCCATCACACCAGCCTATAATAGTGATTTTTATCCCCAGGAGCGATTTAGGGAGTGTCAGAATCTTGTAGCCTCCAGCTGCATGACTCCTAAACCATAATTTATAATCTTTTGACTAATATGTTAGTCCTACAAAGGCAGTCTAGTCCCCAGGCAAGAAGGGGATTTGTTTTGGGAAAAGGCTGTTATCATCTGTGCCTCAAACTATAAACTATAAACTAAGTTCTTCCTAAAGCTAGTTTGTCCCATGCCCAGGAATGAACTAGGACAGCTTGATGGTCAGAGGCAAGATGGAGTTGGTCAGGTTAGATCTCTTTCTCTGTCTCAGTTATAATCTTGCACTGACGGTTTCACTTTCATTATCTTCCAACTAATCCTTGAATTGCTTCTTGGGAAGGTGTCAAGAGCCTGGACACTGGTTGGGGTTGAGGCCCCACCAGCATTTGGGGACCTCCCTAACCCACTGGTATCAATAAGACCTAACAATCCTATTCCTAGGTATTTGCCCAAGAGAGATGAAAAGATATGTTTACACAAAAACCTGTATGCAAATGTTTATAGTGACATTACTCATACAAAAAATGGGAAACAATCCAAATGTTCTTCAACTGGTCAGTAGATAAATACACTCTGGCATATCCATACAATGGAATATTACTGGGGAGAAAAAAAGAAGGAGGTGGGGATGCGGGACAATGATATCAATGAATCTCAATGCATTATGCTGACTGAAAGAAGACACACTCAAAAGCTACATTTTGTATGATTCCATTTACATGATATTTTGGAAAAAGCAAAGCTATAGGGAGAGAAAATAGATCGGTGGTTACCAGAGGTTGGGGAATGGGTGGAGAGGTTGACTTCAGATGGGCACAAGGGTATGTACTTTTTGGAGTTGACGGACCTATTCCATATCTTGATTGTGGTGGTGGTTCTATAACTATCTATTTGTTAAAACTCATAGAACCGGGTGATGGGTACGCCAAAATCTCAGAAATTATCACTAAACATCTTATTCATGTAACCAAACACCACTCATTCCCCCAAAAACCTATAAAAAAATATATATTTTTTGAGACTGAGTCCTGCTCTGTAGCCCAGGCTGTGAGTGTAGTGGTGCGATCTTGGCTCACTATAACCTCCATCTCCCGGGTTCAAGCAATCCTCCCGCCTAAGCCTCTCAAGTAGCTGGGATTACAGGTGTGCGCCACCATGCTTGGCTAATGTTTATATTTTTAGTAGAGATGGGGTTTCATCATGTTGGCCAGGCTGGTCTAGAACTCCTGATCTCAAGTGATCTACACGCCTCGGCCTCCCAAAGTGCTGGGATTACAGGCGTGAACCACCGTGCCTAGCCTAAACCTATGGAAATTAAAAAAACAAAACAAAACACCCAAAAACCTCATAGGGCCGGGCATGGTCGCTCACGTCTGTAATCCCAGCACTTTGGGGGCCAAGGCAGGCAGATCACTTGAGGTCAGGAGTTCAAGACTAGCCTGGCCAACATGGCGAAACCCCATATCCACTAAAAATACAAAAATTAGCCAGGTGTGGTGTCATGCACCTGTAGTCTCAGCTACTCAGAAGATTGGGGCAGGAGACTCGCTTGAACCTGGGAGACAGAAGTTGCAGTGAGCCAAGATTGCATCACTGTACTCCAGCCTGGGCAACACAGCGAGACTCTGTCTCAAAAGAAAACAAAAGGCCAGGTGCCGTGGGTCACACCTGTAATGCCAGCACTTTGGGAGGCCAAGGTGGGTGGATCACCTGAGGTCAGGAGTTCAAGACCAGTCTGGCTAACATGGTGAAATCCAGTCTCTACCAAAAATACAAAATTTGTCAGATGTGGTGGCAGGCGCCTGTAATCCCAGCTACTCAAGAGGCTGAGGCAGGAGAATTGCCTGAACCCAGGAGGTGAAGATTGCAGTGAGCCAAGATCACGCCACTGTACTCCAACCTGGGTGACAGAGCAAGACTCTGTCTCAAAAACAAAACAAAACAAAAAACACACAAAAAACAAACTCATAGAACTGTACACTAAAAAGGGCCAATTTTACTGGATATAAATTATACCTCAATAAACCTGATTCCCACCTCAAAAATAAACAATTTTAAAATTCTCAGGAATATATAGAAGATACAGTTCAGATCTCAGTGAAATGACTGGAAAACCAGAGAAGAAATCTACAATCAGACATAGGTATATGAAGGGTCCACTAGATGGTGGTATTAATTTTTGTAACAGAGCCTAGAAAAACGAAGCAAAGACATCACAGGCGTGGCAGTGGAGTAGTTTTTTGAAAAATGTTCTTGAAGATTATTGCTGTAATTCCTAATATATTGTCACCTTGATTTTTGTGTTTTTGCTAAGCCAGGTGTCCTGGCCTTCCACTGATTCTGGGAGGCCATCAATATCCTTCCAGTAAAATTCTCTCTTTCAGTTTTGTTTTGTTTCTGAAACAGACTGAATAGCAGCATTAATAGCGGTGGTTAACCAATTTGTTTGTTTGTTTTTTGAGATGGAATATTGCTCTTGTTGCCCAGGCTGGAGTGCAACGGCGTGATCTCGGCTCACTGCAACCTCCGTCTCCTGAGTTCAATAATTCTCCTGCCGGCCGGACATGGTGGCTCATGCCTGTAATCTCAGCACTTTGGGAGGCCAAGGTGGGTGGATCACCTGAGGTCAGGAGTTCGAGACCAGCCTGGCCAACATGATAAAACCTCATCTCTACTACAAATGCAAATATTAGCCGGGTGTGGTGGCACGCACCTGTAATCCCAGCTACTCAGGAGGCTGAGGCAGGAGAATCGCTTGAACCCAGAAGGTGGAGGAGGTGCAGTGAGCCAAGATCACGCCACTGTACTCCAGCCTGGGTGACAGAGCAAGACCCCATCTCAAAAAAATAAAAATAAAAATAATTCTCCTGCCTCAGCCTCCTAAGTATCTGAGTTTACAGGCATGCGCCACCATGCCCAGCTAATTTTGTATTTTTAGTAGAGATGGGGTTTCACCATGTTAGCCAGGCTGGTCTCAAACTCCTGACCTCAGGTGATCCACCCACCTCACCCTCCCAAAATGCTGGAATTACGGGCGTGAGCCACCATGCCCGGCCTGTTTTGAGGTTTTTGTTGTTGTTTTTGTTCTCATTTTCCTTTATGGAGAATTTTAAATATGTACAAAATAAACAGAATGGTCTCATATGAACCCTTAGTGTACCTATCACCAAGCTTCAATAGTCTTTGATAATCTGCCATTTTAAATTCAAGCCTCCATGACCACCAATCCCCATGCAAATAGTTTGTTTGTTTGTTTGTTTGAGACGGAGTCTCGCTCTGTCGCCCAGGCTGGAGTGCAGTGGCGGGATCTCAGCTCACTGCAAGCTCCGCCTCCCGGGTTCACGCCATTCTCCTGCCTCAGCCTCCCAAGTAGCTGGGACTACAGGCGCCCGCCACTACGCCCGGCTAATTTTTTGTATTTTTAGTAGAGACGGGGTTTCACCGTTTTAGCCGGGATGGTCTCGATCTCCTGACCTCGTGATCCGCCCGCCTCGGCCTCCCAAAGTGCTGGGATTACAGGCGTGAGCCACCGCCCGGCCATAGTTTTTTTATAGTTGTTTGTTTGTTTTTTGAGATAAAACTCTTATGTATTTTGAAATGCAGAAATTTTAACTGTGCAATTTCAATTTGTTTTTGAAGGACCTAGTTTGGAAGTTTCTAAGAACATAGAGTAAAAAGAAAAAGGAAAGTTATGAGAAAAAGCTTAAGGGGTAATTCCAGTAAACAAAATATAAGTTTACTAGGACTTTTAGGGGGAATTAATGAAGAGGAAAAAATGAAAAAGCAAAGATATTATTAAGGAAAATTTCTCTAAAATCAAGAAAGATTTGAAACTTTGTTAAAAAAGACCTAATAAATGTTGAACAAGATTAATAGAAAAACATATATGTATTATACAATACATACCTTCATACATCCTGGTGAAAATTCTGAACTTCAAGGATAAAGCGAATTTTCACAAGCTTTCAACTGGAAAACACAGGATACCTATAAAGGGACAAGGAAAAAAAAAAAAAGCAAGAAAGGATCATGGCGACCACCAGAAGGGTTTTATATTTGGCAGTTTCACCAGCTTCCCCAAAACACATCAATCAGGGAACACCAGTATTCCAAAAGAAAGGGGAAATGATATTAACTGAAGTGAGTTAGGGGAGTTGAAAATGCAAAAAAAACAAAAACAAAAAACAAAAACAGCTATTCATGACAGTATGGGCTGAAGGTCCCATGCGGTATCAGTTTTGTTTTCATAGTGATAGTGACATTTGTTCCACATTTGCTGAGGGACACTGAGGGCCTGGTGGGGGTGGTGTTCCCAGGTTTGTAGAGAAATGTCTTAGTTTGTGTTGGAAAGATACTACCACTAAGTCTTCTAAGAAGACAACAGCAATTTGGGCATGGCTTAGCAACGAATACTTGTCTCTACTCTTTATTTAGCATTAGCAGGGGTGGCTCACCTTGGGGCTGGAGGATTCTCTTCTCACTGTGTTGCCCAGACTGGAGTGCAGTGGCACAGTCTTGGCTCACTGCAACCACCACCTCCCAGGTTCAAGCGATTCTCCTACCTCAGCCTCCCAAGTAGGTGGGATTACAGGCATTCACCACCACACCCAGATAATTTTTGTATTTTTAGTAGAGACAGGGTTTTACCATCTTGGCCACACTGGTCTTGAACTCCTGACCTCAAGTGATCCACCTGCCTTGGCCTCCCAAAGTGTTGAGATTACAGGCATAAGCCATTGCCCCTGGCCCACCTTATCACTTTAATAATGCATACACATTGAATTGGGGTAACATGAAAAACACTTTTCCTGATATTTGCCTCCAGTCATTTTTCCTATTGTTTGTAACTCTTGCCTGCATAGATCTAAAGATTTAACATTTGATAGGAAGATAATTGAACCACTAAAGGGGAATCATTCTTATATGTAGGGAGAAATCAATTATTTCCAAGAAGATTCCTTATTTAAAAACTGATGTGGCGGGACACGGTAGCACACACCTGTAGTCCCAGCTACTCAGGAGGCTGAGGCAGGAGAATCACTTGAACCCGGGAGGTGGAGGTTGCAGTGAGCCGAGATCACACTGTTGCACTCCAGCCTGGGCGACAGAGCGAAACTCCATCTCAAAAAAGAAAAAAAAAAAATGAAAAAAACTCAAAACTGATTTGGTATCTATACAATGGACTAATACTCTGTGATTTAAAAGAAAGACGGACATACATTGATACTGATATATTACCATCTTAAATGGATCTCAAGGACATTTTGGTGGATGAAAAAAAAAGTTGATCCCCAAAGTTGCATACTATATGATTCCACTTTTATAATATTCTTGAAAGGACGTAAGTATAGCCGTGGAGAACAAATTAGTGATTGCCAAAGAACAGGGAGGAGGACAGTGGACTGGTGCAACTATTAATATGTAGTACTATAAGGGATAGCACTATGAAAGGGTAACACAGGACACACACACACACACACAAGCTAGTGCATGTAAAAACTGGTGAAATTGGAATAAAGCCTGTGGTCTGGTTAACAATATTTTACAGATGTCAGTTTCCTGGTTTTAATATTGTACTATAATCACGTAAGAGGCAATGATCAGAGGAAGGTGGGTGAAGGGTATATGGGACTCTGCTATATTTGCAATTTCCTGTGAATCTATAATTATTTCAAATTAAAGAAGGGGAAAAAATCAAACACAAGACATACAAACTCATCAAGTATTTCCTTTTTTTTTGGAAAAAAAAAAAACACCTACTGATTGTGAATGGCTTTATTGGCTGCTTCCTTTAACTCCCACAACTCTCTGAAATAGATGTTATGAACTCTATTTTAATTTTCATCAAAATGGAGGCTTAGGTTAAGTAATCTGTCCAAGGCACAACTACTGTTAGAGCCAGGGTTTGAATCCAGCACAATATAAATCCCACTCATGGTTGTTTTGGTTTAATCTTGATTGGACTTAAATGACACCGTTCTTTTCTTTAACACCCAGACTGGAGTGCAATGGCATGATCTCGGCTCACTGCAACCTCCGCCTCCCGGGTTCAAACGATTCTCCAGCCCCAGCCTCCCGAGTATCTGGGACTACAGGCATGAGCCACCACACCCAGCTGATTTTTGTATTTTTAGTAGAGACAGGGTTTCACCATATTGGCCAGGCTTGTCTTGAACCCCTGACCTCAAGTGATCTGCCCGCCTCAGCCTCTCAAAGTGTTGGGATTACAGGTGTGAGCCACCGCGCCCGGCCAACACTGTTCTTTTCTGCAATCTATTCTTCTACTTAACAAAGATTAGAGGACTTTACAGTTGCCTTTTTTTTTTTTTTCCAGACGGAGTCTCACTCTGTCGCCAGGTTGGATTGCAGTGGCACGATCCCGGTTCACTGCAACCTCCGCCTCCCAGGTTCAAGCGAGTCTCCTGTCTCAGCCTCCCAAGTAGCTGGGGCTACAGGCGCGCGCCACCAGGCCGAGCTAATTTTTTGTATTTTTAGTAGAGACGGGGTTTCACCGTGTTGGCCAGGATGGTCTCAATCTCTTGACCTCGTGATCCACCCGCCTCGGCCTCCCAAAGTTCTGGGATTATAGGCGTGAGCCACTGTGCCTAGCCTGCCATTACGTTTGTAATCCCAGCACTTTGGGAGGCCGAGGCAGGCGGATCACGAGGTCAGGAGTTCGAGACCAGCCTGGCCAACATAGTGAAACCCCGTCTCTACTAAAAATACAAAAATTAGCCGGGCGTGGTGGCGCGTGCCTGTAGTCCCAGCTACTCGGGAGGCTGAGGCAGGAGAATCGCTTGAACCCGGGAGGTGGAGGCTGCAGCGAGCCGAGATGGCCCTACTGAACACCAGCCCAGGCGACAGTGTGAGATTCCTCTCAAAAGAAAAAAAAATAATAATCTTTCTGCCAGAGGTGAGAGAGCAGAAAAAAAATTAATCAGATTCTCAAATTCCTGTACGTCTCTTAGTAGAGACGGGTTTCTCCTTGTTGGTCAGGCTGATCTTGAACTCCCAATCTCAGGTGATCCGCCCGCCTCGGCCTTCCAAAGTGCTGGGATTACAGGCGTGAGCCACCGCGCCCGGCCACAAGACGTTTTATTGCAACATAAAAACAGGATGTAACGAGTCTTCCAATCACCAATGTAATTAGAGTTGGTTACCAAGTTTCCCCACGCGTCTTCCACCATGAGGGAGAAACGGACTGCAGACAAACCTAGCACCCCTTGAGCAGTTTAATTCGTACTATAAATATGTAGGCACCGTAAGGACGCGATTCTCCAGTTTGCCAGGCCTTTTTCTATCCTTTTGGGGGCACAAGGCGACCTTGCCTCCTGATTCAAAAACTTCGTAAACGTCAATCCTTCTACCCTTTTCTGGTCAGCCCACGAAAGCAGCAGCATGGCACAACTCCCAGCCTAGAGTTCGGGCACTGCCTGTCGTCAGCATAACGAAGAAACCTACACCCACGAAGACTTCAGACCCCACGTGATTACATCACTCAACCACCAGCGCTGGCCTGGAGGAACCCGCTGTCACGTGACCGCTCGTGCCCAATGACCGAGGCCCACGCTTTCCAGACCGCCACAGTCGCTGTCACAGGGCCTGAGTTTGGGCGGCGCCCCGCCCCGGCCGCACGGTGCGCCGGCGTTAATCCTCCCCGAAGGTTCCGGCAGCCAAGATTGCAGGTTCCCACCAAGCATTGTTTCCGAACTGGGCCACGAGAGCGTGTCCCTGATTGGCTTGCTCTGGAGGCTGGGAAGGGACCTGTTAGAGACTGGGACCACTTCCTGAAGCGCGAGGCAGGAAGTTATATGCTTTTTCTGGAGTCCTGTAGAGAAAGTGCTCTCTGCCGCATTGATAGCAGCGAGAGCTGGAGGTGTTGGGTCGGGAGACCAGCCGTTCGATCCCGCCGCAGGTAGGAGCTGGTTTCCATCCTGGCACCACGGCACACACCTCCAGCCTCGAGCCCGGCGCTGCTGCCCGGGGGTCTCCTTCAGGCTCTTTGACGCCGTTCCAGGGGGCACCTATCCAGGCATCCTCTGGGCCTCTAGCCAGAGGACTGGCTCCCGGCTTCAGCACTCCGGGCTGCAGTAAGAAGTGCCCTTATCGCTCTGAGCCCTGCCACCATCCCGTGAACCACCGAAACCCTGGTCCAGCGCGACAGCCTTGGACCTGGGACTGGACGGATCCAAAACGCTCAGCCTCGGCCCCCCACAGACGGGGCTCTGCATCGTCTCTGATATGTCACCCACCATCTCCCACAAGGACAGCAGCCGGCAACGGCGGCCAGGGAATTTCAGTCACTCTCTGGATATGAAGAGCGGTCCCCTGCCGCCAGGCGGTTGGGATGACAGTCATTTGGACTCAGCGGGCCGGGAAGGGGACAGAGAAGCTCTTCTGGGGGATACCGGCACTGGCGACTTCTTAAAAGCCCCACAGAGCTTCCGGGCCGAACTAAGCAGCATTTTGCTACTACTCTTTCTTTACGTGCTTCAGGGTATTCCCCTGGGCTTGGCGGGAAGCATCCCACTCATTTTGCAAAGCAAAAATGTTAGCTATACAGACCAAGCTTTCTTCAGTTTTGTCTTTTGGCCCTTCAGTCTCAAATTACTCTGGGCCCCGTTGGTTGATGCGGTCTACGTTAAGAACTTCGGTCGTCGCAAATCTTGGCTTGTCCCGACACAGTATATACTAGGACTCTTCATGATCTATTTATCCACTCAGGTGGACCGTTTGCTTGGGAATACCGATGACAGAACACCCGACGTGATTGCTCTCACTGTGGCGTTCTTTTTGTTTGAATTCTTGGCCGCCACTCAGGACATTGCCGTCGATGGTTGGGCGTTAACTATGTTATCCAGGGAAAATGTGGGTTATGCTTCTACTTGCAATTCGGTGGGCCAAACAGCGGGTTACTTTTTGGGCAATGTTTTGTTTTTGGCCCTTGAATCTGCCGACTTTTGTAACAAATATTTGCGGTTTCAGCCTCAACCCAGAGGAATCGTTACTCTTTCAGGTAGTGTATTTAAGCTATTATGGTGTTAGGTTTATTTATCCTTTTGAAAGAGTGTGTGACGTTGGAGGGAAGCTCATTAATTTACTGGAAATCATTGTATGGGAGATAACTCAAGGTAAGTTTTCTGTTTCGTCCAAATGAGCTTCTTTGAAATATTAAAGCCAAAATGAATGATATTAGAGCAATCAAATGATCACTATGCGGTTAACAGGGAGAGGCAACCCATCAAATAACACAACCGAGTCCAGGGATTCATGCCACTTGCTTAATACACAAATGCACACTTTTAAAAAGTGTGGCTCATATGGTTCACATTTTTCCTTTTGTCTTGTTGGTTTTAGGTTTCTAGCTCTATACTTTCTAATCCATTTCTACCCCTACCGTTGTACCCAGAATCCAGCCTTCTAGTGAATGGAACAGGGTTTATTCGTTCAAACATTATTGAACCAGCTAAGGGACGGGATTCTAAGGCCTCTAATGAATAAGGCAGAGTTCTGCACTCAAGAAATAAGGAAGATGAACATTTTAGGAGAGTTCAGAGTTGCCAGTTAGTAACTGCCTTTGGGAGTCAGGCTTCACATTGCAGATAACATTTGACTTTGTTCTTGAATAAGATTCCACGAGGCCAGGAAATGGCACACCAGAATGCACAACACAAAGTAAAAGTGCACTGAGGCAGGAAAGTACAAAAAAGTACAGGACATTGCCTAAATTGTGGAACTGGGTTTGGGAAATCGTGCTGAGAAAGGCTGTGACTAAATTAGTAAGATTTTCTTTAATTACTATGGGAAAAGAGTTTAAAGTTTGTCCTGTAAGTAATGGAGGGTAAGTTCTAAAAAATTTCCCTGTTTCTCTGCATGAGTAAAACACATGTAAGTTTTTCTCTTTTTTCTTTTTTCTTCTTTTTTTTAATTGAGATAGTTGGGGGTCGGGGGGGCTGTCTCACTATGTTGGCCAGGCTGGTCTTGAACTCCTGGCCTCAGGTGATTCTCCCCCTCCTTGGCCTCCCAAAGTACTGGGAATTATAAGTGTGAACCACCCCACCTGGCCTAAGCTTTTTTGTTTGTTTGTTTGTTTTTAACTTTTGTAACAACTAGAAAACAAGTAAAATGACCAATATCAGGAATAACAATGTCAGGAATATAGTGAAATTCTTCATTCTGTCAGTGATGATGAATTTAGGGGATTCTGTTTTGAAATTTAAGCAACTGAACTTCTCAGCTTCTGTGCTACCTTGGAAATTCACAGTAGAGTAAATGTCCAGGTATGTGGTGGTGGTAGGAGGTGTCACAACTACACTATTTTCCTGCAATCTTATTCTCACAGACATCTAACCTTATGTACACCTCCTCAAACTGCTAATGAGTGAGCCACTATTACTGGTGAAATGATGGTGATAGTACTTTTTCCTCAGTTGTTTGGTTGAGAGATAATTGCTTTGCACCCAGGTAGATTTGTCTCAGTGTTCTGGGGTTCCACTCCTGCTTTATGAATAATTCACTGCTGGCCGGGCACAGTGGCTCACACCTGTAATCCCAGCACTTTGGGAGGCTGAGGTGGGAGGATCACTTGAGGTCAGGAGTTTGAGACCAGCCTGGCCAGCATGGCGAAACCCCATTTTTGAGACTCTGTCTCAAAAATAAATAAATAAATAAAATAAAAAATAAGTCACGACTGGGCACAGTGGCTCACACCTGTTATCCCAGCACTTTGGGAGTCTGAGGTGGGAGGACTGCTTGAGCTGAGGAGGTAGAGCCAGCTTGGGCAATACAGCAAGACCTCATCTCTACTAAAAATTAAAAAAAAAAAAAAAATAGCTGGGTGTTTTGCGAAGGCCTGTAACCCTAGCTACTCAGGAGGCTGAGGCAGGAGGATTGCTTCAGCCCGGGAGATTGTGGCTTCAGTGAGCTATGATCCAATCATTGCACCCCAGCCTGGTCAACAGAGTGCAACCCTGTCTTAAAATTATATATATGTATTTTTTATATGGAGTCTCCCTCTGACACTAGACTGGAGTGCAGTGGCAGGACCTCAGCTCACTGCGATTTCCACTTCTCTAGTTCAAGCCATTCTCCTGCCTCAGCCTCCTGAGTAGTGGGATTACAGGCATGTGCCACCACACCCAGCTAATTTTTGTATTTTTAGTACAGACAAGGTTTCACTGTGTTGGCCAGGATGGTCTCGATCTCCTGATCTTGTGATCCGCCCACCTCGGCCTCCCAAAGTGTTGGGATTACAGGCGTAAGCCACTGCGCCCAGCCAAAATAAATTAATTAATTAAAAATAAAATTAAAATAAAGAAGTCAAGGCTGGTGCAGTGGCTCACGCCTGTAATCCCAGCACTTTGGGAGGCTGAGGTGGACAGATCACCTGAGATCAGGAGTTTGAGACCAACCTGGCCAACATGGCAAAACCCCTTCTCTATTAAAAATACAAAAATTAGGTGGAAGTGGTGGCATTCACTTGTAATCCCAGCTACTCAGGAGGCTGGGTGGGGAGAATCGCTTGAACCCAGGAAGCAGAGGTTGCAGTGAACCGAGATCGCACCATTGCATTCCAGTCTAGGCGGCAGAGCAAGGCTCCATCTCAAAAAAAAAAAAAGAATAAGTCAGTGTAAATTAAAATCCAGTGGCATAATTTTGATCCATTAGGGAACAGTTGTGGCTAAGGGAGTATAAATATAATAACTCTTGAACTCATAACATTATTCTCTGGAATGATGTTTTACCAATCACTCTTACATTAAGAGAAAGTTCCAATTTAGCTAATTAGCAATTTAGTTTCCATGGCCTCTTAAACCTTGATTTCACTGAGGCTTTCTCATCTTAAGTAACATCATCTCCTTAATCCTCTGTGGTGATATAAACAGCAGTCTCAGGACAAAATGAAAAGCAGACACATAAAAAGCAACAAACTGGCTGGGCGCGTTGGCTCACGCCTGTAATCCCAACACTTTGGGAGGCCAAGGCAGGAGGATCACAAGGTCAGGAGATCAAGACCATCCTGGCCAACATGGTGAAACCTTGTCTCTTCTAAAAATACAAAAATTAGCCCGGTGTGATGGCATGCACCTGTAGTCTCAGCTACTCAGGAGGCTGAGGCAGGGGAATCGCTTCAACCTGGGAGGCGGAGGTTGCAGTGAGCTGAGATCGCGCCACTGCACTCCAGCCTGGGCGACAGAGAAAGACTCCATCTCAAAAAAGAAAAAAGCAACAAACTGATAACAGACAGTATGCATTCACAGAGTATTTCTAGGCAGTGAATTGTTATTATTATTATTATTATTATTATTATTATTATTATTATTATTATTCTGAGATGGAGTCTCGCTCTGTCGCCCAGGGTAGAGTGCAGTGGTATGATCTCAGCTCACTGCAACTTCCCCCTCCAGGGCTCAAGCTATTCTGCTGCCTCAGCCTCCCTAGTAGCTGGGATTATAAGCGTGTGCCACCATGCCTGGCTAATTTTTGTATTTTTGGTAGAGATGGGGTTTCGCCATGTTGGCCAGGCTGGTCTTGAACTCCTGACCTCAAGTGATCTGCTCACCTCGGCTTCCCAAAGTGCTGGGATTACAAGTGTGAGCCACTGTGCCTGGCTGTCACTTGTTATTTTGAATTGCCCCTTTTTTTTTTTTTCCTGTGGAATTTGAACTTTGTTCTGCAGTAGATTCTATAACTAGCTTACTTTTTAATTCAACTGTTTATATCTGTAGTGGACTGCTGTTTCTGGTTCAAACATTTTAGTTGAAAGTTAGAATTCCTATAGTTTCATTCTCCTTTTTATGACTGAACATACCACATTTATAACATTGTTCTTTCTGGAACTTATTAATAGGATAAGAAAAACCAGTGGTTTTGAAAAAGTTATATAGCACAGGAAGAATTATATGATGGAAATATAATTGCTTAGGTGATTAAAGAGGAGCTAAACACTGAGGCAATGTTTAGAAAATCTGAGTATTAAAAGGAAGCGTAATTGTTTTCTTTTTTTAATTCTAAAATATGTTCTGGCCAGGTGCAGCGGCTCACACCTGTAATCCTAGCACTTTGGGAGGCTGAGGTGGGCAGATTGCTTGAGCTCAGAAGTTCAAGACCACTCTGGGCAACATGGTGAAACCCCAGCTCTACTAAAAATACAAAAAATTAGCCGGGTGTGGTGGCGCATACCTGTGATCCCAGCTACTCAGGGAGGCTAAGGCACTAGAATCACTTGAACTGGGGAGGTGGAGGCTGCAGTAAGCCGAGATCACACCACTGCACTCCAGCCTGGGTGACAGAGCAAGACTGCATCTCCAAAAATATAAATAAATAAAAAATAAATGAAATACTATCTGTAATTAACAGTTTTGATTGTTACAGATAAATGGAGATGGAATATATTGGGTAGATAGATAATGTAAATGAGTCATCTGAGTTGGAGGGGACAGAGATAATTTGAGAAATCCATGCCCCTCTAAAGGTGAGGAGCGTCAACTCTAGTAAGTTGTAGTTTTGTGACAATAGGATCCCAAGATTGCTAGATCTTCTTTTTTTGTTGTTGTTGAGACAGAGTCTCACTTTGTTGCCCAGGCTGGAATGCAGTGGTGCGATCTCTGCTCACTGCAAGCTCCACCTCCAGGGTTCACACCATTCTCCTGCCTCAGCCTCCCGAGTAGCTGGGACTACAGGCGCCCACCACCATGCCCTGCTAATTTTTTGTATTTTTAGTAGAGACAGGGTTGCACCATGTTAGCCAGGATGGTCTCAATCCCCTGACCTTGTGATCTGCCTGCCTCGGCCTCCCAAAGTGCTTGGATTACAGGTGGGAGCCACCATGCCCGGCAAGATTGCTAGATCTTAGGCATATTCAAGAGAAACTAGAAATTCCTTTTTTATTTCCTAATTTTACAAACACTTCTTAGGCTCATATAAAAACATGTCTTTAGCTGAGCACAGTGGCACGCATCTGTAGTTCCTGCCACTTGACAGGCTGAGATGGGAAGATCATTTGAGGCCAGGAGTTCGAGGCTGCAATGCGTTATAATAGTGTCTGTGAATAACCACTGCACTGCAGCCTGGGCAACATAGCAAGACCCATCTTTAAAAAAATCTGTCTCATCTATCATCTCTCTATCTGTCATCTATCTAATCTATGTCTTCAGGCCAGATCTAGCCTGTAAACTGGTAATTGAGGCCCTCTCCTCTAGCAGCAGTAGTAACAATTAGAAGTGATTGGAATAGGGAGCAGTGTATTTGGGTTTAGGAGCAGGGAGCAAGACGGTTTAATGACAGAGAAGGAAGCTAAAGATATTAGAGTTTATAAATCAGTTTGTTTATAAATAGGCACGCACATACAGGAATAAATGAGAGAAAGTGTTGCTTTGAAAAAGTTGATGCTATAAGTATGAATCTAACCAAACTAATGACAATAAAAACAGTATTTGTAAGACATTGATGCTTTATTTATTTATTTATTTATTTATTTATTTATTTTTTGAGACGGAGTTTTGCACTTGTCACCCAGGCTGGAGTGCAGTGGCGTGATCTCGGCTCACTGCAACTTCTGCCTCCCAGGTTCAAGCGATTCTCCTGCCTCAGCCTCCCAAGTAGCTGGGATTACAGGCACACGCCACAATGCCCACCTAATTTTTTTTGTATTTTTAGTAGAGATGGGGTTTCACCATGTTGGTCAGGCTGGTCTCGAACTCCTGACCTCAGGTGATCCGCCCACCTCAGCTTCCCAAAGTGCTGGGATTACAAGCATGAGCCACCGTGCCCAGCGACATTGATGCTTTAAATTAGAAAGCAGGACTATTAATTCCTACCTGATGACAAATTTCTTTGTCCTGCTTTCAGAACACATAATTTATATGACTCAAAATGCCTGTTAGAATTTGGAAAAGACTAATTGACCCATTTCTAGATAGACCAGGTATTCTTACATAGGCTATAATACATTCTTTAGCATTCATGTCTAGGCTTAAAATGTTACCCTACATTCTCAGAAAAACAAACTGTATTCCTTTTTTATTTTTTTGAGACAGCGTCTTGCCATGTCATCCAGGCTGGAGTGTAGTGGCACAATCTCGGCTCGCTGCAACCTCTGCCTCCTGGATTCAAGCGATTCTCATGCCTCAGATTCCCAAGTAGCTGGGATTACAGGCATGTGCCACCATGCCTGGTTACTTTTTGTATTTTTAGTAGAGACAGGGTTTCACCATGTTGGCAAGGCTGGTCTTGAACTCCTGACCTCAAGTGATCCACCTGCCTCTGACTTCCAAAGTGCTGGGATTACAGGCATGAGCCACCACGCCCAGCCTATTTATTCTCATTAAAGTAATCTCCCTATAATTTATTGAATAAAATGAATTCTTTAGGAAGACACACCAAGTTTGTTTATCCTGTGCATTTGAATTTCCTTTGGCATATCACCATATGGGGAGACAGAGGTGAGAAGGGGGAATACAAGTAGTCAGTTTAAAGAAGTGAGGGAGCCAGGCACGGTGGCTCATGCCTGTAATCCCAGCACTTTGGGAGGCCGAGGTGGGTGGATCACCTGAGGTCAGGAGTTCAAGACCAGCCTGACCAACATGGAGAAACCCCGTCTCTACTAAAAATACAAAAATTAGCTGGGGTAGTGGTGCATGCCTATAATCCCAGCTACTTGGGAGGCTGAGGCAGGAGAATCACTTGAACCTGGGAGGTGGAGGTTGCGGTGAGCTGAGATTGTGCCATTGCACTCCAGCCTGGGCAAAAAGAGCGAAACTCAGTCTCAAAAAAAAAAAAAAAAGGAAGTGTGGGAAAATATCTATGTTCCAGACCTCATGGTTGGAGCTAAAATATGAACCTTTTTTCTCAGTGGTGTCCAGTTGATAGAAAAGAGAGCTTACTTGCTGTGGGTGTATCTGAGTATCTGGATGACATAATGGAAAACATTTCTTGCTTTAGAACTAGACCGCAGTTTGAATGCCATTTCTGGCACTTTCTGGCTTGTGATTCTGTTTCCTTGTATATAAAGTAGGAGTAATAATGCCTATCTTGGAAAGTGATTTTGGGATTTAAATGAGATGTCCTCTGTTTTTTCCCAGATCTTATAATAGACACTCAGGTGCGAGCTATTGTACCTTTATTGGTTACTAATGAATTGTTACATGCTCTTAATTTCTGCATTCGTGAAAGCACTGGACAAGATCTTGCAGCCACTTCAGAATATTTAGTCTGTTTTTTAGGTCTTTACTCGGAAATCATGTTTATGAAACTTGAACATCAGCTTTGATATCTTGATCATACATTTATATACCATGTATGCTTAAGTTTATAAAATACACAAATCAAAATTAACCAAAATATTAATAATGAAATATTTCCATATTTTTGGTAATAATGATAAAATACATAAATCAAAATTAACCAAAATGTTAATAATGAAATATTTCCATGTTTTTGGTAGTAATGTTTCTTTATGGTTGTTGGCATAACAGGCTATGGATGTCTCTAGCATCAAAGCAATGTTAATAAGTCTAATAAGACTACTGGCTATCATCTATCAACATTGGTCTGATTTGTGATAATTGTGTTCATAAAACTTCTTAATATATTTCCTGGCCTCTCTGAACTATTGGCTTTTTCATTCTTCTGCATGTGCGAGAGATGGAAACCCTTTGAATTAGGGCTTTGTGACTGACCCATTGTCACTACTTCCTTCTTTTTATGTATTTTCTCCTCAAAGCACAAAGAAATTAGAAATATCCTTGTCTGGGTACCGTGGCTCACACCTGTAATCTCAACATTTTGGGAGGCTGAGGCAAAAGGATCACTTGAGCCTAGGAGGTCAAGGCTGCAGTGAGCCAAGTTTGCACCACTGCACTGCAGCTTGGGTGACAGAGTGAGACCCTGTCTCAAAAAAAGAAAAAAAGAAATAATCTTATCTGCAAACATTGCTGAAACCTGTGTAGTTTCTTCTTCTTTTTTCTCTTGGTATTGGTATCAAGGAATTTAAATTTTAGATGGACTGTGTTTATTAAAATTGGTAGACTATGCTAAACAAATTTACAATTCTTTTGCCTAGAAAAATGGAACTACTTAAGTCTTATATAACTGGAAAACTTTTACTTTTCGCTTAACATTAATTGGAATTTTGGTGACAGTGAAAATTATTTTTTTTTCAGGGCTTGTTAAACAACTGTTTTAAAACAGATGATGACCAAAACCCTGCTCAATGAGAATAGTATTGTACGTGAAACTCTAAAGAAGTCATTATTCATCTCATTTTGCAGATGGAATTAAGAATGCAAAAATAGTGGACATGCCAAGTGAATGCTGTTAATAATATGTAAAATTATTTGATTAAACATTTATTACTTAAAAAAAAGTGGACATTAGCCTCACTTATAAGGATAATGTTATTAATACATTATTGTTCATTCCTTTCGAACCAGATTCCAAAATGCTAGAAATTATGTTAAGATGTTATTTTATACTGGGCGTGGTGGCTCACACCCGTGATCCTGGCTCTTTGGGAGGCCAAGGCAGACAGATCATTTGAGGTCAGGAGTTCGAGACCAGCCTGGCTAACATGGTGAAACCCCGTCTCTACTGAAAATACAAAAATTAGCTGGGTAAAGTGGCACACATGCCTGTAATCTCAGCTACTACAGAGGCCGAGGCAGGAGAATCACTTGAACCCGAGAGGTGGAGGTTGCAGTAAGCTGAGATTGCACCACTGCACACCAGCCTGACAAGAGTGAGACTCCGTCTCAAAAAAAAAAAAAAAAAAAAAAAAAAAAATATATATATATATATATATATATATATATATACCTTTATGTAGGCAGTGTAAAATTATGAAAAGAATGTAAGACTCAACTTCAGGAGGTTGAGATTCAAGTTCTGCCTCTGCCTCTGCCTCTTAGTGATTTTTACCTTTGGTAAATATTTAAGTATTCTGAGTTTCTTTTCCTCGTCTGTATTTAATAATAACACATGCTTAGCCTATCCTGTTTGCTATGAGAATCAAATGAGATAACATATAAGAAAGGAATATTTAAATACCAAGGCGAAATTGATCTAAACAAATAATGCTGTCTTTCTGCCTCGTAAGTGAGGTTCAAACTGTAGTGATCACCTTCAGTGAGCACAGCAGCAAGAGCAAGATTCAATCTAAGGAAAAACCCTGACTGAAGAATATTCTAATTGTTTTTGAGAAGAGGTGACTTAGGGTCCTTGATCAGTTGTGCCACATACACCATAAAATAAAAAGTAAAAGCATCTAAAATGGAGCACAAGTCTAGAATGTTTGAGCTATAATGCAAGGATTTTCTAGCCAAATCTTCTTTTACAGATGAAGAAACTGAGACAGGGTTATCTAATAAGTTTTCTAGTGGCAAACTGAAATGCAATTCTCAGGGTGGTTAATGAGATACAAGTTTTGAAATTAGTTGTACTTATAAGGTGTGAAATCACAATTTTACCACTGACTTAGAATGTAACTTGGACAGCTTGACTTCCCTAAGCCTTAGTTTGTTCACCTGTAAATTTGGGCTGGTGAAGTAAAGGATCTATTGGGCTGTAGAAGTAAAGGAGTTGATACATGTAAAATGCTTAGCATATTTTTGTCACGTTGTATGCACTCAATAAATGATACCTCCATTATTACTATTATTTTTAGCTGTTTAGCAGAATCTTCCAGACCATTATTTACTCCCTCCACTAAATTTGTTCAAGGTGATAGCTAATGGCTCAACTATCTTTCACTGAAACAACCCAGACAGTACTCTTCATGGGTCCTCATTCTGCACCTACGAGTGTGAGCAAATGCCTTTTATATCATATTATTGAGATGAGAAGGTTATTCTTAAACAGATTGAAAGCATTAGAAAGTTTAAAAATATAAGGTAGAAAATCTGATGTAAATAATCACCTGTTGTCAAATTTAATAAAGAACTGAAAAGGCTTGGGTATATAAGAAATGTAACTGATGGATCTTAGGGGATATGAAAATCATTTCCCACCCCTAGCACTTTCCTTGAATAAAGTGACATGATAGGCTTTTGTTCATTCAACTCAGTTGTACACTAAATGTAATGTCTCACCACCCCCTGCCTTTTTGGTTGTTGTTGTCACCTATTTTGGGTCTCTACGTTTAAGAGTCAGGACTGTTTTGTTCATTTGCTGTGCCTGGTACAATGCCTTGAATATAATAAAGAGGTACCTAAATGTTGACTTTTTTTTTTTTTTTTTTTTTTTAGACAAGGTCTCACTCTATTGGCCATGCCAGAGTGCAGTGGTACAATCACAGCTCACTGCAGCCTCCACTTCCTGGGCTCAGGTAGTCCTCAGCCTCCCAGGTGGCTGGGACTACAGATGTGCACCACCAAGCCTGGCTAATTTCTTATTTTTTGTAGGGATAGGGTCCCACTATGTTGCCCAGGCTGGTCTTGAATTTCTGAGTTCAAGTAATCCTCCCACCTTGGCCTCCCAAAGTGCTAGGATTACAGGCATGAGCACCTGTACTTGGCTAATTTTTTAAATAACATTTTAATTGAAAGTTATTGTATATAGAATTATTTAGTATCAATGAAATTATGTAATTTTAAAAATTAATTATAGATTTAAAACATTTTCAGATTTCCTTTTTTTCTGGGGAACTGTATTTTTAATAACAACAACATTGGTTGCCCTTCTGAAAAAAGAAAACGAAGTATCAGTAGTAAAAGAAGAAACACAAGGGATCACAGATACTTACAAGCTGCTTTTTGCAATTATAAAAATGCCAGCAGTTCTGACATTTTGCCTTCTGATTCTAACTGCAAAGGTAAGAGATTTATAAATCAAATTTATCATTTTCTTATAAGTATCAATATCATGGAATACTTACAATGCCTTTTTCATATCACAGGTCCCTTTCCACTACCATTAGAATTTAACAATGAAAAACAATATTTTCTGTTTATTAAATGTATTTGAAAAGATGTAATGATATCAACTTTAATTTTAAAGTAAGCTAAATGTCTTGGAGTATTGTAAAGAATTATGTCCATTGGAGAACTGTTAGTAAATGTGAACCTTAATGATATTAATGCTTGGAATGGAGATTAATATCTTTAAAAATCAATAGCTCTGTCTTCTTATAATGAGTATACATTTAATGTTGTAGTAATACAATTATTTACTAAGAGTGTGACGTAAAAAGATATAGGGCCAGGTGTGGTGGCTCAAGCCTGTAATCTCAGCACTTTGGGAGGCCGAGGCAGGTGGATTACCGGAGGTCAGGAGTTCAAGACCAGCCTGGCTAACATGGTGAAACCTTGTCTCTACTAAAAATACAAGAATCAGCCGGTCATGGTGGCACGTGCCTTTAGTCCCAGCTACTTGGGAGACTGAGGCAGGAGAATCACTTGAACCCAGGACGTAGAGGTTGCAGTGAGCCGAGATAGCACCACGGCACTCTAGCTGGAGCGACAGAGCGAGACTCTGTCTCAAAATAATAAATAAATAAATAAATAAATAAAAAGATATAGAAGTATATGAGTATTAGAAGTCAATTTTTTAAAAATCCATTGAATTATTTAAGTACTGAAAGGAAAATTATACGAGAAACGGGGATTACTGGTGACTTTTATTCTATATTAAGGTGTCTCAATTTTATAGTTCTAAAAATATTTTTAACATGTTAGGCTAGAATAAGGTAAGTATATTTTGTTACAGTGAACTATTGCTAGTGTTGGAGTTAATATTTCTGAAATCTGCAATCTTATAGGATTTTCATTTTATATACTTAAATCTATGTATATAAACACTTTGCACCTATCTTTTGACAGTTTTGAAGGAACCATTAGCCTCATTGTTTTCATTTTAAATAGTGAGTGTTTTTTCCTCTTAATGATAGAAAGAAGGCCAGATGTGCTGGCTCATGCCTGTGATCCCAGCACTTTGGGAAGCCAAGGTAGGAGGATCTCTTGAGCTCAGGAGTTCAAGACCAGCCTGAATATGGCAAAACAAAAAATAAAAAAACTATCTGGGTATGGTGGCATGTGCCTGGAGTGCTAGCTGCTTGGGAAGCTGAAGTAGGAAGACAGCTTGAGCCTGGGAGGTGGAGTTTGCAGTGAGCCATGGCTATGCCTCTGCACTCCAGCCTGGGCAACAGAGCCAGGGGTCTGTCTTTCTCTTGAGACAGGGGTCTCAAGAAAAAAAAAAAGAATGGAAAGTTCAGAAAATATGAAAAGTTCAAGGAGCATAACAATATATATATATATTTTTTTTGAGACAAAGTCTCGCTCTGTCACCCAGGCTGGGAGCAGTGGCACAATCTCAGCTCACTGCAACCTCTGCCTCCTGGGTTCAAGCGATTCTCCTGCCTCAGTCTCCCGGGCAGCTGGGACCACAGTGTGCACCACCATGCCCAGCTAATTTTTTTGTATTTGTTTATTTTGAGATGGAGTTTCACTCTTATTGCCCAGGCTGGAGTGCAATGGCCCTATCTCGGCTTACTGCAACCTCCACCTCCCGGGTTCAAGCGGTTCTCCTGCCTCAGCCTCCCAAGTAGCTGGGATTACAGGCACATGCCACCAGGCCCAGCTAATTTTGTATTTTTAGTAGAGATGGGGTTTCTCCATGTAGGTCAGGCTGGTCTTGAACTCCTGACCTCAGGTGATCTATCCTTGGCCTCCCAAAGTGCTGGGATTACAGGCATGAGCCACCGCGCCTGGCAATTTTTTTGTACTTTTAATGAAGAGAGGGTTTCACCCTGTTGACCAGGCCGTTCTTGAACTACTGACCTCAGGTGATCCACCCACCTGGCCAAACAATATTATCTAATTATATGATTTAATAATTTTTCATTTAAGATAAACAGTATTTGCTGGAGGTGGTGGCTCACGCCTTTAATCCCAGCACTTTGGGAGGCCAAGGTGGGCTGATCACTTGAGGCCAGGAGTTCGAGACCAGCCTGGCCAACATGGTGAAACCCCGTCTTTACTAAAAATACAAAAATTAGCTGGGTGTGGTGCCAGGCGCCTGTAAGCCCAGCTACTCGGGAGGATGAGGCAGGAGAATCGCTGGAACCCGGGAGGCGGAGGTTGCAGTGAGCCGAGATCACGCACTGCACTCCAGCCTGGGTGACAGAGTGAGACTCCATCCCCAAAATAAATAAATAAATTAATTAAAAAAAAACAGTATTGACCTTCTTGGTATATTTCCTTTGAAACTCCCTTTTTTCCCTATATATGTGTGTGTGCATGTATGTGTGTATACGTATACTTCATATATTTATTTACTCATATACTTTATTTTATTTTATTTTGAGACTGAGTCTCACTCTGTTGCCTAGGCTGGAGTACAGTGGCGCGATCTCTGCTCACTGCAACCTCTGCCTCCCTTGTTCAAACAATTCTGCCTCAGCCTCCCGAGTAGCTGGGATTACAGGCACACACCATCATACCCAGCTAAGTTTTGTATTCTTAGAAGAGACGGGGTTTCACTATGTCGGCCAGGCTGGTCTCAAACTCCTGACCTCAAGTGATCCACCTGCCTAGACTCCCGAAGTCCTGGGATTACATGTGTGAGCCACCATGCCCGGCCTACTTATTTATTTACTTTAAAAGTGAAATTGAATCATATATAATTTTTTATCTTCTCTTTGTCTTATACCAAACATTTCTATAGCATTACATATTTGAAAACATACTTGTTAGTAGCTACATGATATAGTTAGTGTGTTAAATTTAAATTTTCCGTAATCTCATTTTTCTGTTGTCTATTTTGCTTATGTTTTTAAATTATAAAAATGCACTAGCAAATATTTTTGTGCATAAGTCTGTGATTTTCTGGATATTTCCTTCCAGTAGACTTTTTTTTTTTTTTTTTTTTTTTTTGAGACAGAGTCTCGCTTTGTTGCCCAGGCTGGAGTGAAATGGTTAATTTTTTTTTTTTTTTTTTTTTTTTTTTGAGGCGGAGTTTCACTTGTTTCCCAGGCTGGAGTGCAATGGCATGATCTTGGCTCACTGCATCCTCTGCCTCCTGGATTCAAGCGATTTTCCTGCCTCAGCCTCCTGAGTAGCTGGGACTACAGGCATGCACCACCATGCCTGGCTAATTATTTTTATTTTCATTTTTATTTTTAGTAGAGATGGGGTTTCTCCATGTTGATCAGGCTGGTGTCAAACTCCCGACTTCAGGTGATCTGCCCGTCTCGGCCTCCCAAAGTGCTGGGATTACAGGTGTGAGCCACTGCACCTGGCCTAATTTTTGTATTTTTAGTAGAGACAGAGTTTCACCATGTTGGCCAGGCTGGTCTTGAACTACTGACCTCAGGTGGGTGATCTGTTCACCTCAGCCTCCCAAAGTGCTAGTATTACAGGCGTGAGCCACCGCACCCGGCCTATTTTTTATTTTTTTTAAGATGAGGTCTTGCTCTGTCGTCTAGACTGGAGTGCTGTGGCATGGTCATAACTCAGTGTAATCTCAAACTCCTGTGCTTAAGCCAGACTCCCACCTCAGCCTCTCAAGTAGTTAGAACTATAGCTGCTTGCCACCTCACCCAGCTAATTTTTTTTTTTTTTTTTTTTGAGACAGAGTCTCTCTCTGTTGCCCAAGCTGGAGTGCAGTGGTGGGATCTCTGCTCACTGCAACCTCCTCCTCCCGGGTTCAAGCAATTCTCCTGCCTCAGCCTCCGGAGTAGCTGGGATTACAGGTGTGCACCACCACACCCGGCTAATTTTTGTATTTTTGGTAGAGACAGGGTTTTACCATTTTGGTCAGGCTGGTCTCGAACTCCTGAGCTCAGGCAATCTGCCCGCCTTTGCCTCCCAAAGTGCTGGGATTATAGGCGTGAGCCACCACGCCTGACCCACCCAGCTAATTTTTACATTTTCTGTAGAGATGGGGGTCTCATTTTGCTATACAGGCTGGCCAATAGATTTTTTTTTTTTAAGTTTTTTTTTTTGAGATGGATTTTTGCTCTTGTTGCCCAGGCTGGAGTGCAATGGCATGATCTCAGCTCACCACAACCCCTGCCTCCGGGGTTCAAGAGATTCTCCTGCCTCAGCCTCCCAAGTAGCTGGGATTACAGGCGTGCACCACCATGCCCGGCTAATTTTGTATTTTTAGTAGGGACAGGGTTTCTCCATGTTTGTCAGGCTAGTCTCGAACTCCCGACCTCAGGTGATCTGCCCACCTCGGCCTTCCCAAAGTGCTGGGATTACAGGTGTGAGCCACTGCACCTGGCCAGCCAATAGATTATTAAGCAGGCAATTAGTGGGTCAATGAATGTAATATGATTGCTGAATTGCTTTTCAAAAGGTTATACTAATTTATACTGTCTCCAGCAATATATAAGGAGGTACTTCAATTACAAAGTCTATAATACTGTTTTCTTCTTTTAAACTTCCCCCCTAATAACATATCTCCTAACTTTTAATACTACAGATTAATTTTCTTTCCTTTTGAATTATATATTAATGGACTATACAATATATATTTTTATGTTTGATGCATATGTTCTTTTGCTTAATATTATATTTGTGGAATTTATCCATATTTTTATTTATAGCAATAGTTTGTTTATCTCATTACTGTATAGTATTCCGTTGTATGGATATGCCACAATTTATCCATTCTATCAACAGATTTTTAGAGCTATTATGTGTAGTGTTTCTACAAACATTCACATACGTGACTTTTGGTGAAGATAGGTGCACATTTCTCATTGGTAAATATATAGGAATAGAATTGCTGGTTCATAGAAGATGCATAGTATTTTGTACTGCCAAATAGTTTTCCAAAGTGGTTGTTCCAATTTTCCCTACCACCAGCAGTGTAAGAGAGTTCTGATTTTAAGGAGTTTCACATCCTTGAAAACACATATATTATCTTTTTTTTTTTTTTTTTTTTTGAGACGGAGTCTCGCTCTGTCCCCCAGGCTGGAGTGCAGTGGCGCGATCTCGGCTCACTGCAAGCTCTGCCTCCTGGGTTCACACCATTCTCCTGCCTCAGCCTCCCAAGTAGCTGGGACTACAGGCACCCACCACCACGCCCAGCTAATTTTGTGTATTTTTAGTAGAGACGGGGTTTCACCTAGCCAGGATGGTCTCGATCTCCTGACCTTGTGATCCACCCACCTTGGCCTCCCAAAGTGCTAGGATTACAGGCGTGAGCCACTGCACCTGGTGTATATCATCTTTTTAATTTTAGCCTTTCTGGTGGTTGTGTAATGGCATCTTGTTATTGCCATAATTTGAATTTCCCTAATGACAAAAGAAATTGAGCATCTTTTCATGTGATTATTGACCATTTGAATATCCAAAGTTGCCCTTTTCTTTAAATTTGTAAAGTTGTTGTTTCTGTTTAGATTTCGTTGTTTGAGATGAGGTCTCTGTCACCTAGGCTGGAGTGCAGTGGCACCATCACAGCTCATTGCAGCCCTGACCTCCTGGGCTCAAGTGATCCTCCAACCTCAGTCACCCAAGTACAGGCATGTGCCACCACCACGCCCAGTAAATTAAAAAAAATATTTTGTAGAAAAGAGTTCTTACTATGATGTCCAGACTGGTCTTGAGCTTCTGGGCTGAAGCAATCCTCCCGCCTCATCCTCCCAAAGTGCTGTGCTTACAGGCATGAGCCACTGTGCCAGACCAAACTTTTTAAAATATATTTTGAATTTGAGTCTTTTATTAGATATGTGTATTACAAATATCTCCTACTATATAACTTTTAAGACTTTTTTAACATTTTAAGATTAAACATTAAAGTCAGTTTGTATGTCTTATTTTTACAAAGGGAATGAGTAAAATGTAAGTGAAATTATTTTCTGGACTTAAGTGAAATATATGTTACCTTTAATTTTTTTTATGGTGAAATTTTCTTTGGCTCTATTCCAAGAAGTTACCGTGTATACTATTTATAATTTTTCTTTCTTTCTTTTTTTCTTTCTTTCCTTTTTTTTTTTTTTTTTTTTTTTTTTTTTTTTTGACAGAGTCTCACTCTGTCACCAGGCTGGAGTGCAGTGGCGCGATCTTGGCTCACTGCAACTTCCACCTCCCAGGTTCAAGCGATTCTGCTGCCTCAGCCTCCTGAGTAGCTGGGACTACAGGCGTATACCACCACACCTGGCTAGTTTTTGTATTTTTAGTGGAGATGGGGTTTCACCATGTTGGCCAGGATGGTCTCAAATCTCCTGACCTCGTGATCCACCCACCTTGGCCTCCCAAAGTGCTGGAATTACAGGCATGAGCCACCGCGTCTGGCCTTATAATTTCTTTAAAAAAAAAAAAATTGTGTGATATTGAAGTGGCCTTGTGGTCTAGGGTAGTACCTGAGGTTTGCTGTCTCACAGCCACAGAGATCAAGGACGTGGACACACAAAGAGTGAGGTTAACAGCAGAAGTTTAGTAGGTGAGAGAGAGAATAGCTCTGTGCTACAGAGAGGTGTCCTGGAAAAATGTGTTGCCAGATCTGTGGTGAAATGCAAGGGGTTTTTTAGATGAGCTAGTGGGGAGGCAGTGTCTGTTTTAAATAGGGCATGAAAAACCGGTAAGGTCCAGGTGCACCATTTATATAGGGCATGAATTTCTGGCAGCCCCCACCCTAATTTTTTATCATGCAGGCAGGTTCTCTGCCTGAGCTGCACCATGTTGCCCATTTTTTTACTGTACACATGCTAACAAAAAAGAGAAGGTGGAGCTTTCATGGTGGACATGCCTGGCTCCCAGGTAGCCCTTTTCTGTTGGTTCAGCTGCTGGCATTCCCCCGTGCAAGCTTCCAGCTTGCTTATCTATGTTTGCAACTCAAGTTTTTCAGGCTGCTCTTCGTTAGAAAAGAAATGATTTTGGGGGCCGCTTTTTGTTAGAAGGGAAGCTCTGCCGAGGTCTCTTTTGCCCTCACTATCTGCCTAAATAATTTCTTTCTGCCTACTGTATCGATATAACTTCACACTTCTTGAAAATGTATTAGTAGAACTCCTTTATATCCTTTATCCAGATTATCTAATTATTAACGTTTAGCTACACTTTCCTTATTCTGTAGATGTTCTCTTTCTATGTATATCCATTACATATGTCTTCTGAAATACTTTAGAGTAATTTGTACACATTATGCACTTTTATCCATAAGTACCTTAAGTATGTATTTCCTAAGAACAAGTTTTCTGCTTACAAAACCACAACTCAATATTGGGAAATTTTAAATTGATATAATATTATTGTCTAATTATAGTCCATATCCAAATTTTACACAATAACAGTCCTTATAACTTTAATTTTTTTCTTGTTGGGGATCTAATCTAGGATCACACATTGCATTCAGTTGGTATGGCCTTTCATTGTCCTTAATATCCTTGACATTTTTGAAGAATACAGGCCAATTATGCTGTAGAATGGGCTTCTAGTTACATTTCTCTCATGTTTCTTCTTGTTTGGGTTGAGGTTATTCAGGTATATAAGACAGGAAGATCAAAGAAGTAATGTTTTGATGTCTGCAGGGAATTATACTGAAAGCCATATCATGTCTCTTTATCCCTTTAACTGCTGTTTTTAACTTTAATTGCTTTGCTAATCTATTGTAAAAGTACTATTTTTTCTTTTGTAATTAAAAACTGACTCATGGGGAGATACTTTGAGGCTATCTAAATAATCTTAATTTAATTCTTACTCTTTTTTGTGCTGTTTTAAAGAATTAATCTAACTATACTTTATCCCTTTCATTTTATTCAATCTCTCAGATACGTTTTCCCAGAATTACTTTTGAAACATTAGATGAACTTAGGAAATTTTATTATGGTCAGTCAGAAATCATTAAAAATGTATATATATATTGGCAGTTATGCTTCATTTTAACCAGATTGATTTGGGTCAATTAAAGGCTTAAGTTCTTTTAAACCTAAAACTTTCAAATTGGTAAATTTGGATTTTTGACCCCGTTTACTATAACACATTGGACTTTTTGAAGTGGAAATTTAGTTGTATTTATAGCCATCTACCATCCCTACCAGTACTGAATTTTCAGTTGTTTTCACTTAATATTATTAGAAAACCATAAGGCAAAATGTACCTCGTATAACTTGACTGTTGTACCAGGTATAATAATATGATGCTCACTTGTAACTGTCATGGGTCAGTAATAAAATTGAGGTTCTTGAAGAACTTACATATGCATGGAGGAAAATATTTCATAAGTCACGAATTAAAATACTTTTTTGTTTTTATATTGCAGATTGGTTTTTCAGCAGCAGATGCTGTAACAGGACTGAAATTGGTAGAAGAGGGAGTACCCAAAGAACATTTAGCCTTATTGGCAGTTCCAATGGTTCCTTTGCAGATAATACTGCCTCTGATTATCAGCAAATACACTGCAGGTCCCCAGCCATTAAACACATTTTACAAAGCCATGCCCTACAGGTAAAAATGAAATAAAACCTTACTAAATAAGAAAGGGTAAAATGAGGAACATTCATCAATACCACTAATATCTGAGCGTAGAATTATATATATGGAAAAAGATTTGAAAAGCATCTTTTTTCAATATTATTTATATGCACTTTTATCTTTTTAACCTCCTAACAGGTTTAGATACAGCTTCTTTCATATGGTAGGCACACGGATTTCTGTTTTTGTTGTTGTTGTTATTTAAGCTAAAATGGAAGTCAACTCAATGTTTCTTTCTCTATAGATTATTGCTTGGGTTAGAATATGCCCTACTGGTTTGGTGGACTCCTAAAGTAGAACATCAAGGGGGATTCCCTATATATTACTATATCGTAGTCCTGCTGAGTTATGCTTTACATCAGGTAAGCTTGCAGTGGTTTTCTCAGGAAATAAACTGTTCTGTGTAAAATAAGGAAGACAGCTTTCTACAGTTGTCTTAAAATAATGATAATAAATTTTAAGCATGAATCTGACACTGAAGAAATTATTGATGGTGCGCTTTAAACTTTATGACTTTTCACTTAATGAGTTCTGCTGTTCATAGAAAGAGACTTTTTTATTTATTTATTTATTTTTTTCCCAAGATGAAGTCTTGCTCTGTCACCCAGGCTGGGGTGCAGTGGTGCAGTCTCGGCTCACTGCAACCTCCACCTCCTAGGTTCAAGCATTTCTCCTGCCTCAGCCTCCTGAGTAGCTAGGATTACAGGCACGTGCCACCACGCCTGGCTAATTTTTGTATTTTTAGTAGAGATAGGGTTCCACTATATTGGCCAGGCTGGTCTTGACTCCTGACTTTGTGATCCACCTGTCTCAGCCTCCCAAAATGCTGGGAATGCAGGTGCAAGCCACTGCGCCCGGCTGAAAGAGACTTTCTTATTCATTCATTCATTAAAAAAAAAATTATTCAACAAGTATTTGTTACATTTTAGAATTGATTCCAAAGCCAGCAAATTCTACTCTTGCTAAATATTTCTCAGTTTATCCCTAGGTTTCAGTTCATTCTTTCTTGAATTCCTAATATCTTTTCTTTCTGAAAGTATTGAGAAATAGTATTGGTCTTAGTTTCTGGCTTAGCTTCTGCTTTTTTTTTTTTTTTTTTTTTTTTTGAGACAGAGTCTGGCTTGCTTGCCCACTGCCCACGCCCGGCTAATTATCTGTATTTTTAGTAGAGACAGAGTTTCACCATATTGGCCAGGCTGGTCTTGAATTCCTGACCTCAAGTGATCCGCCCACCTCGGCCTCCCAAAGTGCTGGGATTACAGGCATGAGCCACCATACCCGGCCCTGGCTTAGCTTCTATATTGAAAGTTTTGACTTATTCTTTATGATTTTGAAAGCTGTGTCAAGCTGCTTTTTCTTTCTTTGTTAAATATGTTTGTAATCCTTAAAAGAAGGAATCCCCACTTTGCTCTAGCCTAAGCTGCTGTTGCAGAATGAGATTTTTTTTTTTTGAGACAGAGTTTTGTTCTTGTTGCCCAGGCTGGAGTGCAATGGCACGATCTCAGGTCACCGCAACCTCCGCCTCCAGGGTTCAAGCAATTCTCCTGCCTCAGCCTCCAAGTAGCTGGGATTACAGGCATGTACCACCATGCCCGGCTCATTTTGTATTTTTTTAGTAGAGACGGGGTTTCTCCATGTTGGTTAGGCTGGTCTAGAACTCCCAACCTCAGGTGATCCACCCGCCTCAGCCTCCCAGAGTGCTGGGATTACAGGCATGAGCCACCGCGCCTGGCCCAGAATGAGATTTTTTTGTTCTGGATGCAAGTGATTCAAGTAAATGGCAAAGGCCCAGAAGTAACCTTTGGGACTTAACTGCAGTTATTGCTAATGCATATTTCTGAGTCACTTTGGATTTTTCTAGCTTATATCCTTTGAAAGTTATATTTGCTAATGTATGAATTAATTTTTAACTGAAACGTAAAAATATGACTACCAGGTAATCTCAGTAGTTTTGTGCATACAGTAAATCATTTAGGAGAAATCTGTAGTGGATCCTGTCAGACTAAATTCTATGCTTATAAAATTATTGAGGCCAAACTGTCAAATATAATTTTTTTTTCTGTTTTGCACATGCTTAGTTAAGGCTAGATATGTAATAGAAGGTTAAAGAAATACTTTAACTAGTCAATGCTTCAGTATTTCTGTCGGTATGTTATAGCCCAAAAAAAGTATTTATTTAGCTTTGGATTTCATTTGAGAATTTCCTGAAGTGTAATCACTGAAACTCAGATAACCAGATGCTTTATGGGGGAAAAAAGGTACAAGACCAAATAAATTCGAGAAATGATGTATGACATAAGCCTTCTGTAAGTAGTGCCTTAATGATTCCTTCAACAAATTTTTTTTTTTTTTTTTTTTTTTTTTTTTTTTTTGAGACAGAGTCTCACTCTGTTGCCCAGGCTGGAGTGCAGTGGCACAATCTCGGCTCACTGTGATACCTCCACCTCCCGGGTTCAAGTGATTCTCCTGCTTCTGCCTCCCAAGTAGCTGGGATTACAGATGAGCACCACCTCACCCAGCTGATTTTTGTATTTTTAGTAGAGACGGGTTTTACCACATTGGCCAGGCTGGTCTTGAACTCCTGACCTCAGGTGATCCGCCCACCTCGGCCTTCCAAAGTGCTGGGATTATAGGTGTGAGCCACCGCACCCAGCTTCTTCAACAAATATTAAGTGAACACCTATTCCCTGCCAGAAACCATTCTGAGTACTGAAATATAACTTAATAAATCATGCCCAAATCCCTGCCCTCAAGGAGTGTATGTTGTAAATATTTCAAAAGGCATACAATGAAAGGAACCTTTTCAATTTTGTGTAAGTTAGTGTCTTTCAGTCTTATTTGACTTTGGAACTCCTTTTTCTGTGAACACCCCCAAAAACACTATTCAAAGGAATACCATTATTGAAACACAGTTTGTTTCCATCTTTCTAAATTAAAGGTTAATTCTTGCCTTTTAAGTACTTTTTGCCTCTTAAGGATGTTTTTCTCCAGTTTGTCACATAAATTTTGAAATACTTTTCTTGTGTATATGTAGGAGAAAAATATATATATTCCTATTTCTTTAAATATTTGAGTATTTATATATGTAATAAATGCATACATATAAATATGTATATATACACATGCAATATATGATACATATTTAGGTACAGTACAAATATGAGGTTTTGCATTTTGCTGTATGCATTATGTATCCTTTAGTGCCACCTCATCTAACATTTTCTCCGTGGAGTCTTTCTTGACTACTTGTGGTAGAATTAATCTCTCATTTATCTTTATGCCCCAGTAACACAATGTGTGCACTTCTATTTACAGTACTTCCTGTATTTATAATTATTTATTCCCCATTTTCCAGCCTAGAATAAATTCTTCAATGTCACAGAAGGACCAAGGTCACATCTTTGTATTGCTGGGATCTTTTTTTTTATTTATTTATTTTTATTTATTTATTTTTTTTGAGACTGAGTCTCCCTCTGTCGCCCAGGCTGGAGTGCAGTGGTGCGATCTCAGCTCACTGCAAGCTCCGCCTCCCGGGTTCACGCCATTCTCCTGCCTCAGCCTCCCAAGTAGCTGGGACTACAGGCGCCTGCCACCACATCCGGCTATTTTTTTTTTTTTTTTGTATTTTTCAGTAGAGACAGGGTTTCACCGTGTTAGCCAGGATGGTCTCGATCTCCTGACCTTGTGATCCGCCCGCCTTGGCCTCCCAAAGTGCTGGAATTACAGGCATGAGCCACCGCGCCCGGCCTGTATTGCTGTGATCTTAAAGCCTGGCCTATAGTAGGTGCTTGATAAGTATTTGTTGAATTGAGTTCAATAAATACCATGAAAATTAATTTCAGGTTTATGACTTTGATGTTCTTAATTTAGACTGTAGCTTTATAAGCTTTATAATCATACTAAAGATGTTTTACATTTTTCCGTAGGTTACAGTGTACAGCATGTATGTTTCTATAATGGCTTTCAATGCAAAGGTTAGTGATCCACTTATTGGAGGAACATACATGACCCTTTTAAATACCGTGTCCAATCTGGGAGGAAACTGGCCTTCTACAGTAGCTCTTTGGCTTGTAGATCCCCTCACAGTAAAAGAGTGTGTAGGAGCATCAAACCAGAATTGTCGAACACCTGATGCTGTTGAGGTAAGTATGTTTTAATTTTAGATAACATTAAGCTAATACTAAGATATTAATATCTTTGTTTTGTCTCTAGAAGTACTATATCTTTTTTAAAAATCATATCTGTCCATAGGTTCTGGTTTAGAAATCTACATATATATTTTCTTTCACATCAAGGCTGAGGGTTATAATCATTCAAATCAGCAAGACTAGTTCCCTTAAAGGCGTTTCTCAGTAAAGGAGAGGCGATCTCTCTTTCCCCCACCTTGACGATCACTGTCCTACACAGCAGGCACTATATAAATGCATAATTAATAGCTTAAGTTTTGTAGTGATAGAAAAAGGGAATGTCCATTGGCTATTCCTATAACAGTGATAACTAAACCTGTATAGTGAGTGGTTTGTTGATAAATTCTTTCAAAGTGGTATTTGTCTACTTCTAGAGTAGATGGACTGGAAATTTCTTCACATTTCCGAATGTGAAAGCTGCATCGTGAAAATAGATAATCGGGCCAGGTGCAGTGGCTCACGCCTGTATTCTTAGCACTTTGGGAGGCTAAGGCGGGTGGATTGCCTGAGCTCAGGAGTTTGACACCAGCCTGGGCAACACGGTGAAACCCCATCTCTACTAAAATACAAAAAATTAGCCGGGCGGGGTGGTGTGTGCCTGTAGTCCCAACTACTCAGGAGGCTGAGACAGGAGAATTGCTAGAACTGGGAGGCGGAGGTTGCAGTGAGCTGAGATCGCGCCCCTGTACTCCAGCCTGGGCGACAGAACAAGACTCCGTCTCTTAAAAAAAAAAAAAAAAAAAAAACATATTCGGCTGGGTATGGTGGCTCACACCCGTAATTCCAGCATTTTGAGAGGCTGAAGCAGGCAGATTGCTTGAGCCCAGGAGTTCAAGACCACCCTGGGCCACATGGTGAAGCACCATCTCTACAAAAAATGTAGAAATTAATGGGGCATGGTGGTGCACGCCTGTGGTCTTATCTACTCACAAGGCTGAGGTGGGAGGATTGCTTGAGCCCAGGAGCCAGAGACCGCAGTGAGCCATTATCACACCACTGCATTTCAGCCGGGGCCACAAGTGAGACCGTGTCTCAAAAAAGAAAATGAGTATTGTTTACAGCAAGAACTGAAAATTGTTTTTAATCCTGTTAGTAGCATTAGAGAGATTAAGATACATTAACATATTTTGTCATTGGAATTCAGTGAAATACTGAAATGTTTTAAGAAAAATATATTTTTATTCTTTATAAAGTAGAAGCATGTTAATTGCTAAATACTTTCATTTTGAAATTGTGGAGTATTTATTATAGTTTTATTTTTACAGCTTTGCAAAAAACTGGGTGGCTCATGTGTTACAGCCCTGGATGGTTATTATGTGGAGTCCATTATTTGTGTTTTCATTGGATTTGGTTGGTGGTTCTTTCTTGGTCCAAAATTTAAAAAGTTACAGGATGAAGGATCATCTTCGTGGAAATGCAAAAGGAACAATTAATATATATGCTACTGGACATTCTAGCAAGGTAATTGTAGTTTAGTTTTAATTCGGAGAGCAATGATAATCAGTGCACAGGAGTATAAAATATTATTTTAAACAGCGAAATTAATAATATAAAATGCCAAATGGTTGAAAAAATAGAAACCTTTCTGTATATTTGATCATATTTTTTTTTTGCCTTGTCAATGTATTTAAAGTTTACTTAAGGTCAGGAAATTCTAAAACAACTTTTCTGGCCTTGTTATTTGATGTATATCTTTTAAATTTACTGACCAAAGCATGTTTTAAGCTGCAATGCAGTAGTCACGGGTGGTAACCATGTAGTCAGGTATTGTTATTAGTACCTATCACTGCTGAGCTGTATTTAAAATTTTGGTACAATATATAAAATGGAGAAGAGCTTGATATTCAGGTACTAACCACAACTAGTCTGACATTGTTGGCAGTTAAAATCTTATTTTGAATTGTAAATTAGTTAAATTTTATGTGGAATTTGCTGAGAAAAGAATATAGACTACTGAAATGTCATTTTAGTTATTTTTCTTATGACCACATTGTACAAATGAATCTGTGTTAAAAAGACTATTTTAAATGTATTTCCTGCTTTTGTAAGCATTAAAGATTTATAAGAAAATTATTCAAACTATTTTTTATAAAATGAAAGTTATGATTTTTAAACTTATTGATTCCTCTTGCCCCTACCCCCTCTTTTTGGAAGATATTTTGATTCCTTATAAACTTTTACCCTAAGCTTATATATGTTTTCTGTCACAAGTGCTTCCTGGCACACAGACAGCCAATGGAGGGGATCAAATTCAGTGTTGTATGTATGTTTATGGCAACATTTTGAAAATAAAAATTAAATGTTTTTCTTCAAGTAGTTTTTTTTTAATTGCTGAGAGAAAAAAACAGTAAAGCTTTCTGATTAAGTAAAATTTAAATGGGCAGTACCATAATTTAAAAAACTAATACTTTAAAGAGAGAGACAAAGATATTTTGTGCCTTTGACAAATTAAATCTAATAGTGGAAAAATGTTTCTTAATTAAGCACTTTACTAGTGAAAAAGATCTCACAATTTATGCCAAATCAGGTACTGTATTTTCATGTATTAACACATAACCTTTTGTTTGAATACTATAGTTTTCAGTGGACAGTTGCTATTCCAAGAAAATTAAGCTTTTGAGTACTTTAGCAATTCCCAGCGTATTACATACACCCAGTGATAAGGTTCTTTGCATGTTTTGTGTTATGTATTACTCTGACTCTTTAGAGATTATATAAATCCTCCAAAAGTTAGACGAAACAAGATAGTACATTATGAGTCTTAATTTTATCATTGTGGAAAAATGTGTACTAACTCCTGATTTTGTTAATTTTATAACATAGGTTGAATTTTAGAGTGGGGTTTTTATAAGTAAT